>NC_000014.9:104459716-104762716 GCF_000001405.40 Homo sapiens | reverse complement strand
TCTGGTGATCCGCCAGCATCAGCTTCCCAAAGTGTTGAGATTACAGGCGTGAGCCACCACGCCCGGCCTGCCGTTATTTTTTCCAAAAGTTGTCTCCACCCTGCTATGCCCCTCGTCCATGGGTCTCCAGTTAAAGGCACAGTAGGCTGCTTGAAGTGGTCCCACAACTCAGAGGGGCTCTGCCATTTTCCTCATTTTTTTTCTGTTCCCTTTTGGATAGCTTATATTGCAATGGCTTCAAGTCCACTAATTTTTTGCTCTGCAATGTCTATTTTGGTTTTAATCTCATCAGTGTATTTTCCATCTCAGACATTGTATTTTTGTCTCTGGAAATTGTTTGGGCCATTTTTATGTCTTTCATTCCTTTTCTTAACATGCTCCTGTTTTCGTCTATCCTTCTTAATAATGGCCATTCTGATGTCCCTGTCTACTTAGTAGACGGAATTATTCTACCACCTTGTGTCATTTCTGGGTCTGTTTCTACAGACTAACTTTTCTTCTCATTGTGTGGTATAGTTCCTGCTTCTTTGCATGTTTGATTGTTTTTTTTCTTTTTTTGAGACGGAGTCTCACTCTGTCGCCCAGGCTAGAGTGCAGTGGTGAGATTGAGATCTTGGCTTACTTACCTCCACCTCCTGGGTTCAAGTGATTCTCCTGCCTCGGCCTTCCGAGTAGCTGGGATTACAGGCACATGCCACCGTGCCTGGCTTATTTTTGTATTTTTAGAGACGGGGTTTCACCATGTTGGCCAGGCTGTTCTCAAACTCCTAGCCTCAAGTGATCCACCCGCCTTGACCTCCCACAGTGCTTGGATTACAGGCGTGAGCCTCTGACACCCGGCCTCGTTTGTTCTAAAAAAAATAAGTAAATAAATATGTTTTCCCCCTTACTTTTGAGTTTTGTTCTGGATGCTATTAAAGCACTTGCAACCGTTTGGTCTTTTTGAGGCTTGACTTAAAGGTGTTAGGAAGGCACAGAGCAGTCTCTAGTCTAGGGCTAATCTAGCCTGAATATGGCATCAATATCCTTTTGAGTCCTCTACCCTGTTCTCCATGAATGATGTTTCCCCACACTTAGTGCTGGGAATGTGACTTGCTTCCCGCTTTCTTCCAATGGCTCTTTCCCCAGCCTCAGGCAGTTTCCTCACACACAGGAGCCATCAGTCCTCAGCAGGAGCCTTAGGGGAACACTGAGGCAATTTCTACTCCAGTGTTGCAGCTGCCCTGGGCTCTTGGTGTTTGTTCCCTCTCTCAGGCGTTACTATCCTGCAATGGCTGCTGTCCGATGTCTCTCTCTCTATATAGTCATCTATGGGCCAGTTTTTGTTGCTCCACCACAGCTGGAAGACCAACAATATTTACTGCAAACATATATGCCAGGTACTGCTCTAGGCAAAGTCCCACCCCTCACGGAAGCGACACCTCAGTTAGTAGAGTTAGAATAAGTACATTTGCATATTTACTTAAATATGCATTACGTCCAGTGGTAAAGTTAGGTAGGGCGAGAGGGAGCGTGATGGAGGGGTTGTCCTACACATTAGGGCACTGGGATGCTTCTCTGAGCTGAATCCGGGGGAGCCCTATGGATGTCCAGAGGAAGAGCTCCCCAGGCAGAAGGAGCGAGGGGGGTGCAGGGGAAACATGCTGAGCATTCTCAGAACAGCAGGAAGGCCTGGCTGGGGCAGAGCAAGCCTTGGGATAGGGGAGGAGGGGTGAAGCCAGAGGCTGTGGGGCCACAGACTTTTACTTTTAAGGACATGTTTAGCCACTGGAGTGTTGGGACAGGGGAGTGACAGATCTGGCTGCTGTATAAGGACAGACTGCCAGGTGCAGGGCAGAAGCAGGGAGCCTGGAAGGCGCTATGTAGTGACCCTATAGGGGAAGGAGGCAGGCTGGCTGGAGTAGTGTGGTCCTGTGGGGCAGGGATGTGGCCAGAGGATGTGAAGGGAAGAGCCGACAGGCCCGAGGGGGCAGCGACAGGAGTAACAGAAATGAGGGCTTGGGTGGCAGTCTGTTGTGGAAACCTGGAAGGAGTCAGCACGTGGCTGACCGTGGCCACTTGCTCCCGATGCTCGCAGCAGGCGGTCAAGGCCGTCCTCATTGCAGGAAGCCCCCAGCCAGTCCTCTGCAATCCCCTTCTAAGTTGCCCCCTGGAATTTTACCATGCTGACCACCTCTCTGAGCGCCCCCTCTACCCGTGACACGGGAGTGGTATATCCTCGGCCCCAGGGCAGCAAATCCCACTCTGGGCCTGGCTCCAACCCACCACTTGGGCACCACTGACTTTTCTCTAAGAATCAGCATAATTTGCTCTTCTAACAGCTTCCCAGGAACAGCAAAGGCTCTTCTCAACTGTCCCCAGCACATGCTCCCACCCACCCTCTGCCCCAAACAACCTTTACTCTAGTCCAGAGCTTCTCAGAGGGGCTGTGGCTCAACTGCTCACTCATCCCTGGAGGGGCTGGGACCCGCCTCAGTCGACTTGTGTGGGGACCAGCACTCAAGCAGCCTGCCCTCTTCTGTCCTCCAGGCCACCCCGCCTCCTCTCCTGTCAACTCCTCTTCCTTCAAGGCCCCACACAAGCTACACCGACTCCAGAGGGAGCACAGCTGGGCCCATCTCCCCTGCTAGAGCAAAGCTCCTGGAGGGCAGGGGCCTATCAATCACACGGGGCCTGACCATACAGGCACCAAAAAAGTAAAGTGGACACCAAGATGTGATGGATCAGGCGTGCATGACAGTGGCGTCTGGGGATGGGGCGCGAGTATCACCTCTCTCCGTGAAGGTCTAGTACACTGGTTGTGTACCCTGGAGCCAGACCTGGGTCCTTTCTCCCCATTTACCAGCTGGGCGAGCTGGGGAGGAGCGTGCTCTGGGCTGAGCCTTCCCACCTGTAGCAGGGGGCGAGTAAGGGGCCTCACACAATGCACAGTGGGGTCTCTAGGAGCTGGCGGGTAGACAGCAGGTGCAGCAGGCCCCGCCCACTGACTGCTCCTTTGGCCCTCCCAGGTGGAGGGTCACAAACTCCACCCTCAGAAGTGCTGACAGACAAGAGTCCTCTTGTGCAAATATAAAGAGGTTTATTCATTCTGTCATTAGGATACAAAATAGAACATGTAAAAGGCACCCCTCCCGTCGACCCCACAGTTCAGTGTGAACACCGAGCGCTCGTCCAGGGAAGGCTGCCATGCACGGCGTGGCTCCCGGTGAAGGCAGCCGGCTTGAGCCAGCCTCAGGTCTCGAACATGGCACAGCTGGTGCACAGCACTTTCTCGTACATGTCACTGCAGCTGCGACAGCGTCAGGGAGGGGAGAGAAAAGCTGCTGTCAGGGGCTGAATTGTGTCCACCACCCCCCACCATTCAAACGTCAAAGTCCTAACCCAGAACACCTCAGGACATGACCTTATCTGGAGACAGGATCACTGCGGGCATCATCAGTCTAGATGACGGCACTGACATGGGGGCCCTAAGGCAACACGACCAGCGTCCTAAAAAGACTACGTGAAGAGAAGGACACAGAGAAGGAAGACGACATGAAGATACAGGGAGGGGGCAGCTGTCTACAGGGAACACCAAAGATAACCAGCAGATGCCAGGAGAGAGGCCAGGACAGGTTTTCCATTGCAGCCTCAGAAGGAACCAGCCCTGCCAGCACCTTCCTCTCAGACTTCTGGTCTCCAAAGCCACGTGGCAGTACCTCTTTGCTGTCTATGCCACTGGGTCTGCGAACTCAGTTACAGCAGCCCTAGCTGATTCCCACTGCCGATCAATCCACATGGGGCCCAACCTGGGTTTCCAGTAGGATAGAAGCTCTCCAAAGAAACCTCCAGATGACCTGCCAGAATTCACCGAACCACAATGGTTTACACTGAAGCACATCAAACAGTGCTTTTCTGATATATCAAGACTAAGGGTAGGGCCGGGCATGGTGGCTCACGCGTATGGTGTGGCTTACCTCAGCACTTTGGGAGGCTGAGGCCGGAGGATCACCTGAGGTCAGGAGTTCGAGACCAGCCTGGCCAACATGGTGAAACTCTGTCTCTACTAAGAATACAAAAATTAGCTGGGCGTGCTAGCGCACGCCTGTAACTCCAGCTACTTGGGAGGCTGAGACAGGAAAATTGCTTGAACACAGGAGGTGGAAGTTGCAGTGAGCCAAGATCGCACCACTGCACTCCAGCCTGGGTGACAGAGCGAGACTCCGTCTCAAAAAAAAAAAAAAAAGAAAGCTCTAAAGGTAAAGGCTAGGGAACCCGGCAAAACACAGGGAGAAAGTGATTAAGAGAGATGTTGCGAGGAAACGGGACTGGCAATGGCTACCCCAAACACGACAGGGCCGTGGAGTCAACAAGGCAGCCAGAACTGCTTGCCACTTGGTTTGCAGAGTTTGCCAGTAGTATTGTGGGTGAGCCGCGAAGACAGCCCCTCACCGCCACCGGCAGCCAGCTGGAGAGCCCTGCAGAGGACGGGCCAGGCGTGGGCCAGTGCAGGCCATCAGCAGGACGCCAAAGGCTGCTGGGCTGCATCTGTGTTAAACCAGAGCCGTGTGGACAGATCCCTGTTTTCCCCCACTCCTGCGACGCCTGGTCCTGAAGTAGGAAATGGCAGGGGAGGGGGTAGGAGACTGCGGGTGCCACCAGCTGGGCTGCCTGGCCTGGGAATGCCACTTCTGGCTTGTGACCTGGAACAAGTCATTTATTTGTGAAAGAGGGCAGAGCCCACCTCCTGTGCTGTAGCTGCGATAAAAGAGTGTGTCCACAGTGGGGACAGTGGCCCACTCAGCTCAACGTGAACTCTGTGGGTATGGGAGGAAGCAGCAGCAGAAAGTAGGTAGAGGCCAGGAGGAAATGGGCGCAAGGGAGTCCCTCAAGGATGGTGTGCAGGGCAGGAGTGGGAGGCCAGCCACGCAGCGCTCTGGGACCCACCTCTCCGCTGAACCTGCCCATGGCTATGTTCACTTCTGCTTTGGTGAGAGGGCCACCAGACAATGAGAAAACCCTGCCCTTTTCAGTTTACTTCTAGGAAAGAAGATGAACTCAGCGGGTGAAAAGCAAAGACAGAGTATCCCACATTCATAGCTAGCCCTGCAGATGATTCCCAACCTGGATGGGGTGCGTTACCCCACTCCTGCCCATGCTGAAGCCATGGGAGCCGATCACTGGCACGCGGCGCTTCTCCCTGGTGCTGCCCCCCCTGCCCAGGGCTCTCCGTCTCCAATGAGTCTGGGCCTCTGCCCCGACTGAAGAAAGGCTCGAGAGAAAGGACTCGAGATGTAACATGTGGTTTCTATTTTAGATGGACAATTTCAGACATTGTTTGGACTAAGCTTGCTTTGGGTCTATGGAGCCAGTTCCACATGTGTCTGGATGAAGTCATCTTTCTCACGGGGCAGGGCAAACAGGCTCCACACTGTCCACTCCCATCCACCAGGTGAGTAGCCCCTAGGGTGAGAACGCCCCTCCCCACCTTAGGAGTAAGGACGGGATCCAGCCAGCTGCAGCAAACCCACCCACAAATGGGAGACTACACAAACACTCCACTTCCTGCCTGAGAGGGTCTACAACCAAACGGCACGCATGACTGTGGTGAAGCTGCGGTGTGCACCTGTGTCACCAACCAGGGGCTCCTCGGACGGGGGGAGGGGGGGCTCAAAGACCAGAGGAGGAGGAGGTGGGGGTGCTCAAAGATCAGAACAGGAAGTGGCTGAAGACAGGGACTAGAGCCGGATACAGAGCAGGTCATCTGTGAGGTTCAGCTTTCCCTTAGAGAGGATTACTAACCACTAAAGTTGGGCCAAGCATCTATTGCCACCATGTCCCGTTAGGCAATGCCAGATGGCACTGCATCAGGGGCCACACGTGTGTGTTCTGGGCCCACATGGGTGACCCACCCGTCCCCCATCACGGCTTGCTGGGGCTATGGGATCTCAGCAGCTCCAGGGACTGAAGTACTTACTCCACGAGGCCACACAGGGTACAGGCCACGGAGCCGCAGCCCCAGCAGGTGCGCACACACTGCCCGCACAGGGCTCGCTCACACTGACCGCAGACCGCCTTCCCATCCACGGCTCGCACGCATGAGGAACAGGCAATGGACGCTACCCCAGATGGGTCTGTGAGGAAGAAACGCCAAGCCGTCAGGCTGCAAGGAGACTGGAGTTTCCGGGACTGCCGGGCTACCTGCCTCCATGCATACCTGAGGGCAGAGGGCTCTGACCTGCCTACCCCATCCCCACCTACACTGGATCCTTCTGACAACCCGTGAGCCTGGTACAGTGCACAGGACCCCCGTTTTACTACAGAGATCCAAGGTGAGATATGCCTGTAGTTGACTCCAAGTTCAGTGCTCTTTCCCTTACCAGGTCCCTCTGCTACCTGGAGGCTAGTGCTGGAAGGACCATTCTTCCCCTGTTGCTTGTCAGAACTCCATGTGTCCCATCTGGGTCTCAGTGTGGCCCACTGCCTTACTGGTTAACAAAGAGGTGCCTGGGCTCCTCCTAGACACACCAACCAGACTTGAGGTAGAGTCGGGGATTGCATTTCTAACCAGCAACACAGGTGATGCTCTGAGACCCCACACTGCATAGGGATGGGACTGGCATGTTTCCAGCCTTGTGGGACTATCTGAGGGGGCTGCAGGCGGAAAGCAGACGGGATACCCGGGGAGTCTCTGCTGCTTTTTTGGCCCAGTACTTAGAAGCTGTTTAACAACTTCCAGTCTTGAATGTGAGACCTCCTGATAACAGGAGCCTTCTGAGCCAGAAGGCCAAGCTCTGGGTCAGAGTCCTGCTTACCCAGGGAGGAAAAGCCTGACCTTGCAAATCAAGAAAAATGCTCGTGCCACCACCTGCCCTCAGTGCCACAGCCACAAAGGGCTGCTGGTGCCACTCACCAGCTTCGGAGGCCTGCCCAAGGCTCCTGATCAGGCGGCCGTCTGGTCCAATCAGCATCTGCCCACGTGCAGCCCTCGGGGCCCCTGTAGGGCCAGGCTTTGGGGACTCTGGCAGGTGAACGACGGCACAGCCTTCATCCCACACGTGGTCCAGGTAGGCCTGGGCCCCGAGGAACAGGAGTCGCTTGGTCTTCTCTGGGGGAAGATAAATCATTCTCACGTCCTTCACTGTGTACCAACGAAGCCCCTGCATGGCCATTGAGTCTTTCTAGCCTCACATGAACCCCATCGTCCTCCTGTGTGCCCTCTGTCTCCCAGTAACCCCAGCCTGTGTTGTGCCCTGGCGAGCTGGGTCCTGCTCTGCCTCTATGCTGAGAATGCTTGTGCGTCCTTTCCTTACCTGGCTTAGCTGTCATCTCCTCCAGGAAGGCTCTGGCCCTGCAGCCCCACCTGTGTCTGATGCAAGGGTTCCCTCTCCTATCACTCGGCTCATTTTCTGCAATTCACGGCTGGCCTCGCCTCACTAAGCTTGTCCCCTTTCTCCCTTTTCTGCTTCCCCAGCACTCCCCACCTGGAAACCAGGCTCTGTGGAATGCACAGAGGGAGCTCTGCACTGTGGAGCACTAATTCACAAAACTCGTCCCCTGCCAAGGAAGCAGCCAGAGGCTTGGAGCTGGGCCTACAGCCTCTGGCCAGAGCACACCCCCTTCACCTGCTACAGAGTTGCTGGCAAGACAAGCATCCCAGAACCTTCCAGACCTCTTGTTCTAGAACACCCACCCATCCCTGGGAGCAGTGGTTTTCCATCAGGCCACAGTTCAGTCACCTGGGGAGCTTTGAAAAATCAGATGCCCAGGGCCAGACCCAGAAATGCTTTGTTTTTTGTTTTGCACCTCACCATAACACAGTAAAGGCAGAGATCCCAGAAACTCTATGTGGCTCTACATGAAGTGGGCAGCAATAATAGTGACAGGGTAACTCACATGGAGTAGCTGATGCCAGCCCACAACACCCTGCACCTTCCTCCTGGCCCCCCACACCTTCCCCCATCTATAAGGGGAAAGGAATGGGACAGACACGTGGTGAGGCTAATCCTTGTCCTCAAGGCCTTGTGGACAATTCGAGGTTAAGAGATCAGGGTAACAGCTGTGGCCTGGAATTTGGAAACTGTCACACAGTTCAAAGTAGGTGTCCTGCATTTACCATGGAAGGCCCACTGCACCCAGCAGACCTCCCTGACCTGACCCGGTGAGTGGCACACACCTGCCAACGCCCAGGTCAGGACACTCGGGAAGAATAAAGGGCCATACTGAGCCAGGCCCCATTTCCATCTTCCTCTTCTTGCCTGCACAGTGTTTGAATTTTTCAACTGTCCTGAGAGGGCACACGATTGCGGTCCTGCCACAGTTCCCACGGCATCATTCCCCTTACCTCCCCATGGCCCAGAATAGCACTCGCTTTCACAGCCCTAGCACACTGGAGACACCGCACAGAGGAACCTCGGGAGGCAGAGTCTTTCCCTCATTCCCAAGGCACAAGCGGCACCAGGTAAATCACACACCCCGGGTCATCCTCTAACTGCTCTACAGGTGCAGACTTTGTGTCCCAATCACTAGGCAAGGTAAGCTCCACTTTTTACCTGCCCCAGGGTATTAATCACCCCAGTCAGAGTGATGATCAATAAGATCAACACGCCTGAAATCCACAGGAGAAAGCCAGAGAAGGCCTGGGAGCTCACTGCCCTCACATCCCACCCAGAACTGGACACTGCAGCCACACGGAGTCCTATTTCGCTCTCCTGCTGCCTGGCTTCTGCCTCGCCCTCTTCCTTCCCTTCCTCTGCCTGGCTAACTCCTACTCGCCCCCACAGGATTCCGCTCAGACTGTTCTTCCAAGAAGCCTTCCGTGCCATCCCTGCAGGTGCGCCTGCACAAACCTGTGCCTGCCCCGACCACCTGTGGCGACTCCTCCTGCTGGTCTCCCCAACTAGGCTGGGGAGCTCCCGGGAGACGGGGCACATCTGTCTTGCCTGCCTTTGGTCTCCCGAGAAAGCCGCCGTGCCTGGCAGGGCCGCGCGCTCCATGAATACCTCTTGGGACAGGAGGGGCACTCTTCGGGTTGACTCCATGCAGGACGCCCCGCTCCCCAACCTCTCCCAGGACATCCTGCACGGGACAGTCCTGAGAAAGCACCAGGCGGGTGCCGCTCACTGCAGGGCGGCGACTAACCGGGATCGTGGAAGAGGGCGCGGGGGCTAGGGGCAGGGACCCTTTTCTTTCAGGCTGTTGGACAGGGTGGGCGAACGCTGGGGTCCTCACATCCCCCTCACTGACCCCAGCCCTGGGCGTGGCCAGCTTGTGTCCCCGCGGCCTCCCAGCTTCCGGGAACGCGGGGCCAGAAAGCAGGGCCCTCCAGCCCCCCGCTCAGGCCTCAGAGGGGACGCTGAGGCCCGGCCCGTTCCAGGCCCCGACGCAGCGGACCCTCGGCAGCCCGCCCGACACTCACCGAAGACCTCCTGCGAGTAGCGCTCGGCGCACACGCCGCGGCTCAACTCCCTCTGGCTCACGCGGACCTTGAGCTGTAGCGGGGCCACGTCCGCGAAGGGGCAGCTCCGCTTGGGCATGGCCGCGGGGCCGGGAGCTACGCAGCTCCCCGGCCGCCAGCCCCTTACCAACGACGCCGTGACGTCACAGCTGCGCGCCCATCCGCGGGCGAGAGCGGGTTTGAGGAGAGGGAGCGACGCGGCGCGTCATAGGCTGCGGGCGAAGTGGGAGGCGGGACTCCTGCGCGGAGCGGCGCGGGATAGGCCGAGGGAGAGATCGGGGGTGGGACTCGTGCGTCGGTGTACTGGACTCGACGCCGCGGGAAAGGCCAGGGGCCAGGTTGAGGATCAGGGTGGGCGGGTCCGTGGGAGAGATTTGTGCGCGCGCCGCTCAGGATAGGCGGGAGGAGAGACTAGGGGCGGGGTTCCTATGCGGCGCGAAGCGACGAAGGGTGGGAGCCAGGTCGCGGCATTCGGCTGCGCGGGAAGAGCCAGGGGGCGGGGGCGAGGCCGAGGGTCAGGACGGTGCAACGAGGGCGGAGCTTGTGCATCGGGGGCGGGCCTCGTTTGAGGATCGGCGTGGGATAGGCCAGGGCGACGTCGGGGCGGGTCTAGTTTGAGGAGCGGCGCGGGATAGGCCAGGGCAAAGTCTGGGGCGGCTGGGTCGGTGGCGGGATTCCTGTCAGCTTTTGTTTGGTTCCTAAACGGTAGACACTGGTTATAGTTCCTCATTTACTTCTCCGAAGTTAAGAGGCAGCCCGCTTCTTCCTAGCTCTTTTTTCCCCTTTAGAGACAGGGTCTCGCTCTGTCACCCAGACTGAGTGCAGTGGCAGTCTCGGCTCACTGTAGCTTGCGCCTCCCGGGCTCAGGCGATCCTCCCTTCTCGGCCTCCCCGGTAGCTGGGACCGCAGGCGCGCGCCTCCGCGCCCCGCTTTTTGGTTTTGGGTAGGAACGGGGGTTTTTCTGTGTTGCCTCAGCTGGCTTAGCTCCTCACTGTGGCGGTCTCCGCCTTCCAGAAGTAAAGGCGTGTGGGGGCTGCGCTCTGAGGGCCGCGTGCGGCTGCCGAGCGCCCCCGGGCGGGGGTATGCGCCGCTGTGTGGAAAATGTTCTTGCACAGCGGGTTCGTCTGACTTGGTGTCCCCATGCCGCGAGGTGCACCCGCGTCGTCCCTTCTCCGGGGTTCTGCTCACCAGAGGCGGCTCTCCCCTGCCCCGGCGGGTACAGAACCGACCCGTCCTGTGGCGTGGGCTTCGCCCTGTGAGAGATGACAGCGTGCTGGCAGCCCTCGCTCGCTCTCGGCGCCCACTCTGGCCGCGCTCGAGGGGCCCTTCAGCCCGCCGCTGCACTGTGGGAGCCCCTCTCTGGGCTGGCCGCGGCCGGAGCCGGCTCCCTCAGCTTGCAGGGAGGTGTGGAGGGAGAGGTGCGGGCGGGAACCCGGGCTGCACGTGGCGCTTGCGGGTCAGCGTGAGTTCCGGGTGGGCGTGGGCTCGGCGGGCCCCGCAATCGGAGCCACCGGCCCCAGGCAGTGAGGAGCTTAGCACCCGGGCCAGCAGCTGCGGAGGATGCGCCGGGTCCCCCACCAGTGCCGGCCCGCCGGCGCTGCGCTCGAATTCTCACCGGGCCTCAGCTGCCTCCCCGCGAGGCAGGGCTCAGGACCTGCAGCCCGCCATGCCTGAGTCTCCCCCCTGCCGTGGGCTCTTGCGCGGCCCCCTGCTCCGCGGCACCCGGTCCCATCGACCGCCCAAGGGCTGAGGAGTGCGGGCGCACGGCGCGGGACTGGCGGGCAGCTCCACCTGCAGCCCCGGTGTGGGATCCACTAGGTGAAGCCAGCTGGGCTCCTGAGTCTAGCGGCGACTTGGAGAACCTTTATGTCAAGCTAAGGGATTGTAAATACACCAATCAGCACTGTGTTTAGCTCAAGGTTTGTAAACTCACCAATCGGTACCCTGTGTCTAGCTCAAGGTTTGTAGATGCACCCATGGGCACTCTGTATCCAGCTAATCTGGTGGGGATTTGGAGAACCTTTATGTCTAGCTGTGGGATTGTGGACGCACCAGTCAGCACTCTGTGTTTAGCTCAAGGTTTGTAAATGTACCAATCAGCACTCTGTATCTAGCTAATCTGGTGGGGACTTGGAGAACCTTTATGTCTAGCTAAGGGACTGTAAATACACCAATCAGCACTCTGTGTCTAGCTCAAGGTTTGTAAAGACACCAATCAGCACCCTGTATCTAGCTCAAGGTTTGTAAATGCACCAATCAGTGCTCTGTGGGGACTTGGAGAACTTCTGTGTCTAGCTCAGGGATTGTAAACACACCAATCAGCGCCCTGTCAAGACGGACCAATCAGCTTTCTGTAAAACAGACCAGCCCTCTGTAAAATGGACCAATCAGCAGGATATGGGTGGGGCCAGATAAGGGAATAAAAGCAGGCCGCCCGAGCAGGCAGTGGGAACGTGTTGGTGTTCTGCCACATGTTTGGGGCTTTGCTCTTTCACTCTTTGGGTCCACACTTTTTATGAGCTGTAACACTCACTGGGAAGGTGTGTAGCTTCACTTCTGAGGCCAGCAAAGCCACAAACCCACCGGGAGGAATGAACAGCTCCAGACACACTGCCTTAAGAGCTGTAACACTCCTTGTGAAGGTCTGCAGCTCCACTCCTGAAGCCAGCAAGACCGTGAGTCTGCCAGAAGGAACAAACTCCAAACACGTCCAAACATCAGAAGGAACAAACTGCAGACATAACAATTTTAAGAACTGTAACAGTCAACTGTGAGGACCTAGTGCTTCATTCTTAAAGTCAGTGAGATCAAGAACCCACCAATTCTGGACACACCTGGACTATGTTCTCACGACTCCATCGGTGTTGCCTCCGGTGTGAAGAGGTGATGCCTGGAGTCCCGCAAACCCCTCCCACGTGACTCCCGTGTTGCAGCTGCCCACGCCCCCTCAGAGGCAGTGTATGCTTTCCTAGCCATGGGTGGCTGAAACCTTACCAGTCTCCAGCTTAGATGTCCTTTCTCCTCCTGCCGTGCAGGGTTCCCTGTGGTGGGGATGGGATCAAGCATTCTTGGCTCTTCCTTGCCACTTTGCTGGCATAATGGAGAATTTTTTCTGCCTTAGGGAAATGACTTGAAAGTTACTCAGTTGGAGTCACGTGTGACTAAACACAGATTTGGTTTATCCCAGAAATAGATGAAGTTCTCAGAGAGGAGGATTGTTTTCAATCTTATGGATCGTGGGGATTTCTAAAGATTTCCCTGTGTTCAGACTTGCAACTCTCCTAGGGTCTCATCACCATCGTGGACAGATACAGAACATCGGGCAGCTTATGGAGTGGGGCTGTCCCCCAGGCCACATGCCGGTTCCTCAGAGGTTGCTGGGTAGGATTCTGCTGCTTTAACAAACTTGCCTGGCTAACACCACTGGCTCACCCTTGAATGCCTTCCTGGGTGAAGCCATGAACCCTCCAGGGTTAAGCCCCAATTTTGGGGCTCACCTGCCCTGCATCAGATTGATGGTTAACTTGTAAAGAAACTGGCAGCTTTCCAGAGTGCTAGGAAAAAGGAAAATTATCATTAAACAAAATCATTGTCATAGTTTTCCTCTAATTCGTCTTGAGGTCTCTCCTGGAGAGTGGCTGTAAACTTTGGCCCTTCCCTGATGGGGCTCTGGGGGCGGTGGGCATGGGGTTACAGTGTGTGCTCTCGTGGGATGCCTCCTGACCCTGGCTGATGGCCTCAGGCCTGTGTATCCAGCTGTGCTGGCATTCCTCTCACCAGCAGCTTGCTTCTAGGCTTTGGCAGGCAGCCTGTGGCTTTTGTCTGAGCAGTGATCAGTTCATTCCTATCATGATGGTCTCTCTGGGAGAGTCCTGACCAGGAGAGTGAGGTTTGGGTGCAAGGGTCAGGTGAGAGCTGGAGGAGGCAGCACAGCAGAACACATGAAACTGCAGAGCAGGTGTGTGACTCAACCGGGCGGGAGCGAGGAGGCAGCGTTCCTCACAGGCCAGTGGGGAGGGGGAGCCACGGGGAACAGGCAGGCCCAGCCAGATGGTGGGGAGCGAGCCAGCGGCCTGTGCACCAAATCTGTATTCAGGTCCAGGGTGTTGTTACTCAAGTGCATTTCCTGTGGGGTGTGATTTCGAGCCGGCAGGCATCAGCTTCATGGCATCTTGCTGTGACTGGGTGGTGGTCACTGTGGCACGTCTGCACAGTCCGTGAGGGGTGTGGGGGCCAGGGGCTGAGTCCAGTAGGTTGTATCCAGGTGTCCCATAGGGAGCTGGTCACCAGCTGGCAGGTGTATAAAGCAGAGATCTGGGTGGACCACCCTGGGCAACTGGGAGGAGGTGAGGAGCTAGAAACTGTCAAGAATGACTGAGCCCTGCTTCTGTACCAGAAAGTCCCACTTTTATTCAGAATGGATGCCATTCTGAATAAATATTGTCATAAAATGATAAGAATTCACTACAATTATCACTAATTTGTCTTTTACCCATGTATTCAACAGAGACCACTCTGACCCCATCTACACTGGGGCTGTGTTATTGATGAAAAGTGGAGAGAGCCCCTTACTATAACCACTCAGACCCTCCAAACATCTGCTACTGAGAAGAAGGGGGTGGAGACCCGAATGATTGACCTGCCTGTCTGCACTAACCCACCGCTCAGACGCCAGAGCCTCTTGTCTCTGGTTCACGTGGAAGTGAGTGAGTTGGTGCTGGGGGAGAAGTATTTCCCCTCTGCGTTGGTGTCTTTTTACCCTGTGAAACGCCTGCCTTCCATCCCGAGAGGAAAGAAAACGATGACAACTTGTGTTCTGGTGGAAGATTTAGCAGCTACTACAAAACAGAGGTTTGAAAACCTATTTTGCAGCTCTCAAATTTCAATTTAGATGACTTGACTTTGAGGGCCCAGTGTAGATGTGAGGGCTGAGTAGAGAAAGCCCGCAGCCCCCTCTCCCCAGGAGCTTACCCCTGCCTCGGGGCTCCCTTTTTGTCTCTCTTGCTGTGTTATGAAAGGAGAGCATCTGGGAATACTCAAAGGCTGGCTTCTGCCTGTGTGTCCCACCCCATCTCAAGGTGGCTAGTGCTGCTGAGGGACTCCGGCCTGAGGAAGGAAGCGCCCGTGGCCTGGGGCAGAGCCGTGCAGTTGCATGGCTTTCCTGCCGCTCAAGTCACTGAGGGCTGTTCTTGGTACTGTCTAGAAAAGTTGCTTGCATCCCTGGAGTCACAGGAATCTCATAACCCAGCCTATGCCCCCAGGCCCCTGCCGTGTCAGTAGAGCCTGCTGAACTTCCTGGGCTAGCGAGACCAGCTGACAGCCACAGTGCTCAAAAGTCAGGGTCTAACCCCGCCAGACTGGCGTCTCTGTAGGATTCCCTGTCTTTGAAAGGATACTGGAAGGGCAGTTGTTTTTCTAAACTTACTCCGAACTCTGAGCCACTGCACCTGGCCTTAATATCATTTTAAAAACTAAACACGCTGGCGCGGTGCCTCCCACCTGTAATCCCAGCACTTCGGGAGGCCAAGGTGGGTGAATCATGAGGTCAGGCGTTTGAGACCAGCCTGGGCAGCATGGTGAAACCCCATCCCTATTAAAAATACAAAAATTAGCTGGGCGTCGTGGCGGGCCCCTGTAATACCAGCTACTCAGGAGGCCGAGGCAGGAGAATCGCTTGAACCTGGGAGGCAGAGGTTATGGTGAGCAGAGATCGCGCCACTGCACTCCAGCCTGGGTGATAGAGCAAGACTCTGTCTCAAAACAAACCATATTTAATTGACTTGGTCTCTTATATGGGCTTGTTCTATTTAATTTTCTGAGTAAACACAAGGCTTGGCTTTGTTACCCAAAAAACATGGGCAGCTCTTAGGAAGCTACATCCTCCAGACTCCTGTCACAGTGAATTGTTGTCTTTCAGTGTTTAAAAGCAATAAAGACAAAGTCAAATCAAACATGTAACAACTGCTCCCATTCAGTGGCCATTGGAGATGTTTATTACACTGCTTCGGCTGGACACGCAACCATGTGACACTAATGTGTCATAGAAGGTCTCTGAGCACTTTGGCTCATTTTGAATATAATTTTTAAAAATATACACAAGGCTGGCTTTCCAATGTTTAAAATCATTGTAGAAACCAACAGGTTGAACAGAAATATAAAAGTACAGAAAATGGTTTTCCTGCTTTGGTGTTGGTTGTGGCGGCCGAGGAACGTGACTGCTGCTGTTTACACAAGTCCAGACGCTGCCAGGGCCTGTTGGGATCAGCTCAGTCTGTGACTAAAACAGCTGGATCATCGACTCTCTTGACTTGCCAACACCAACCCATTTGACTGAGAGAGCAGAAAAGACTGTTATGATACACACTGGAGGCAGAAAGTTCAGAAAAAGTTGTCTTTAGTGTCGTATCTTTCTGTGTAGTTCAAATGGTAAAAGGGGCTATTTTCTCTCCAAATGGAGGCAGTTCTAATTTTTAAGTTATGAAGGTAGTGCATGTTGGGGGACTGATCCTCCCGCAGCGGAAAACAGGAGTCTCCTCCCTTCTTCCTTGGAAATGGCAACGTTAGTTACTTAGTGACTCTCCCTGCAGACCCTTTCTCTGTAGGTGCAAACACCTCTGGGTTATGAGGGTAAACATGACACACTCATATGGCTGGGATGTGTCCCATCTGTTGTTCTGGATGCGGAGAGGCAGGGGCTCCCGGCAAGGTCACACCCACACCCTAGCCCGGAGCCACACTGCCCCAGCTCCGAGTCGTCCTCCCCTCCTGCCATGCAATATATTCGCTTGGTGACCACACTTGGTTTTCTTATTGCTCACCAAGCCCTGCGCTGGGATGTGGGCCCCTTGGGGCATCCAGGGTGCAGGGAGGGTGGCTGGGGATGCAGGGCACCCACCTGCGACTCCCACGTGATTCTCCACAAAGCGGATGTAGTTCTGGGCCTGTGGGGGCAGGTCCTCCCACCTCCTGGCGCCTGTGGTGTCTGCTTTCCACCCAGGCAGCGTTTCATACTCAACTTCGACCTTCTGAAGCATCTCCTGGTTAGCTGGGGGAAGCACACAGGAGATGAGTGGGGCCCACAGACCTCCTATCACCAGGGAAGCGGATATTTGGTGACACGGCCACCCCCATCCAGGGCCTCCTTGCCTAGGGACTCAGCTGCAAGGAAGGCAGCAAGTGGGCACGTGGCCCAGTTTGATTTTCTCAGTGTTGGGTGGTAAGCAGGGGACAGCAGTGGGGCTCAGACACTACACGCCTTCCAGACCAGAGGGACATGACACATATGTGCTACCCACTCTGCTAGAACCTCCACTGTGACATCAGCTGAGGCACTCCAAGCCTTGGCTTGGAAATTCTGAGACTCTAGAATCCTGAAGCACTAAGGGATCCTGAAGCATCTGTGTCCTCCCACCCCAAGAGCATCAACTCCCAGAGGGCAGGGATCCCGGCCCTGTGCAGGACTCTGTGGCTCCTGGTAGAAGACAACCACCCTTACAGATGGAAGATGCTGGAATACGGGTTCTCGCTGCAAGTGTGTTTGAGCCTTGGAGCCAGGCAGTGTTTGCGTGTCCCCCTGGGACCCTGGACCACCATGAGGAGAGCTTGCAGTCCTCACAAGTGCAGCCTCTCAAAGGTCAAGGGTCAGGAGGGTCAGGGACACCGCCTGCAAGGACACACATGGCTCCTGTAGCCAAGTGGCCCTGTGTGGCCTACAAAGATCTGCTGAGTGGAGACCAGCCAGGAGCAGCTCGCCCAGGGCTGCTGAGGAGGAAGCCATTGTGGGGAACAGGGTCAGAACATGACCCTGGACCGAGGTCGAGGGGGCACATCCAGACGCACACGAAACTGAAACCTGTGAAACCCAGGAAAATGGCACCTCCTTCATGCTTTCCAGAAGAAGGGGTGCATGGAGCAGGGATCCCGGTTAGGTCTTAAAAATCTCGCCACAAAGCGTATTTTCTCAGATGAAATAGTCATCCTGTACGTCCGCATAGAGCTTTACATCTTCCAGAGCCGACCGCATCCACTAACTCCTGTGTGCCTCCCGTGGCTCCCTGCAGGTGGGCCTTTTCCTCAAGGCAGCTGAAGGTCCCCCAGGGTCCCAGGCGAGTAGTCTGTCCCCCTGAGCCATTCCCAAAACACTGGAAGGGGCCTACAGCCACCCCTGCCCAGCCAGGCCTCCTGGGGAACGCTGTGGGGAGAAACCCGTGAGAGGCAAAAGCCATGATGGAGGCTGGTCACTGGAGACAAGCTGCTTGCCCTGTGTCCTGTGAACGTGGGAACTCACCCCTCTCTGAGAAGTCACAGGTCCTATCTATTCCAATACCATGAAACGGCCCAACAGGCAGAACGGTTGCCCCACTTCACATACCTGGGAAATAGGGAATCCTTTTCCCGTTCAGCTTGTATGAGACACCGACTTTAACCTCACCCAGTACGTCCAGGATGTCCAGCTTCGTCAGGGCCAGCCTGTGGAAAGCCAAGGGGCCGGGCAAACCCAAGAAGTGGTCAGCAGTGCTGGGGTTTCTTCCGCTTGCTTTTGACCTCTCGCTTCTGTTACTTACAGCAGGGGTCCCCAGTCCCTGGGCTGTGGACCAGTACTGGTTGGTGGCCTGTTTGGAATTGGGCTGCAGAGCAGATGAGTGGCGGGCAAGCTAGCATTACGGCCTGAGCTCCACCTCCTGTCATTCAATTCTCACAGGAGCCTGAACCCTATTGTGAACTGTGCATGCGAGGGATCTAGGCCACATGCTCCTTGTGAGAATCGAATGCCTGAAGATCAGAGGTGGGACAGTTTCATCCCGAAACCATCCGCCGCCACACCCCTGCCACCTGCCCTGTCTGTGGGAAAATCATCTCCCGCCAAACTGGTCCCTGGTGCCAAAAAAGTTAGGGACTGCTGATTTACACTGAGTGGAAAAGAGAGATTAAGTGATCCCAAAAAAGCGCCATTGACAAACATGCCAGAGGGTGGGGGCTTCTGCTCACGCCCTGCACCTCATCTCTGCCTTTCCAAGTCCCCTGTACCTCGAGTGCCCCCCGGGACCCCTGCTCCCCCAGGCTCCACTTCTCCCCTCCCGTCCCCACACGTGCACTTTCCCCACAGCACAGCCGTGTTTAGGGCCCAGCACTGCCCTGTGTCCAGCCCGTGAGCATGGCACCCTTGTCCTAGTCACCTTCCTGGTCCCTGCCCACCCACCCACTGATGCCAATGATGGCAGCCTCCCTTCCTGGTCCATCTTCGGCACCAGGCCCTGTGCCATGGGCTCTGTTTTTCCTCCCTCCGTGGGCAAAGCCTGAAGGGGCGCCAGATGCAGCAGGCTATGGATGGGTCTGCTGAGCACTGCTGACCCTGCCTGTCCTCCATGCTGGCCCTAGCACGTGATGAGGCTGCGCCGTGAACCCTGCATCGCGCACAAGGAAAGTGAGGGTCACGGATCCCAGACGCCACACCCTCAGCTACTCGGTTCCTCTGCTTCCCGTTGCCGGATTAGCTCTATACCCACCTAGCAGGGGTCTGGTTAATTCTCCAGGAATTTTGGCTGATGCTCTCAACCCTGGTGAAAGATGTGCGACTCACAGCCTTGGCCTGTCTGACTGAGCTGGAAAGGAAGCTGTGAGCCCACCCCTCACACAAAGCCTCTTTCAGATCCCTGGGAGACAGCCCGAACAGCTGGGCAGCCTGGGTCAGTCTGTGGAAAGCAGAGGGGCCTGCAGAGCGGATGCCTCAACAGGCCGGCACCCATGCTGCCGTCCTTCTAGCAGGATGACAGTGCATCCTTTCGTCCTGGGTACTTCCGCTCTCCACATGAAGCATTTTAACCTCTCACAAGTGCCGGGATGCCCTCATCCTTCACGGCATCAGCCCTGGGGTGGGAGTTTGTGCTCCTACGGCTGGCTCCAACACACCCTGCACAGGCCTCCATACCGCTAACCTCTGGGCCGTGCTTTGTGGAAGGGTCGAGATCAGTGGAAACCTTGTCCAAGGAGACTTGGTGGCCCTCAGCCCCTGCGTCAAGTGCTGCTTGCCTCTGCAGGTGTCGGGAGTCAGGGACGGTCCCAGTGGGGATGGCAGCATGGGTTGCTTACGCAGTGAATCCGTTGACCATGTGAGCATATCTTAGAATCATCAGGTCGAGCCAGCCGCAGCGCCTCTTCCTGCCTGTGGTCACTCCCCACTCGTGGCCGCGGGTCTGCAGCAGGCCTCCAATCTCCTACATGAGAACAGGGAGGACGTCATGTGAGCTGTCGTGGGAGCCTTGTGCAGCCTGGCCCTGCTGCTCCCCCTCCTCCCTGCACACAGCTCTCAGAATCCCTGAGGGTGCCCCGCCTCCACCGACAGTCCTTACATCCAGCTCCCGGACATCCCCACACCCCTGGTAAGCCTGTCCAGCAGCTGAGGCTCACAATGGGCAAGGCCTGGCCCACAATGCCACCCGAGCCGGCGAGCGCTCTTCCTGAACACACCAGACCACTAGGCTTTGTGAGCTGGGGAAGGCACGGGCAGCCTTGCTGTCTTCCCCTCCTGCCATGGGCAGCTGGGGGAGGCGGGCCTGGCCCTGCAGCTTGGCTTTGGGGGTCAGGGGTGTGTGTATCTCCCGATATGTATCCCTGCACCCTCTCAAGCCTCTCTGGATGGCGTCCGCCCCTCCCCGTGTTGGCTTTCCCAGCACCTGCCCTTCCTCCTGCTCAGGCACAAGGGCCATGTCCTTGCCCTACCAAGGGTCACAGGTTGAGGGTGAAAGAGGAAGGCTGGGGTCTCCTGAGGATTCTGGGGCCACAGCAGCTTCCAGAAACCTTCCTGGGGCTGGAGAGCTGGGCAGGGTTGTGGGGGTTGGCTTTCAGCCCCAATTCTAGCTTGGTTGTGACAGAGGACCCCCCAACCTGGGGACAAGGCTGAGGGAAGATGCTTAGTGTCCTCTCTGAGCCAAGGTGAGTCCACCAGCTACCCCGAATGAGGGTGTCCTGAGGAACTGCAAGGCGTCCGCACTTGCCTGTGGGCCTCACACACTCCGAGGGGAACGAGGTCACGTGTACGTGTGGGCATGTGCGCACCCCGTGTGAGCTCACGTGCTGTGGCCGTGGGAACAGGCCCACCCCAGCGCCTCTTACTAAGCTCTCCCCTGGCCTGCACGGCAGGAAGCGCCCTGGTGGGAGATGGGGAGATGGCACTGGCAAGGTCCGCAGAGCCTCCACCCTGGCACTGCTCACCCCACCCCCGGCACCCCTGCCTGGCCTCCCTGTCCTCCCACGGGGTCCCGAGGGGCTGGGGACTCACGTTGATCTGCTCGGTGGGGAAGGCCCCGATGCCCACACGTGTGGTATAGGCTTTCACCACGCCATACACGTCACCTATGTTCTGCGGGGGGATGCCCAGGCCCGTGCACACACCGCCCACGGTGCAGTTGGATGAAGTCACAAAGGGGTAGGTCCCTGCAAGACAGAGCAGGTTTAGGGGGCTACCTGTCACCCCCTGTAGATTATTCCACCCGGCCCAAGAGGCCTTCTCAGTAAAGGGCAGTGGGCAGTTCAAACCGTGGGGGGCCCCCTCCGTGGGGTCGCCAGCCTGGCCTGTCCTGGTGGAGTGGCCGAATGGGTGCTGTGTGCTGGGCCATGTGGCTCACAAAAGAGTCTGGGGTGAGAGGAGGGAGAAAGTTGCCCACAGCATGGCCTGAGGTGACCAGGCCGCCTCGGGGGTGAGGGTAAGCTGGTGCGCCCGTGGGGGTGAGGACGGGATATGGCTGTACAGACCATCGGAAGGGCTGGCTCTGACCCACCTTGCCAGGCTCCCTGGCCCCACCCCTGACCTTGTCACCCTGTTCTTTCATCTCTAGCCCAGCCCTTTCTCCTCTCCCCTCCCTTGCTGACAATAGGAACACTAAGGACACGAGGATCATTTCCGCGGGCATGGATGGCACTGTGGCCTTGGAAAGCGGGTCTGCCCCTCCCTCCCCCATCGGTTCCCACGGCTCTCCGCAGCTGGGTCTTCCCTGGCAGGCACGAAAGGTCGTTGGCACGCACACCCTCCCGGACATACCGAAGTCAATGTCGAGGAGGGCGGCGTTGGCACCCTCCACCAGGATCTTCTTGGGGGGGCCGTGGAGTGCCTCATACATAAAGTAAACACCATCTCGGACCATGGGTCTGATCCGCTCAGCAAAGCCCTGCAAGGAAGGGCCAAGCAGCAGAGTGAGCCTGTGGCCTGGGGCAGGGGAGGCCTGCGTCCCAAGAAGGTTGGCCAGCCCATAACAATGCCTAGTATCAGGTGTGCCCCAAGGGTGTTCAACGAGCACCAGGTAGGACATCCAGCCTCCCTGGAGGAGCACTTCCGCAGCCCCCACACTGCGGCCCCGACTTCACCTTGAGCCTTTTGAGTTGGCCTTCAATGTCTATTTCCAGGGTGGGGAACATCGACTGGTGCTGGTGGGCCAGGTTCTTGAATCTGCACAAGGGACAGTCATCATCACCCCCTGTCATGGTCCATGCTGGTCCTCAGGGCCCTCCCCACTAGCCACAGTCCCTTCCGGCAACTTCTCCCCATCCTCCCCGGGGACTGCAGACGGCTCAGGTACCTGGAGGAAAACTCATCAAAATCTGACAGGAGGTCGCAGATGCGGAGGCCTGTCCGGGCAGCTTTGGAAGAGTAGGTTGGTCCGATTCCCTTCTTGGTGGTGCCTATACTGAAAGATGGGGAGTGGGTACCCATGAGAACCCAGGAGCCCTGAGGAGCTCAGGCATCCCACTGAGGCCATGACCCCCGCCGGCTCATGACTCCAGTGCCCACCATTGCTGCCTGTGTCTGGCTGAGCTGTGAGTGTGTGCGTGTGTGGGTGTACGCACTAGCATGGATGTACTGGTATGGTGTGTGCCTGTGGGTGGATGTGTGCATGTGGAGTGTGTGCATGTGTGGCTGTGTGTACTTTTGTGCATTTGCGTGGGTGTGTGGGCTTGTGTGGCGTGTGCACATGTGCATAACTGTGCGAGCATGCGTGGGCGTGTGGTGTGTATGTAAGAGCATGAGTGTGTGCCTGTGTGAGAGTGTGAGTGGGTAAGTGTGTGACCATCACCTCTCTGAGGCAGGACACTCATCTGCTTCACTCCTGTGTCCTTGGCACATCTGAGGTTCTACTAAACTGCTTTAGTGTTCCTCGTGTCTTCCCTGGGGCCGTGTGGAGTCAGGAAAGGTGGTGGGTGTGACAGGTGACGGTAGGGCTTATGCACTCCTGGGGGGAGCCGCGTGGCAGTGGCAGCCGGCAAGGACAGTGTGCAACCCCAGAGAGAGACGGGCTGGCTCGTCCGGGGGTTGGGTGATGCGCTGTGGAATTTTGACGGTGCCATTCTCCAGGGGCTTTGAGTGGGTTGAGGTACCCTCCTCGTTGTGCCCAGGACCAGACACGCCCCACAGTCTACCGGCTTACGGGCCCAGAAGACTCCCCGAGGGTGAGAGTGTCCCGGCAGACTTACTTCTTCCCCTCTTGTGCCTGGCGCTGCACTTCCTGAAGTCCGTCGACAGCCTGGTGAAAATCAAACACTGTCGGGCGGGCCAGGTGAGGGCAGCAGGAGACAGGAGAGAAGCAGAGGACAGATGTGTATACATGGACCTCACCTCCTGCTGGCCTGAGTCTCCTGGGAAGGGGGTGGTTGAGATTTCAAAGAGGACAAACTGGGGTGTGACCATGAGTGTCTGGGGCTCAGTCTCCCCACCTGCAAATGGGCTAGTGACCCCTGACCCAGCTCCCAACTTGAAGCTCTTTGAAAAGGGTAATGTACAAGCTAATGGAGCCATGTGGAGCAAGAAGGCCTTGGGGACTTCCCTGATCTCGGTGGCCATGTAGGAGCAGGGCCGGCTGGCAATGGTGGGGGCAGGAGGGGCTGTTCCCTGTACTCCAGTGGGAAACGTACCAAGGTGGGCTCTGTCAGAGATGATGAGCCTCTTCTCCCAGTCCTTCAGGCCTGCGGGGACACGGCACACAGGTGGGTCAGTGTTCACAGGTGCGCTGCAGCTCACACGTGAGGGGCCAGAGCTGGGCTAGCTCGCCCGGCTCCCATCCAGGTAAGGCATGCAGGGAGGAGGCTGACAGGGCCACCTCTGTTGCGCAGCAAGCGGCAGACCCGCCCCTCGTTGTCTCCTCCCCAGCTGAGACTCCCGGACCCTCACTCCACCCCGCCGCCAGGATGCCCACTCTCGTGCCTGCAGGCTTCGCCCACTCCAGGCTGGGAAGCCAGAGCTGGTGTGAGTGCCCGGCTTTCCTCCCTAGCTGCTGCCACTCTGAAGGTGACCTGCCCCCTCAGGGCCTCAGTCTGGGTACCCCCTGGTGCCCATGTCCCCAGAATCACATTCTTGCTCTTTTCACACCCGTCCCGCCCTTGAGCCTGAGGCTGCAGCTCAGCGTCCTCCCAGACCCACTCAGGCTGCCGTCCGTCCCTGCCCACACTAGGTCTGACTTGCCCACACCCCCAGCTGGTGGGTCTGGCCTCTGCGTGCCTGGCCAGATGCTCCGCAGAGCCCCCAGGAGCCACATCCTTCCCTGCAGGCATAGTTAGGCCAGCAGTCCCCACTTCCCACTGGGTGTCTGGTCCAGGTCCCTGGCTCCTTCCTGGACTTCCCAGGTGCTACCTGGCCCCGTGATGCTGAGGCCACCAGCATCTGAGGCCTCTGGGTTGCCCAGCTCACTCGCTTTCTGCGCGGGTAGAGCCGGCGGGTGATGAGCTGGGCCAGCTATGTTGGGAACCCACCCCTGCCAGTCCCCTCCGTGGGAGAAACCCTCAGGAAGGCTCCAGCCAACAACCGCTCAGGGCACCGCGTCTGGGACAGGGCAAGTCTGCAGGAGCTTGGACCTACCTTTCTTTTCATTCTTCTCTGCTTCCTCAAACAAGCCTGGCAAGTGGATGACCACCCCGTTGCCTGCATGAGAGACAGAGGCATGAGAGACAGAGTTGTGTCCCAGACACTGGAAAACATACATTAAGAACAGCATGAAATGGGTGGGTGCGGTGGCTCATGCCTGTAATCCTAGCACTTTGGGAGGCTGAGGCAGGAGGATCACTTGAGGTCAGGAGTTCGAAACCAGCCTGGCCCACATGGTGAAACCCCATCTCTAGTAAAAATACAAAAAATTATCTTGGCATGGTGGCGCATGCCTGTAATCTCAGCTACTCGGGAGGCTGAGGCAGGAGAATCGCTTGAACCTGGGAGGCGGAGGTTGCAGTGAGCTGAGATCCTGCCACTGCACTCTGGGTGACAGAGCGAGACTCCGTCTCAAAAAACAAACAAGCAAACAAACAACAACAAAAAACAACCCAGCATGAAATGGGCACACCTATGTTCATAGCAGCATTATTCAGAGTAGCCAAGAGCTGTCCATTGACAGATGAATGGGTAAGCAGAACACGGTCTACCCATACGATGGAAGAGTATTCAGCCTTAAAAAAGGAAGGAAATTCTGACACAGGCCTCGAAGACATTATGCTGAGTGAAATAAGGCAGTTACAAACGGACACAAACAGGATGATTCCGCTTATATGAAGTCCCTGGAAAAGTGAAATTCATAGAGATAGAAAGTAGAATGGGAGGCGCCAGGGGCTGGGAGAGGGAGACTGGGGAGTTATTTGATATTTCAGCATTTCAGTGTGTGAAGATAAGAAAGTTCTGGAGGTGGATGGTGGTGATGGATGCAAAACACATTCCTCGGTATTTAAGGAGCTGGAAATTGATGTCCCTGCAGAAACCTGCGCGTAGATGTGCAGCTCTATTCATAATCGCCGAAACTCGGCAGCAGTCAAGAGGCCCATCAGTAAACAAAAGGAGAAATCAACTGTGGTCCATCCAGACAGTGGAGTATTATTCAACACTGAAAAGAAATGAGCTTTCAAGCCATGAAAAGACATAGAGGAAAGTTAAATGCATGTTACTGAGTGAAAGAAGCCAATCCGAAAAGGCGACATACTGTACAATTCCAACTCTGAGATTCTGGAAAAGGCAAAACTGAGGAGACAGCATAAGGTGAGTGGCTGCCGAGGGTTGAGGGGGGAGAGATGAATGAAATGGGTGGAGCTCGGGGGTTTTAGGACAGTAAAAAATTCTGTACGATACTATAGTGGCAGATACACAGCATACGTTTGTCCAGACTGGTAGAATGTACAGCACCAAGTGTGAACCCAGAGGTGACTATGTACTCTGGGTGATCATGACCTGTCAGTGTAGGTTCATCGATTGTCACAAATGCACCGCTCTGGTGGGGCATGGTGGCTCATGCCTATAATCCCAACATTTTGTGATGCTGAGGCAGGAGGATTGCCTGAGGCCAGGAGTTGGAGGCCAGCCTGGGTAACACAGCAAGACTCCATTTCTAAAAAAAAAAAAATGCATATATATATATATATATATATATATATATATCAGCTAGGTGCGGTGGCATAAGCCTGTAGTCCTGGCTACTTGGGAGACAGAGGCAGGGGGATCCCCTGGGCCCAGTAGGTTGAGGCTGCAGTGAGCCAGGACTGTGCCATTGCATTCCAGCCTGAGTGACACAGCCAGACCCTGTCTCAAAATAAACAAAAAACAAAAAAACACAAATACACTCCTGAGCTCTAAACCCCTTGCTTGAAGATGAAGCCTTCAGAAACCCCTGCTGCCTCCCCAAGGAACCCCTTTCCCTTTGCCAGTTCCCGCTGAGGCTGGCCATGGCACAGGCTCAGCTGAGGGAGACGGGACTTCAGTCCAGACGAGAGTGACCCGGAGACGACGCAAGCCATGGTGAGCACAAAAGGTCACCCAAATGCCACGGCATCCTGAAATAAACACGCGGCAGAGGCCCGGAGTGTTGCAAGCTCAGGGTGTCTGTGTGAGCCCTGGCACGTCCTGCCGCTTGCTAAGCGGTGCCTCTTTGGCCTTGTTTCCTGCCATGTGGGGCCCAGGGCTGGGCAGGACGAGGCTGGCGGCTGGAGAAGGGCTTCCTGCAGCACAACCCGGAGCGGCCAGCCAGCGCTACTGCCCAGTCTGCCAGGGCTAGGGGCTCCTGCGACATGGCGGGCAGGCCACCTCACTGCTTAGGGCCTCCCTGCTGTGAACTAGGGACCGCCCCCACACTGTCCTGGCCCCACTGCTGGGAGGGCCAGGGACTGGGTCTGCACCCCAGGGGATGGTCTTGGGTGAGTCACTCCAGCTCAGCCCCTGACCACACATGGCCCCTGCGGCAGCCACCTCCGCGCTATCTTCCTCCCTCTGCTCACATTGAATGGGTCCAGGCCCATGCATCTGCTGGGCACACACCTGAGGCGCCTGACCCCCACTTCCTGACGGGCTGGGAAGGGGTCAGATACATCACAAGGATGGCCTTGCTGAAGTCTGGAAACAGCTGGAAGGGAAAGTACAAGAAGGGGCCTGGCTGGCTTGGCCACTGGGATCAGGAAAAGCTTCTCTGAGCAAGGGGGTTTTGGGCTAAGAGCTGAGGCCAGGGTGCACAGAGCAGGCTTCTGACCGAGAGAAGGAGGGAAAGAGCCACGGAACCCTGGGGACAGAGGTGGCTCGCCTCTTGGAGCACTGAGTGGTCACAGGTGGCTGCAGGGGAGGAGCTGTGTCCGGACCCAGGAGGGGGCAGGCGATGTGGAAGGAGGTCCCTCTGCAGCACGGACTGGGAAGGGGCTGGAACCAGGCCTGCCACGTGGCCACAGCAGCCCAGGCAAGAGGACGGCCACATGGCTCGGCAGGGCCGGGGAGGGCACGGCCTTGTCCACACAGCCTGGTCGCCACGCAGCGAGAAGCCAGGCCTGTCGCAAGCACATACTCACTCACAGGTATGCACATGGAGTCACGGGCACATGGGCGTGTGGTCTCCATGCCCACACAGGAAGTATGTGCATGTGAGGGATCAGGGATCAGGGATCAGGGATCAGGCACTCCCGCTCCTGCGCGGTGGATGTGACTCTGCCCCTCCTCCCATCAGCCCTGTGTCCTCTCAGCTGCGTTCCCAGCCCAGGCCCGGGCTATGCAGGTTTCTGTGCACCAGTGCCTGGTGGGGCAGGTGGAGGCTGGGGTCCAGCCTACTGCTAGAGCAGTCATCACCAGGCTCTGGTGCCCCGTGCCCCCATGCGTGGGGCTCCTGGGCTGGCTGACACCCCCTTTCCTGCTCACACACAGGTCGGGGCAGGGCACTCACCAATGAAGGACACGGCCTTGGTGTTGATGATGCCGCTGGGCAGCAGGTGGAAGTCGTACTCTTTCCCATCCACCACCACCGTGTGGCCGGCGTTGTTGCCCCCCTGGAACAGAAACCCGGCTGAGCTGAAGGCACTTGGGTACTGAGGACCCCCCGGACATGGACTGACCCACATGGGGCTTCGTCTGTCCCTGCAGGGCACTGCTGTTGGATTTTGGGGTGTCTGGTTTGGTGGCCAGCTCTGATGCGTCTGTGCGGGACTGGGATGTGGGCATCCTGCACCTTGGAAGGAGGGCAGCAGTTTGGTCAGGGGCCTGGGTCGGGGAGGGTCTGGCCCAGGCTGGTGCCAACACCTCCAGGTGGCTTGGTGCAGGTCTCTGCAGCTGCGGGCCCCGCTCTGGAGCTCGCTCCTCTCATGCAGGAATGAGGAGGCCTAACCCTCCCACAGAACATGAATTCAGCACCCCCACGGCCAAACCTGCCCTCACCCACTTTAGCAGAAACCCTTCCCTTTGGGCAGGCACCTCCCGTCTAAGAATGAAAAAGAAAAAGCCATTCTGAGCCAGCCCTGTTCTGGGAAACACCCAGCCACAGGCTCCCCTCTCTGGGGGGATTCCTGCTGATGGTGGGGAGAGGGCCTGGGACTAGCATGTGCAGGCTCCAATCCCCCTCCTGCCATGAGACAGCCACATGATACAAGCAAACTGTGCCACGCCCTGGATGCCACTGCCTTCGCTTCCCCAAGGGCCTCTTGTGCCAGTGGAAGCTAGAGGATAAGCTAGGGACCCTCTCCAGGTGGGGCAAGAACCAAAGCCCTCCTGCCTTTTGCTTGGCTCTGCTCAGCAGGGCACAGGTCCAGTGGGTGTCCCCTGCTGCCCCCACCCTCTGCTCCTGCAGGGCAGGTGGGCTGGTGGCATGATGGATACAGGGACACTCCAGTCCCAAGGCACGGCTGATAGGGCTCCCCTACGTGCAGGCAGGAGGCCCCGCTTCACAGCTGAGGAAGAGGCAGCATCTCTGATGGCCCATGATGGCTCATTGCCCCTGAAGCCAGGCCCCCACCAACGGCAAGGGATATCCCTACAGCACCTTTTGGTCTTTATGCCACCATAAGAGACCCCTGTAGGCCCAGTGTGACAGAGCCTGGAGGGAGCCCCAGAAGGTCTCTGCCCCAGGAGAGAAGGCCAGGTCTCCAGCCCCACTTCTGGCCAGCCACTGGATGGCATGGGGGACCCTTCCTGTTGCCCTCTCTCCTTGAGCTCCACCTGGAGGGTAAGCAGGGTCCCGGTGGGGTTGCGGGGGGCCACACACGGATACCCTGCCCCACAGACTGGTCTGGTCTCTCCTTCACTACTTCCCTTTTGGGGCCCACTCTGTCCCCAGGACCCCAGAGCCCAGATCCAGCCCCACCTTCCTGCCTCACCTCCCGGCAGAAAAGCCCTCAACTTGTCTACGCATGGGGGATTCTCCCAGCCACACCCCACTGCTCTCTGCCCGGCAGAGGGGTCTCAGCTCCCCTCCCACCCTCACAAGCCTGGCAGTGGGGTGTCTCACATAGCCTTTCCCCGCCTGCCCAAGCAGGACCCTCCGTGATGGCGGCCCCCTCCCTCTGCACTAGCTCCTCACGATGCATCTGGACAAGAGTTACACGGAAACAGCCCCGGCGCCTCGTGGCAGGGCAACCCTGGGGACAGAGGGGGGGCAGATCCAGAGATGCCAGGCAGGGGGCTCACCCTCCTGGGACGTAACTTCACACACTGGCAGATTAGGCAGCACTCAGAGCCCTGAAGCCCCTTCGCAGGGCAGGAGTCCCCACCTCCACGCCCTGACTTCTGCCTGGCCCTGCCTGGCTGGGCCCAGTCCTTATAGGAAACCAGTTCAGGACAGTGGCTCTGGGCGGGGCGGTGCTGGGTGAACTGGGTGGGGATCCTGGGAGGTGGAGAGATGCAGGAAGCCTGGTGGCAGGAGGGAGGGTGGTCTGAGGGCACCTGGAGGCCTTGTGGGAGCTAATGCTGCCAGGCGCCAAGGCAGGGTGGGGGTGGAGGGTCAGGGTACTTCTGCAGCCTGGGCGGATGGGCAGGGCTCTCAGCCTGTGCTGCTCAGCAGACGCTGAGTCAGCCCTGGGCGCACAGGTTCAGTCCATCGGGACGGGGCAGGCCCTGGCGTGACTCGAACAGATTCTGGGTTTGGGGGTCACAGCACCCTCCTGGAGACCCCCACTCTTACTCTGTCCTTGCCTCGGCACATATGTGGTAATTCCTCTCCGCTGGGGTCATGGAGTACCTTCATGCCCACGACTGCATCTGCTGCCTTTTGGGGGCAGTCAGGGGTGAGGTCTCTGAGGACAGGTAGGGAAACTGAGAGAAGGGAAGCCTATCCCTTGTACACAGCCCCGCCTGGGCGGGGGGGCAGGCGTCGAGGGATGACCTGGCAGTCAGGCCAAGTGCTGCCTACCATGGCAGAGTGCCCAGTGCCCACGTCAACAGGCCCAGGAACGCCCTGCTAGGCACACCCTGGCTCTGTTGGGGGCAAACACAGGCTCCTAGGAACAGGCGCGGCTTGTCGTAGGCCAGTGGGTGTCCAATGACCGCAGGGCCAGTGCCAGGCCACCCCTGGGAGCAGGAGCCAGCTCAGGACGCTGAGCCTGGGGCCTGCTGATCCGCAGGGGCTCCCAGTTCTGGGGAGCCCAGGACGATGGCCCCAGAGAGACACCAGTCTGTCCTCCCCATCACCAGTTGAGGTCTCAGGACGTCAGGCTGCACAGGCACGTGGTGAGAGGCTGGGGACAAGAAGTCCTCCTGCCTTTCCTCCAGCTTCAGCCTGGGATTCCCACAGCAAAGGCATCCAAGGAGGGCTGGACAAAGGGGAACAAAGGAAAACTGGTACCGTCAGGCTGGGGCTCTGCACAAAGGCAGAGCCTTCAGGTCCAGGCCAGGGTCTGCCTTGCCATGGGAGCCACCAGCCAAGGCTGACCATGAGGCTGGCCGATGAGGAGGGACCAAACATCAGGGCCAGCCTCGCCTCCTGGAGAAGCACCAGGACCTTCTTTTGGAGCTGCCTTGGGCTGCAGGTGGACGCCAGGCCTCTCAGCACGGTGTGCAGGGCAGTCCGGAGGCTGCTGCCCTCTCACAGGGCTTCCTCCTCTTGCACAGACGCACTGGTGCCTCCAGCCCCACCGGTCTCCCTCTTCTCCTTTCCTGGCCCCTGCTGGCCCAGTAGATGGGTCCATGGATCCTGCTGCAGGGGGCCCCTCAGGGTCTGCTTGTTCCAGGCAGCCCGGCCCTGAGCCCCGAGTCCTGTCACCATCCCCCCAGTGCCGAGCCCCCAGGGCAGCCGCACTCACTCTGTCTTTCCTGCCTCATGGGGATAAGTGATGGGCAGAAGAGCCAGGGCGAGTGTGTGCCACGGGACAGCCCTGCTCAGGCACGGCTCCCACCACAGCCCCTCAGGCCAAGCTCCAGGGTCCCCACGTCCAGCCGGCAGGCCTCTCTGCCAGGCACCCCTCGGCTGCCCTGCTCCTCTGAAAGCAGAGCTGAGGCACCTGAGCTCTGGGAAGGCCATGGGCACATCCATCCTTCAGCCACCACTCAGGGTCCTCTAGGGGCTGCAGAGTCCTGCATTTACCTAAGATGCCCACTGCTGCCCCTACAGGTGGAGAGGAAGCCCAGCCCTGCTGCTCCTAGGAAAGGAGCCCCCTGCATGGCCAATGGGCTGAGCCACATGCTGTGAGCTGCCATGGACAGTCACCCATGTTGCACACTGCACAACTCTAGGGGGTGCTGTCACAGAGCCATGGCATGAATGATGGCGCCTAGAGGTGTAGCAGCTGCAGGGCCACATCATGCCACCTTTCCACTGTTTGCCAGGTCAGGGACAGTAGATTAAGGTAAGCGCCCAACTCTCAGAAGCACAGTGATGCAAGGGTGCGAGTGAGAGAGACGATATGAAGATGGATGGTGCAGAACACCTGCCTTGAGTGACCTGTACCCAAAGGCTCAGACCAGGCTGGGGGCCCAGAGTTAGGGGCACCAAGGGAGCCTGGTGGCCCCCTGGCGCTCTCTACCTGCCTCCAGGTTTCTCTTGGGGTCTTCCCCTCTGTGGTGCAGGCTTGGGTCAGGACACAGCTCTGAGCCCCCACGGACACTGAGCCCCCCCCCCCCCCCCACTCTCTGCCTAGTCTGGCTTGTCACTCACAGTCCCTAGGGGACATCCGTGCCAGCTGCCTCCCTGGTGGCAGGGAGTTTAGGAAAAGAGGCTCTCTCCATCCTGGACAAGGCCCACTCAGGAACCAAACACAGCTCTGACCCCTGCTTTGTCCCTGCGGGTCCACCCAACTCACCCCTCTGGGGGCCAGGGAAGGCACGGCCCTGTGGCCAGCCCTATCTCCACTGCCCCACTCAGGCCCCTCCCCTCCAGGAGGCTGTGCGCACCCTCACACCCGCAGCACCTCTCGGGGCCACTCCCCAGTCCTCCCACCATTGCTGGTCCCTCCAGGCATTTTATATATGTACATATATTTATAAGTAAATATCTCTCTACACCTCTCTCCATATCATCTATCTATCTATAGTCTCCAGGGCTGCCAAAACAAAATACACAGCCTGGACAGCTTTAAACAATGGAATTTTTTTTTGAGACAGGGTCTCACTCTGTCGCCCAGGTTGGAGTGCAATGGTGTGATCCTGGCTCACTGCAACCTCTGCCTCCTGAGTTCAAGCTATTCTACCACCTCACCCTCCCCAGTAGCTGGGACTACAGGCGCCCACCAGCATGCCCAGATAATTTTTGTATTTTTAGTAGAAACCGGGTTTCACTTGGCCAGGCTGGTCTTGAACTCCTGACCCTAAGTGATCCGCTCGCCTCGGCCTCCCAAAGTGCTGGAGTTACAGATGTACGCCACCGCACCCACCCGCTCCCCTCCAGGTGTTAAGGATCCGGCTCCTGCAGTCCTCCTGGGCAGGCAGGTGTGGCCTCCTGCATTTGACCCGTGGCTCCTCCAAGCCCTCTCCTCTCCCAGCGTCACCCTAGTTGGGCCTCCACAGGCACTGGGAAGGTGAGGGGTGGGCTGAGCTGGCACGGAGTGGCCACTCAGTAACTGGAGACTCCTTGGAGGCAGCCAGGGGAGGGCTGTGCTGTGAGCTGGGGACGAGCTGAGGGTCAGGGCCAGGTTCGTGGGCCTCTGCCCACCTCCTTGCCTCTGGGTTGCCACCCCACAGCTCCTCCCCACCATGCCGACGCCACGCTCCTCCCCACGACGCCGACGCCACGCTCCTCCCCACGACGCCGACGCCACGCTCCTCCCCACGACGCCGACGCCACGCTCCTCCCCACGACGCCGACGCCACGCTCCTCCCCACGACGCCGACGCCACGCTCCTCCCCACGACGCCGACGCCACGCTCCTCCCGACGCCGACGCCACGCTCCTCCCCACGACGCCGACGCCACGCTCCTCCCCACGACGCCGACGCCACGCTCCTCCCCACGACGCCGACGCCACGCTCCTCCCCACGACGCCGACGCCACGCTCCTCCCCACCACGCCGACGCCACGCTCCTCCCCACCACGCCGACGCCACGCTCCTCCCCACGACGCCGACGCCACGCTCCTCCCCCACGCCGACGCTACCTCCTCCCTCCCACGCCGACGCCATGCTGCTGACACGTGCAAGGCGTCTCCACACACAGGCTTTGTCCTTGCTCCTCACCTCCACACTGCCCAGATGGCGCATGCCCTGCCCCTGCACTGAGCTTGTCACCCGTGCGGGTCCCAGCCTTGCCCTGCAGCCATCGTCCTGCTCCTGTCCACCCCGTCCCTAAATCCTTGGGATGCCACCTGCCATCTGCCTGGCTTGGGGGCTGTCCATTGACCTCCTTTGACCTGCCAGGGCCCCCTCCACTCCCGGCCCACTTGCCACTGCCCTTCTCTGCCCTGCAGTCCATAGGCCCTTTACTGCCATGGATGACTCCTCTGGCCACAGCGTCTGCTTGGCCCAGGGTTCCCAAGGAGGCCCCTTTCTCCCCTGCAATGCAGCCCCCATCGTCAGCCCTACCTGCAGCAACACCTGGACGAGGCTCGCTACCTCCCATGCTCCAGAGCCTTCTCCTCCCCACAGCGTTAGCGGACTGCATGTCTGACGGCGCCGTGCCTCAACGCCACTGCACTCTGCCCGCTTCCCCCTCGGCCCTAGCTGTGCCAGGCCCATGCTATACCACCTCCTGGTTCAGCTCTCATGCAGGCTTGGGGAGGAGGGGACAGTGGAGTGGCTGTTTGCACCTCTCCCCCTGGAATGGGAGCGACCAGCTCTCCTGCCTCTGTGTCCATCCCCAGCCCTGGCCCAGGGCCTGGCTGTCAGCGAGCTCACGCCAGGCAGTGAAGGCAGCAGAGTGGCAAGCGCAGGGGGAGGCCGGCGGTGCTTTTCAGAGGCCGTGAGGCTCCTGGGCCCAACCTCTTGGCACTGGCACTCAATGGCAGTTTGTACGACGACTGTGCCCGGCACAGAGCAAGGGGCCCTGGCGCCCAGTGTGCACACACCTGTGACTACCAGTGTGGTGCAGTGGGTTCACCCACTTACACTGCTTCACTCCCTTCTGGGCTCTGCTTGCAGGCTCCCACCATTCATTCATTCCTTCAACCCAAAGGAATTGTTCTCTGCCCCTTTTGGTAGTGGGGTGAGGTCTGGGACAGAACCGAGGTCACTGCTACAGGTGTGCAGGTCTCAGCTGCCCGGGACTGGTGTTCCTGCAATGAGGCAGGGCTGTGTGTAACTGCAGGGACCCTCTGTCCTGGAGCCACGGCCCAGTAACCAGCACCATCAACAGTGCAGAGGTGGGGTAGGGGGAAGACCTCTTTCTGGAAGCAACCCCAGGCATTCCCTGGCCAAGGCAGCTGCCCCTCTGACTCCCAGAAGGTCTCTGGTGCACCCTGGAGCCTAAGGCAAAGCGTTACCTGATGGCCCCTTGGAAAGGGTGCCCAGAGCCCCAACAGCCACAGCACAGGGGCCCTCAATGCACAGGATGCCAGCTCCCACCTGGCGCTGCCACACCACAGAGAAACACCCTGTGATCTCACACCCCTGCATACATGGCCATAGCTTTCCACCCGTCTGCTGGCTGGACACTGGCTCTAGCTAGACCTGGAGGGCACGGGAGGCTGGGAGTGCGCTATGGAGACCCAGGGCAGGCCCCTTCAGCCCGTGTACTGGGCATGGCCAGACATAAACAGCCCAGTGCCCTGAGGTCAGCACTGCAGCAGAAGGACGGGGATTCTAAACCCTGACCAGGGCGCGCTGGAGCCCTGTGGTCCTCGGCAGGGAGCCCAGTTATCCAGAGGAAGTATCTTGGAGATGGAAGGAGGAACTAGGGGGTGAAGGCCGGGCACTGCCAGCCTGGGAACAGGGGGCAGGGGAGACCCAGGTGCACCTGCCTTCAGCTGCCCATTTGAGGGGTAGGAGCTGGACAGCACGCAGGGGAAGGAAACGCCATGGACGCAAGGGAGGAAGCACAGGCGGAGGTACCTGGGGACCCCCTCGGAAGTAGGATGGGGTGTCCGTGCCCAGAGAGAAGAGAGGGAACACAGGACCCCAGCACAGACAGGCAGACGATGTGATGTGGCCGCAGAGCAGGGAGGGCAGACCTGGCTCAGAGGAGACTCAGCCTGGAGGGGAGAGAGGCTTGGAAGCAGCCAGGGGAGCAGGCAAGGAGGAAGATGGCATAGTGGGGCCAGGGGGCATAGTGCAGCCGAACAGACCCAGAGCCGCCCTGGAATGGAGGAAAGACAGCCGAGGTGTGAGGTGGGGGTGTGGTCAGAAGGTGGGGGATGCAAAATGTAGGCTCAGCCTGGAGAAGGGAGGCCGCCCAGGAAACAGGTCCTAAAGGTGGACCCAAGGCGGGAGGCTGTGGGAGGTGACGACACTCTCAGGGGCCCCCAGATGCACTCTGACCACAGGCCCCAAACCACCGGGATGGGAAAAGAATGAGGCGAGCCGTGCGGGGCTTTGGGCAGCCCCAGATCACCTCTGGGCAGAGTGGAAAGTCCATGTCCAGGGTGAGCAAAGCAGCAACTCTTGCCAAGTGCCAGGGGCCACCAGGGGGCTTGAGAGCTGGGCTCGAAGTGATGGCTCTGCTGGTGCAGGCGTCAGCAGCAGGCAGAGCCAGAGCCTGGGTGTCCAGAGGCTTGGGCAGCCAGGGAAGGAGCATAGCCAAAACCCAGGGTGGCCCCAGGCCCAGGTGACCCTTTGGGGACTGGGGAGCAGAACAGGCTTGTTGCCAGGGCTGGCAGCTTCAGCCCTCCTGGCAGCCAGCCTGCCTCCCAGATGCGGCCCAGCCCGCTCTGCCCACGGCGTGCACTTTGACCACCTGGACCACTCGGCCCTCGCTCTGTCCTCTGCTCAGCCCCTTGAGTGAGAGGGTGAGGTTTGGCCTCTGTGCGCCTGGAGACCCCCATGTCGGGTACCTTCATCTGGCTTCAGGCATCCACACTCCAAGTAAGAAAGACGCAGTCTTCCCTGGGGAGATCCAGCCAGACCCTCTGCCAGCCTCTGACGACATGGGGTGGTCAGACATGGTGTGCACAAGAACAGGGGAGGTGCTGGGAGCCCGGTGGTAGGGGAGAACCCCCACCGCTAGGAGGAGAGATGGGCACTGTGAGGTAGGGGTCACTGAGCACTTGCAGAGAGCCTGGGGCTGGGGCCCCAAAGAAGACCAGTCCCTGACCTTCCCTTGCAGAGCGGCGCCCCGCTGAGATCCAGCTCGGTCCCCGCACTCGCAGGTGGGGACAAAGGGCCAGGCCCTGGGCTATCATGGTGGGCACGTGGCACCAGTGAGGGCTCCAAATGTGGCAGTGACTCATTCCTCCACGCCTGAGCCTCTGTTCCCCTGTGAAGGAGCTCTTCAGGATGATCCTGCCTCACTGGCTCGTGAGGAGGCTGCAGGGGGACAGGTGTGGGCTCCAGGGACAAACCTCTTTTATTCCCACTCACTTGGAGAGCCAGGGGCTCCCTCAGGCTATAGGGTGGCCTGGTGGGGGTGGCCTGGCGGGGGCAGCCTGGTGGCCGGAGTGCGGGATGGGCTCCAGCCTGCTGCATCCTCCGTGCTCCCGTGTGCAGCTGCGAGTGAGCGGGGCTGTGGGGGGACTGGGTGGGGGGCACAGCAGGGAGTGCCCAGATCCAGAACCATCTCCACAGCTGGGAGCGCGGAGCCAGGTGAATGCTGTGTACAGCACCTGTGGGGGCCCCAGCCCGCCCTGCAGAAGTGCATGGCGCCCACCAGAGCTGGCAGCTCATAGGGAGGGGCCTGGGCCTCACGGGAGCAGAGAGGTCTAAGGAGGGTCAGGGGCCGGGGCTGCCCCACGCTGAGGGCGCCCTGGAGGGTGAAGAGCAGTAGAGCGCTGGACATGCCCCCTGGCGGCCCAGGACAAGGTGGCGGGGCAGAGGCAGTGTGGAGGGAGCATGGGCTGAGGACCACCTCTAGGACCTGGGGGATCTCTGGAGCGAGGGATGTGCTTGCCTGCTGCTTAGGACGGAGAGCAAGGGGGGAGGTCCCCCACTGTTCCAGGAAGAACTTTCTAGGAAGCCACAGTCCCTTCCGGCAGGAGGGGCTCGGACAGCCCTGAGCCACACAGGGTGCTGGGCTGACTCCCTTCGTCTTGGGCCCCAGCCCTCCTCTCTGGAGCTCAGGAAGGAGGCCACAGAACCCGGAGAAGGGACGGTGCGGGGGCCCTTGTTCCATTATTGGCAGCAGCCCCAGGCAGGCTCCAAACCCCAGACGCGTGCATCCCAAAGTTGACCCCTTTGTGCCTGGAGCTGTAAGTCAGCCCATGGGCAGCAGACTTGGCTGCCCTGGCATGGGGCATGTAGCCCCAGGGTGGCGGCCCGAGAGAGTGCCCAGTGTGCAGCTCAGTCAGAACAGATGGGGGCGCTGAGAGCAGCTGCCGGCTGGCAGAGGCCCAGCCCTGGGCCCTGGGGGACAAAGCAGGTCTGGCCTCCTCGGTGGCACTGCCAGCCACGGGGTCACCCTGGCCAGAAGTCTGTGGCCCTCCCTCTCCCATGTCTGGCTAGGATCGTCCCAAGCACCCTCCCTCAGGCGCGGCCCCAATTGCCCCCCAGGACGGCCTGGCCCCCTTCCACCTCTGCCTCTCCTTGGCTGACTCACCGGGGTCACCCCCACCCAGCAGGCAGCTTTTACCCCCTCCACCACCTGCAGACCTTGCGGGGAGCCAGGTAAGCCCTATCCCAGACCCAGACAGGCCCCAGGTGATCACTGTAAATGAGGAAGGGGGGTGTCTTGGGGGTCCTCAAACCATCCTGGGGCTGGGTCCTCTGGTTCCCCCATGGAGGGTCCAGCGTCACACCCATGGCATGCGCCACCCCCTAAGGATCGGGTGTCCCCAACTCAGCGACTTGTATTTATAGCTGTGCCCTGGCCCGCTGCCGGGGTGGTGGAGTAGGGGTGGGTGGAAGGAGGGCGGTGTGTGTGGGTCGGGGGTTGTGTGAGTGGTGCGTGTGCGTGCGTGGGTGGGGTGGCCCTGGGAAAGGTGCTCCCGGAAGGAAGGCATCCAAGCGGGTGAGTGACCGGCCAGGGCATGGGAGGACAGGGGCCGTCTGGGTCGGGGGAGGGGGGCTCGCTGGGCGGTGGGGGAGGGACCCGGCGCCCCAGCCCGCACCTGGCAGCGGCTGATGATGTCGGCGTCCGTGGCCAGCAGGTCCACCACCTTGCCTTTGCCCTCGTCCCCCCACTGCGCGCCCAGCACCACCGTCACGCGGGAGCCGGTCGCCGCCGCCTCCTGCTGCAGCCGCCCCCGCTTGACGCCGCCTGCGCCGGGGGGCCGGTCGTTGGAGGCTCGGGTCCCCGACATGCTGGCTTGGCTCTTCCGCTGCGCTGGCCCGGCCAGGAGCCCGCCGCCGCCGGCGTCCGCGCCATTAAATGGAGCCGGGCCGGGGCAGGGGGCGGGGCAGGGGGCGGGCCGGGGGAGGGCCAGGGCGGGCGCAGTGACGCCCCGGTGACCTCCGGCCGCCACATCCCCGCCCCCTCGCCGCTGCCCGGGAAGCCCAGTTGAGTCTCGAGCACTTTAGGGGTGAGGGGCCGCACGGACCAACGGCCAGGCAGGCAGATGGCCTGGGGAGCCGCCCCCACGAATTTGCCAACGGAGGCAGTTTCTCGCTAGCCCGTCGGGGACCAGGGCTTGTGCACCGCGACCTCACCCCCCACCAAGCCCTTGCCGGGCCCAGGACTTCGGGGTTCCAGCAACTGCAGGGGTGGTCGTTCCCTCCAGGGAAGGAGTGCGGTTTGCAAAAGGGGAGCTGCGTCCTGCACCCCACCTAGAGGGTCCGCACTCTCGAGGAGCGCACCTGCCCCCCGTGGAACCCCGAGTGCCCTGGGCGCGGGCGCGCCCCCTGGCGGCCGCGAAGAGCCGCGCAGCGCGTCCTCTCCGAGGACTTTGTGTCCCCGCAACTGCCCGCACTTCTGCCCCACGGCAGGGGCCCCGCGTCCCGCCCGGGCGCGCTGTGGCTCGGGCCTGGCTGTAGCGAGCAGGCGGGCTCCAGCATGGAGCTCCGGCCCTCAGCACCCAAGTCTGGGGTAAAGGGACCCATCCTGTCAGCGTCACCTGGCTGGCATGGGAGCAACCCCCAGGGATGCACGCCACCGTGGGGCCCAGGTTCCCAAGAGGTCCCACACCAGACCTTCCCGGCCCAGCCTGTGGAGGGACTAGGCCCCAGAGGGAGGCGATGGTCTGCGAGGCTCCCGTGTTCCCGGCTGGTTGTCCTGTCTCACCCATCCCGCCCCACCCCTCCCAAGTAGATGAGGCTTGGAGGAAGCCAGCCCTGGTGGCCAAGAGAAGGGTCCTGGGGCCCCAAGGGCGGAAAAGAGAATCAGGTTCTTGCTTCAGAGCAGGGAGGCGGGGTCCTTTGTTCCCTCCCTGACGGCTCTCAGTTGCCAAAGAGCCTGGAGCCACGAGGCCCCTTGGGCTCAGGGCAACTCCAAGGCTAGTGACAGGGAGTCCATGGAGACGGGACACTCCCTGTGAGGAAGGAGTGGAGCTTGGGCCTGTCACAGCAAAGGTCGCTCACACTGAGTTAGTGATTCAGGTGCAGCCAAGGACACCACTGCCCACCCCTGCCTGCAGCCTCCCCACCCCTCCTCTCTTGGCACCTGACCGTGCCCCAGCCTGGGGGAGAGGGGCTGTTTGAAGCCTGGCCTCCTGCCCCCTGCACCCATGTCCCCAGTCCCCTCTTCTTCCACTGGGCACATCGACACTTCCTCTCCCTCAGCATCCTTGCGGGGAAAATGCCGTTGTATGGGTTCCAAGCAGTCAGTGGGGCCTCAGTGGAAAAGCAGTCTTCATGCATGAACTTCCTAGTGCCACCTTGGGGGTGACAGCTGGTCGGGGGTGAACAGACCACCGGCCCCAGCTTGGGAAGGGGCTGGAGCAGGGTTGGAGGGCTCTGAGATTTGGCAGAACCTGGAGCCTGCTGAGAAGGGGCTGCACCTGAGGGTGGGGCAGTGGGTCTGGGGGTGTCAAGGAGGGAATTTGGGGCACAGCAGAGAGCTGTGCAGGTAGGGAAGAGGCAGACTGCAACAGGAGAAACCAAGAGCGTCATGGAGGTTTGTTTCCAGATGAGAGAAACCGACAATGTTAAATGTCCACCAGGAACCACAAAGTCCCATCAGACAAGGAGGTGCTGCCAAGGCCTGGGGGGGGCCACCAGCTCTGAGCCCTTCCTGGGGACCCCTGGGGCTCTGGGCTAGCAGATGTCAGATAGAGGCTTGGGGGACTGGGGGACATGCTAGACCACCTCACTAAGGGGGCTTGGACTGACCCTGCAGAGGCGAACGCTAGTGACTCACTGACTTCTCCAGGCCCGGACTATAAATAGCCACGGGCCCGGGTAGGGGCAGGGAGTTGGGGCTTTTCTAAAAACAGTCCTGCCCAGGCCCAACAGCTGGGGCCCCTGCCAGTCACACGGCTCAGCCCGAATTAGAACACCTCCACCCCTTACCCCCCACAGTGGGCCTGTCCCCAGGTGTGGGCAGCACGGGAGCCACCGAGCTTGGGGCCATCCATCTGGGCCCTGCTGTCTCGATGTGTGACCTTGGGCAAGAACGAGGGTGCATGGGTGTGTCCACCTGTGGGTTCCACTCTTTGGGGGCCACACCTCCCAGTGGGACCATCGCACACAGTGGCCCAGGACACACAGACACCCACAGCCACCTGCATACACGCGTGCAGCCACGGAGCCTCGCCATGCAAGGCACCCCCAGAGCTCCTGTTGGTTTTGGTTCCTTTGCTGGCTGTAGCCCACTAAACTGACTTCTCATGGAGCACAGAGGAAAAAGAAAAACCAGGCTCCAGGAAGGGCAGCTCCTCCTGTCACAGGGTCCCCAGTCCCACCTCTCCAGGCAGGAGGGGCGATGGTCTCACTTGCTGCAGATGACCTTGTAGGTGACCCCACCCAATACTCCATAGTCCAGTTTTACTGGCAGTTCTGTGGAGGGTGGGGAGGGGGAGGAGTGGAGCTATTTAACTGAAAAACAATAGCATGGATGGGAATGAAAAATGGTGCAGCTGCTTTGGAAAACAGTTAGGCAGTTACTTAAAAAGTTAAACATAAACTTAGCGTGTCGCCCAGTTGTTCCTCCGCTACGAATCTACCCCAGAGCAACGAAAACTCGCAGCATCCACATGAGACTACACAGACGTCCACAGCAGCATCCACACGAGGACGACGCAGACGTCCACAGCAGCATCCACACGAGACTACGCAGACGTCCACAGCAGCATCCACACGAGGACGACGCAGACGTCCACAGCAGCATCCACACGAGACTACGCAGACGTCCACAGCAGCATCCACACGAGACTACGCAGACGTCCACAGCAGCATCCACACGAGGACGACGCAGACGTCCACAGCAGCATCCACACGAGACTACGCAGACGTCCATAGCAGCATCCACACGAGGACGACGCAGACGTCCACAGCAGCATCGAGGACGACGCAGACGTCCACAGCAGCATCCACACGAGACTACGCAGACGTCCACAGCAGCATCCACACGAGACTACGCAGACGTCCACAGCAGCATCCACACGAGGACGACGCAGACGTCCACAGCAGCATCCACAGGAGGACGACGCAGACGTCCACAGCAGCATCCACACGAGGACGACGCAGACGTCCACAGCAGCATCCACACGAGGACGACGCAGACGTCCACAGCAGCATCCACACGAGGACGACGCAGACGTCCACAGCAGCATCCACACGAGACGACGCAGACGTCCACAGCAGCATCCACACGAGGACGACGCAGACGTCCACAGCAGCATCCACACGAGACGACGCAGACGTCCACAGCAGCATCCACACGAGACGACGCAGACGTCCACAGCAGCATCCACACGAGACGACGCAGACGTCCACAGCAGCATCCACACGAGGACGACGCAGACGTCCACAGCAGCATCCACACGAGGACGACGCAGACGTCCACAGCAGCATCCACACGAGGACGACGCAGACGTGCACAGCAGCATCCACACGAGACTACGCAGACGTCCACAGCAGCATCCACACGAGACTACGCAGACGTTCACAGCAGCATCCACACGAGACTACGCAGATGTCCACAGCAGCATCCACACGAGGACGACGCAGACGTCCACAGCAGCATCCACACGAGACTACGCAGACGTCCACAGCAGCATCCACACGAGGACGACGCAGACGTCCACAGCAGCATCCACACGAGGACGACGCAGACGTCCACAGCAGCATCCACACGAGGACTACGCAAATGTCCACAGCAGCAGGATTCACAGAAGCCCCAAACTGGAAGCAACCCAGATGTCCATGGACAGAAGAGCAGACAAACAAAATGTGGTCCCTGCATGCAATGGAATGTGCTTCAGCCATGAAATGGAATGAAGTCCTGATACAGCCTGCCGTGAGGATGGCGCGTGAAAACAGCCGAAGGAAGCCAGGAGACATGCATGACATCTGGAGCGTCTGGAGTGCAGGTGAGTGGCTGCCAGGGCTGGGGAGGAGCACGGGGAAGGGGTCGGACTGATGGGTGCGAGAGGACTTCTTGGGGTGACGGAGAGATTCTCAAAATGGATCATTGCACAAACTTGATCTGCTGGAGAGCAAACACCACCGCAGCACACACATAACCAGGGAGTCTGGTGGTTTGTAAATTACGCCCCTGTAGAGCTGCACCCATCTCACCACTGTTGGATGCGGTTCACCACTGGGTCTGCCCTCTTCTAGATGTTTCTTACTGCCTCCTGAGGGCTCCAGGGACAGCCCCTGGCCTGGGGGACTGGGGGACCCTCAACAGTGAATGCTCACACGGTGCCTGGGGGCCCAGGGACCCCTCAACAGTGAGTGTTCACACGGGGCCTGGGGGCCCCTCAACAGTGAGTGTTCACACGGGGCCTGTCCAGCGCTCACCATGTTTGTGGGAGCCCACGTCCACCGCCCACTCCCGCAGCCTCTGAACACGACAGTCGCACACCGGGCTAGGTCTGCTTTTTATTGGCCACGCATCCAGCCGCCAGCCTCAGGGCACACACCTGGCAGGGGGCAGGCTCGGGTAGGCTGCCCTCGCTGGGTGGGCAGTGAGGGGGCAGCGGCTGCTGGGTGTCACCCTGCAGCCCCTCAGGTGGACCTGTATTGTCCCCAGGGCCTGCCCACGCTGGGCAGCTGGCACTGGGAGGGGTTTTCTGTTGATGTGATGGCCAAGTTTCAGCTGCAGGGCAGAGGCCTGGCAGTGGCAGCAAAGGCAGACCGCCCCCCACTCCAACTTCAGGGGCTGGACATGCTGGAACGGGGGCCAGACCCCATGGGAGGGGACCCTGGCCTGCCATGGCACTGCCTGCCAGCTTACCCCTGCCCAGGGCCCCCAACTCAGCCACCTCCAAGCAGTAAAGACTTGCAAAGCATTGCATTTTGATTAAACCTTGCTGGGCTGAAGGGCAGGCAGAGCTGTGGTGGACACTGGCAGGACGCAGCACCCCCCGACTGGCCCTTGGCAGGCTGCACCGGGCGCATGCGGGTGTGGGCCAGGGTTGCCTTTAGGAAGCAGGTGGGAGGCTGGCACGTGCAGGCGGTCCAGGAGGGCACCAGGCCTGGCAGGGCACTGGTGCCTGTCGGGTTCCCAGCCACAACACCCCAAGAAGGCTCCAGGAGGGCCCCGGCTGGGTAAGGCACGGAGTTTTGGTTTCCGGGGCCCAGTCCCAGCCTGGCCCCCAGAAGAGCCTCTCTTGGCAGAATGGCAGCATGTCCTGTGGCCTGGGCTCTCTCACTTGGCCTTGGGCCTGGGCCTGAGGCCTGTAAGAGAGAGAAAAAATGACATTATTAGGAGCAGTTTTGCTGGGTACAATATCAGGTGCCCGCTTCTGGGTGCCCAGGTCCCTGAACCCCTCATCGCCACTGTCCAGCAGGTTGTGCCATGCATCGCAGGTCCACTCTGACCCCAGGCTCTTTCTCTGGAGCAGCACAACTTATCTAGGTGGAAGGTGCCGGGCTGGCCTGGCCAGGCTGGGTTTTGGCAAGGCGTGGCAGCCTGAGCCTGTCTCCTCTCTGCTGAGATAGGGAATCTCTGTGGCCTGTCCCCCACCCCCTGTCTGAGACCCAGGCTGCACTCTGTCCTTACTCATTCATCCCCACTGCCACCCCCTGCAGCCCTCCATTGCTTCCACGTCGGGCCCTGGGCCCCACACGAGGACCCCAGCAGCGCTTTCTCCAGTGGGCTGCTGAGGGCGCTCAGCCCTGCCCCAACAGCTCCCGCCACCCAGACGGCCCCCACACATGGCCCCACAGGCCTCCTGCCCCCAACGCCCTCTTCGCTTTCTGGTCCAGGGGCCCTCGATGGCCCTTGTCTGAGTGTCACCCCCACTGCCACCACAGTGCCAGGTGGTGTCCCAGCTCCCCAGTGGGATGGCCCAAGCAGGGTTTGAGAACCACTACTCTAAACAGACAGCAAGAAAACAAAAACTATCCAAAACAATCACTCAAAGGAGGGTCTCAGCACCATTCCCCACTCAGGGAACCTGGAGAAATGGCCAAGACCAAGGCCCGTGCAGGGATGGGGGGATCAGCAAGTCTGGGGTGAGCTAGGAACAGGGGCTTGTGCCAAAGATGGGAAGCGCTCAGGGCCCCCGCTGGTCCCCATCAAATGCACGGCAGTGGCAGTGAAGGATTACTGCACGTTCAAAACTCACGTGATGGAAAAAGGGAGGGGAGGGGGGAACGCTCGGACGAGGGGCGGCGAACACAGAACCGCGCTGCAGCGGTTGGTTCCACAGGTCACCACCGGTGCTTATTAACCAGACAGCGTGGTGTTCGTGCAGTGGAGGTTCAGAAACCACCCCCGCAGCCGTGGTCAGCGCTGCTGCCACAAACGTCCCCACCCAGCTGGGGAGGACATGGCATCCCTTGGGGTAGAACTCCTGCCCCAAAACTCAACCTGGACCTACTTGGGGGCGCAATCAGGCAAACCCAAAGTGAAGTTATCTTCCAGAACGTCAATGTCATACAAGACAAAAAGGGGCAGGAATGTTCTAGAACAAAAGAGACTGAAGTGATATGATAACCAAACACAGCATGTGACTCTGGATACAATCTTGTTTGCAAAAACAACAAAGCAACAACTAGAGAAGGAATTATTGGGGCAAGTGGCACATCTGCACTGGGACCGAGTATTAGAAGCATGTGGACGTGAAGCGCCCCACAGCGGACCCTGCCCGGGGGGGACTGGGAGGACGGCAGCGCACCCTGCCCGGGGGGGCGGACTAGGAGGACGGCAGCGCGCCCTGCCCGGGGGGGGGACTGGGAGGACGGCAGCGCACCCTGCCCGGTGGGGGCGGACTGGGAGGACGGCAGCGCACCCTGCCCGGGGGGGACTGAGGAAGACGGCTGTGCTCTCAGGTGTCTGTGGGCGAGTTTAGGGCTCCAGTGCCATGATGTTTATAAGAAACTCTCAGATGCCTCAGTTGGAGGGGGGCAATGTAGCAAAATGGTCACAATTTTGGTATTTTTGGCAAATGGTTGTAATTTCGGGGAGAAGGTGTTGTTCATTCTGATCTATGCAGTTTCCTGTGGTGTTGAAGATTTTCTAAATAAAAAGGTGGGGGCTGGGCACGGTGGCTCACGCCTGTAATCCCAGCACTTTGGGAGGCCGAGGCGGGTGGATCACCTGAGGTCAGGAGTTCGAGACCAGCCTGACCAACATGGTGAAACCCTGTCTCTGCTAAAAATACAAAAAATTAGCCGCGCGTGGTGGCGTGTGCCTGTGGTCCCAGCTACTCGGGAGGCTGAGGCAGGAGAATCACTTGAACCTGGAAGGTGGAGGTTGCTGTGAGCTCAGATCGCACCACTGCACTCCAGCCTGGGCAACAGAGTGAGACTCCGTCTTGAAAAAAAATAAAAAATAAAAAGTTGGGGAGAGAAGAGGACTTCTTCCTCTTGCCCTCAGCCACGTGCGTGGCAGGAGCTGGGGCGGGTGGAGGCTAAGCACGTGTAGCAGGTTCAGGAGGGAACCAGGTGGAGCGTGGAGCTGGCACTGGACACGTCCATCTTTCACTGGACCATTGTCAGATGTGGCCGCCCGCCCCAGACCTGCATGCTCCACTGTTCCTCACACTCAGGGCCAGCAAGTCCAAGTTCCAGCCTCTAAGGGAGATGCCAGCACCTTTCTAAAAAGTACACGTGGGTGCTTCACACCAGAGAGCCACACTCGGAAGATGACCCTGGAAGCAAAAGCTGGAACCCAGGGTGAAGGCCGTGCCCCAACAGCGAGGACAAGCTGTCCGGAGAAGCTTCTCCGGGGTCACGACTGCTCTTGCCTCTGATGGGCACCAGCAGACCTCAGGTGTGCACCTTGAGCCTAAGCCCCAGGCCCAGCGGTCAGCATATTTGTGATGCACCGACACCGGGCTGGCTCTGAGCAAGGCTGGAGGTGCTGGAAGACGCCACGACCTGGGCTCACAGAGCTCATGATCGGCCGGGCTGGACCTTCTGGTTCTCTGCTCTAGCCCCTCCTCCACCCAGTGCAGGCTGGTCCTGTCTAGCTGGATGCATTGGCCTCTCCAGCCCTGTGGACGGACCTGGCTGATTGACCTTTGGCTGGTCGCCCCCCAGAAGACTCGGTGTGCGGGGGGTAATCTGCTTCTCCATAGACCCACCCATGGCCTCGGGGTGGGAGGACACTGTCCAACAGGAGGGGGGTTGCAGTGTACTTGTCCCTGGCAGCATCTGCCCTTGCGACTGTCCCGGTCTCCTCACAGACTTCCTGGGGACATGCCCCAGAAGGCCCCACGCCATTGACACACTTAGAGTGAAGATAGCCCTCCACCAACAGACAGAGCAGGAAAGCCACAGGGTTACTGGAACTGCAGTTAGCGCCAGGACACCAGACAGGAGCAACCTCAGCCTGTCCTGCCAGCCAGGAGGTCCCGCCCACGCCCCAGGGCCCGGATCCTGCTTGCTAAGGGAGTCCGGCTGGCCCTGCCACCTGCCCTCTCGAGGCCCGCATGCCCGGGGCCAGCACTGAGGTTGCGTCCTGCCTGCAGGAGGCACCAGTTGAGCAGGTAACCTGCGGAGAGGGAGGGGATGGGGCGGGAAGCCCACCACCAGGGCTGCGGGAGCGGCAAGGCCACACTGACGCACCACGCGGGCTGGAGAGAAGCCAGGTTAGTGTCCCGGAGGGGTGTGGGCAGCAAGCTCCAGCCCCACTGCCCTGCAGCTGCTGTTAGCCCCCACGGAGCGCCGGCTGCGTACATACCTTACTGGATCACACACAGTTTCTTTGTTTTATTATCATCAGAATCAGGGGGAACCTCTGCTTCCAAATAAAAGAAACGCACTCAACGGCTTATCACACAGAAGCAACCCTGACTCGGAGTGGGTGGGGCTGGGGGGCCCGGGACAGCCATGCCAACACCCTCTGAGGGCTGCCCGGTTCTCTGGCCACTAAGCCACATGGCAGCCACTTGCCTGGGACCTGGTGCCCGGTGTCCGCCCCCTACTCCCTAACGGAGGTGGCGTGAAGGTCGGAATTAGTAGGTTGGAGGAATAGTTGCACGGGCCGCGGCAGCCCACATAGCCGCCCTGCGGTGGACGCACTGCCGCCTCCTCTCCCGTGCCGCACCCAAGTCACCTCTCCTGGGTGCCGCTGGAACTTGCAGTGCCCAATGGGGAAGGGGAGGGACCGGCTGGGTGCCAGCGCCCTGGCGTGGGACGGTGCCCGGGGCCCCTCCCTGAGTTACCTTCCTGGCTCCTGGAGGGACGCTTCTTCCTTCGCTTCCCGGTCCCCTTTGAGGCCCGGCCCCGGGCCCTGGGGAGTGTGCCCGACCCCGAGGAGTCGGTCACCGCATCCTCGGAGAAGGACTTGTCCAGGGATGTGTCCAGTGCGGACTCTGGGGCCGTGTCCTCCTCGTCCTCGTCCTCATCCCCACCTGGGCCTGCTGCAGGGGGTCTGGCACCACGGCTGTGGACAGCGTCCTCCAGCCCCTCACTTGTGCTGTCGGCCTCGGCCTGGAGGACGCCCAGCAAGGACGTGGGATCCTTGGCATCTTGCCTTGAACTTCCGGCTGCAGGGGGCTGGTTGCTGGAGAACTTGAGGGGCTTCAGGGCCTGAGCATCTCCCAGAGTCACCGGCCAGGCCCCCTCCAAGGGCTGGGGGCACTGGGGATCCTCAGTGGTTAGGACATCGCTGGCATCCACATACCAGGAAGAACGCCTCTCCAGGGGCCGTGGACCACCCTCCTCCAACTGCTCCAGGGTGGGCTGAGGGCCGGGGGTCACGGCGTCTACAAGGTCCCAGCCCCGGGACTCGCTGGCTGTTGTAGCATCAAGGCCGGGCTCAGAGGCGGGACAGCGCGTGCTGCCCACGGGATCTCCTGCAGGGTTACTGGTGGCCACTGGATGGAGGGACACACCAGTGAAGGGCAGGCACCCTGCCCCCGAGCCAGCCCAGGTGCAGCCTCCTCCATTCCGCTGTCTACCTGAACGCCCTGCAAAACCTCCTCCCCAGAAAGCCTCCTCTGATGTCTCAGAGCAGGACCCGGCCTCAGCGTCCTTGGTCTGTCTACACTGTGGCAGGGTGGGGGACACTGGGCCATGCCATTCCCAGCACCCTGAGGCAGCCACCCCAGGAATGGGGTCCTCCCACCAGGGCCTTGCCGCCTGCCTTTCCTGCCACCTCTAGCACCCTCTGAGCCCAAGGGCATCGGTCAGTGGGCCTGGCCTCATCTCTCTGGAGCCCAGCGGGCTGGACTGCTGCTTCAGCACTGAGGGCAGGGCCTGCGGTTACAGTGGAGGAGCTGGAGTGAGTGGAGGGAGGGATGAGGGCTGAGCGGCCACCACCTGTCCCCTCGGCTGTCCCCAGTCTTAGGGGCCTCCAGGGTGGCCCAGGGAGAGGAGAGGGCTTTCCAGTGAAGTCAGGAGGACTTCCTGGAGGCACAGGGTAGGGACAGTGGCAAGGGGACCATGAGGAGGCAGTGGGAGAGGGTCTTACCAGGCTCTGTGGCTCTTGGGGGATCCATGGAGGCTGCCTTGCTGCCCCCGTCGGTGTCCCCGCGGCCCCGGGCTGTCTTCCGCAGCTGGAAGCCCTTCCTGATGTCAGCCAGCAGGGCATCGATGACACACACCTCCTCCTGCTTCCCGGGCCCCTTCCTGACTGAGGAGCGTGGGGCACTCAGAGAGCGGCATGGGACCCTGGAGCCCACCTAGAGGGCTGGGGGTGGTGGGGAGGCTGGAGCACAGACAAGGATCCCAGAGTCACCCCCTCCCCGCCCAGCCGGCCCAGCCTCACCAGGCTTCCCGTCCTCTCCCCGAGGCCGCCGCGCCTCCTCCTCCGCCAGCTGCTGCTTCCTCCTCTCTGCCTTCGCCGCCTGCTCCTTCCGGTCCTTGTTCTCCTGCACTGGCAGATGTGGCCCCGTCACCCCAGCGTGGCATCCCTCAGGGGCTCCATGGGCCTGGGCGTCCCCCTCCCTGAGCCGCAGCAGCGCAGGGCCCACATGGCTGTGTCGGCCCGACGAAAGGTGCCTCTGCCCATCCTGCCGGAGGAAGGCCAGGGGCCTCGGGACCCCACTCTAGCCAGACAGGCTGTGTCCCGCCGGGCTGCCCCACCTTCAGGGCGCGGAGGAAAAGGTCCCGGAAAGCCTTCATGGTGCTGAACGTGTCCTCCAGGGACAGCTGCTGGGCGTCCTCACACAGGTAGTCGGCCAGCTCCCGTTGCTTCTGCTCGATGGCCTCAAACAGCTCATCCAGTGCCCGGAAGGCCGAGATGCTGGCCTGGGGGCAAGGGCACGTGACAGTCCCGTGAGAGCCCCGCGCGGGCACCACCCGGGGTGAGGCCCTGAGTTGCGGGAGGGTGACGGCCACAGGGACAGGCCCTGAGGACGGTGGTCTCTGACAAGGAGCAGGGGCCTGTGCCCTGACCATGCACACCTGGGGAAACTCGGGCCCCAGGATCCACCCTGGAGCCAGGAGACAGCACAGCCACTCGCCCAGCTCACTCTATCAGGGCAGCCTCTCCCGCCAGCCCCAGGCCCAGGTGCCCACTTGCCTGGAGGCGCTCGGTGTACTGCTCCTGGACCTCGGCCACGGAGGCAGACACCTTCCGCTCGGTCTCCAGAAGCTTCTTCAGGTTGGAGCTGGCCTCTGAGCGGATGATCTCCAGGTTGATCCTGAAAGGTGAGGAGGGCCGGGCAGAGACAGCAACGGCTGACGTCAGCCTCGCTGGGACAGGGGAGCCCCTCCCCTGCACCCCCCGGCACCCCACTGTGCACCCTGCAGGCTGTACTCTGAGGCTGCACGTGCAGTGTTGGGGTTGAGTGCCTGTTCCAGCTGACCCTCAGCCCCCTGTGAGCATCTGGGCGGGGACCCTAACGGTCAGCCTGTCCTGCTTGCCTAGTTCTCCCCAAGGCTGAGCAGCTCCTGAGCCAGAGAACCTTCCAGGGCAGGTGGAGCCCGGGAAGAACTCCGTGCTAGGGGCCCGGACTGTGTAGTGGGGTGGCCCAGGCTGCCCTCCTGCCTGGGTTGTGTGACCCAGGAGGTGACACTGCTTTCCTGGGCCTCCGTTTCCTCATCTATACAATGAGGGAGGCCCGAGCCTGCTCACGGCTGTCGTGAAGGTCCACCTTGTGAAGGGGCTGTATTAGACCTGCCCGTGGTGTGACCCTGACCTGGCCAGCCCTTGCCCACTCTAGGCCTGTTTCCTCGCTTAAGTCAGAAGGGGATAGGCCACGGCAGACCCGGTCCTGTCCCAAAAGGGAAGTGTTCTATTGGGCAGGGCTCCGTGGCGCCGGGGCTGCGCTGCAGCTGTGAGACCCAGCCCTGGCGGGCAGCCACCTCACTGCCTGGGGACAGAAGTCAGGCCCCCACCTGGCTGAGGTGGGCGGGCTGGCAGGAGCTACCTACCCTGCTGCTTGCGAGGGCTGTTCCAGGTCCCGGGGCAGCTGCAGGAGGTCGGGGTGGCTCTTTTCCGCTTCCTGCAATGGGACACGTCCAGTGAGATCCACTGTGGTCATACTCTCCACCTGGGGATGACCCTGTTCCCACTCCCCCAGCTCTAACCCTTAGCAATTAAGGTCCAGAAAACCCCCAGTACTCCAGACCCTCAAATCTTTCCCTTGGGCCTGGCTATGACTTTGTGATGTTTCTGCTTTTCCTAGGGACTGTCCCCCAGATCAGGGACAGGTATCCTGGGGAGGGACAAGGCTCGTGCAGGGGAGCCAGTGCTGCAGGAAGGAAGGGGTGCTGGGAGGGGTGGGGGCGTGGCTCTGACTGAGGCTGCTGGCTCTAGACGGAGCCCTGAGACAGGGAGACCGGCGGCCTGAGTGGTGGGCATGGGGGTATGGCCTCTACGCCTCTACACCCCAGGTCCGGGGGGACTTGAAGCCCTCCCATTATGCCCCCGCCACCACGGCCCACCTCCAGCACGTGGTGCAGCAGCGTCACGCGGTTCTGCTGGGACTTGGTCTCCGTGAGCTTCAGCAATGTGCTGATCTTGAAGCCGTCGGCGTCACCGGTGTGGCTGCCCTGGGAGGGGCAGGGAGTGAGTCTCACCAGCCCCTGGCACCAGGTGGGATGGGGAGCTGCCCCTGACTTACGTAGTTGAGGAAGTTCCCAATTCTCAGGATCAGCTGGCAGAAGATGGGCAGCTGGCGGCTGGTGAGCAGGCCTGCAGGGGCAGCCAGGGCTGGAGAGGGGCTCTTGGTTCGGAGCCCCCAGATGCCCTGGCGGTGGGGTGTGGTCCTGCTTGCCAGTGCCCCTGCACTCCCTGGCTCCTCCCCAGGCTCAGCCCAGCACCGGAAGGATCACAGGACAGGGCCTGGGGGCTGCAAACCCTCCACCGACGGGAGTGGACACCTACAGTGTGCCTGACAGACGTGAGCTGTGCCTCACTGGTCCGTACCTGTCCCTCTCCCTGCCCAGTGGCTGTGGCAGGTCCCCATGGATTCCCCTTTCAGAGATGGTGCCCGTGTGTGTGCACTTATGTCTGTACATGTATGTGAGGGTGTGTGTGTTGGGGGGGTGTGTACGTGTGTCTGTGTGTCCTGTGTGCATGTGTGTGACTGTGCTTGTGGGCTTGTGTGTGTGCACGTGCCCGAGTGGCGGTGTGCATGCGTGTGTGCACGTGCCTGAGTGGCGGTGTGCTTGTGTGTGCGCGTGCCGGAGAGTGGCAGTGTGCTTGTGTGTGTGCACGTGCCCGAGTGGCGGTGGGCATGCGTGTGTCTGTGCGTCCAGTAGGTGTGTGCACCGAGGTGGTGGCAGCAGGGTGGTTTCCGGAGTGGTGGTGAAGGCTGGCACCCTTAGGTGCTCTTAGCAGCCATTATGATACTGGCAGTAGCAGGGGCCCCGAGCAGCCCTCCCGCCCCGGTTCGGAGGCCTGTCCCTCCTGCACACGTGCCCCGCTTGGCCCCACTCACTTTCGCAGGCAGCCAGCACCAGCTGGGCCTTGGGCCGCACCATGTCCAGCACGGCGGCCGCGCCCTCACACAGCAGCATGCACTCGATTCGCAGCTGGTAGCTGGGGATGGCACAGACAGGGATCAGTGGCCTGCACCCCCCACCTGTCCCTGCCAGAGGGGCACTCAGCACAGGGCTCTGGCTTGGGTGGTGGGCAAAGGGAGGGGGTTTCCACCGCCTGCCCCATCCAACAGGCACCCTCCCGGGCCTGCGCAGAGCAGGATCCAATTCCTCCAGAGGCCTCCAGCCCCACACTTTGAGGGGAAGGACTGGGGGTGGGGCTCGAGTGATGTTTAGAAGCCCAACCGCTGCAATGCTGCTCCTGGAGCCCGGGGCAGCCATTGGCACAGCCTCTTCTCCTCCCTGGCTGGGCCCTGCTCCCTATTCCTGCTCTCCTCCCACCTGGGGCCCAGGCCCTGGGGTCTGAGGGCGGCCATGCTCACCAGGGAATGGCCAGCAGGAGGAGGTAGAAGTGGTCGGCGCTGGCCAGCTTGGCTCGCTCCTCTGTGAATGCCCGCAGGTTTTCAATCTGCCAGGAGGAGAACGGCATGTGGGATCCCCCCATGCCAGCTTCCCGCCCTCCCGGACTGCCCGCCGGGCTCAGCCCCTCCAGTGCCCATCATGGCTCCCTGTGGCTCACGGTTCAGGGCAGAGGTAGGGCTGGGATGCCTCCCTTCTCTGTCTCCCTGCTGGGAGCCCCCGGGACAGCCTCTCCCTTGGTTGGTGGCACTAACTGGGGGTGGGGTGTGGGGGTGGTCCTCTTACCTCGTGCTTCTCGGGAAGGAGCTTAAGGAGTTGTTTGAGAACCTCCACATCAAACTTGGTGGTATCTCCAGCCCGGATCATAGCAGCGACCTCCTCGTTGGAGCTGGAGCAGGGAGAGGACCGGGCAGGGGTGAGTGAATCATGAGTCACCCCCACCCAGCCTCTTTGGGACCCCACCTGGCAGGGTTTCCCCACGTAGTCATGGGGTGGCCAGGGCAGGGGGGACACAGAACAGTCGAGTTGTTGCCCACGGTCACGCGGTGAAGGGGACCCAGGCTGACTCCCACCCTCGCTACCCTCCATGGGCCCTGCTCAGGAGATGCAGGATGGGTCGGGTCCAGCCAGCTCCCTCGGGCCAGTGCTGGACACCCGCAGCAGGAAAGGACTCGGGGGCTGAGAGTCAGGGCCCACTGGTTTAGCCACTACTTGTCTGTGGCCTTGTGGGGGGAGGTCCCAGCGCTCTGTCCCTGGGAGCCTGGACAGCCCCTAGCTGGGGCAGCATGGGGCTATTACCCGCCTACAATCCTGCCTAGGGGATGCAGTGTGCACTTCCCATGGCGGCCTGCAGAGGGCACTGCTGGGCCCAAGTCAGAAGGCTCAGGTGGAGGCGAGGCTCCGTGGCCTGGGATGGGGGCTACCTCCCTCACTCACCACTTAAATTGCTTCAGGAAGATGTTGAGGTTCAGGCTCTTCTTGGCATCGAGGAAAGTGATCTAGAAAACCCCCCACCCAACAGGCTGGTACCGGAGGGTGGCCAGGCAGGCGGCCCCGGTCTGAGTCCCCTCCCCGTCCCCACCTCCTTGGGCTCCTTCCTGGCCCGGGGGGCCACCATGGTGGGCTCCTTGGGCTTGGCTGCAGGGAAGGAGAATAGTCGCTCGATGCTGGAGAAGTCGGGCTCCACAGCCTCGGCGTCGGGGCTGCTCAGGGACGCCCACATAGAGTTGTGCTCTGTCGGGTGGGGACACGGCCAGTGAGGCTCTCGCAGCCCCGGGGCCTGGCGATCCAGCAGGCAGGGGCTGGAGCCTCCCAGAGGGTCTAAAGGATGTCCTGCCTGGGGCCCAGTAGGTCCAGGTCCAGCGTACAGCAGGCACCCTACCTCCCTACCTGAGCACCTGTAGCAGGGCCCCAGGGCACCATGGCACCCCAGATGCACTGGCTCACGGGAGCATGTGGAGGGGGGTCCTCAGAGGTAGCCCCTGCCCTGCTCCTCCCCCGTCCCCACCTCAACCACAGGCGCCGAGCCCAGAGCAAGGGCCAGGCTGCCCTGGCCACGCACGGGCAGGACGCGCACACAAGTTCCATGTGCCACCTGCCCCTCTCCCCAGCAGAGACCAGCCCCCGTCCTAGGGGAAGCTTCCCTTGGGGGTCTGGGGACCCTCACCACGTGCCACGTTGGATGGCAGCTTCTGCCAGTTCAGCTTCTTCATGCGCAGTGTGGGTGGGTTCACCCGCCGATGGCTGGGGACCCATGCTGAGCCCAAGCCATGGTCCACCTGGGCCACGATGACCTCCTCCATGCCTCCCGCCACGGGGGGGCTGCAGGTGCAGGGCAGTAGTGGAGGTGGGGGTGGAGGAGGGCCCCAGCCCATACCAGGCAGCAGGGGTGGGGGTGGGGGCGGGCATCCCAAGCCCGGGAGTGGTGGAGGTGGTGGGGGCAGGAACTCACAGGAGCCTGGCAGGGGTGGTGGTAGAGGAGGTGCTGGGGGGGCCATGGCCCCCAGGCCTGGCAGGGGTGGGGGCGGGGGTGCTGTTGGGAGGGCCTTAGCCCCCACACTGGGCAGGGGGGGTGGTGGGGGAGGGGGAGGGGGCTCGGCACTGGAACCAGGGAGCAGGGGTGGGGGTGGGGGTGGGGGTGGGGTGGACGCCTGCTGCTCCAGGGCTCTGGGCTGCGAAACTTTCAGGATGCTCTCACTCTGGGCGTGGTCCACGGGCTCGCAGGCAGCAGCTGCTGCTGGCTGCTGGCCCTCCACGCTGGGCTTGGGGGTTGTAGTGTTTTGCGGGGAGCTGCCCCTCTGGCTCTGGTCTAGGTTGGCCTGGACGCTTTTATGGGCCTTGACCAGGGGGCTCGGTCTGGGTCGCCCCTTGACAGACAGGAGCCGCTCAACCACTTCCTCCAGGGTGCATTCCTGGGCTGCAGTAGGGGATGTCCAGGGTCAAGGGAGAAGGGAGCCGGAGAGGGAGGGATGGGGGCTTGAGGAAGAGGCAGGAAAAAGCGGCCACCTCCCCTGGGCAGAGGATGGGTTGGGGCCAAGGGCAGGCTCCCCCCCCCATGGTCTAAGACCTCAGTGTCTGCCCACCAGGCTGTGCCTACGCCCCTGCCCCGCCCCCTCACCATCGCTGGCCAGGAGCACGGCCCGGTTCACGAGGCTCTCCAGGGCCTCCCAGAGCAGCTGGCTGGAGCGGAGGGTGGGCTCCAGGTGCAGGAGGCCCTGCAGCACCGACAGGAGCTGGGCAGACACCGGGGAGCAGCTCACCTGGACGGGCGAGTGTGGGGTGCAGGTCAGCAGCCGGCCCCTCCCTGGTGGACTAAGGACTGTGGCCTGTCTGCCAGGGTGTCCAGCCCCATCACCCCCTCTATTCCCACGGATCCCTAGAGATGAGAGTTTCAGCGACTGTGGTACTGGTGACATGTGGGACTGTCCTGTGCATTATGGGATGTTAAACAGAACCACTGGTCTCTACCTACTCAATGCCAACAGCACCCCCTGCCCAGCCGTGGCAGCCAAAAATGTCTTCAGATGTTGCCAGATGCCACCTGGGGACACAACTGCCCCCAGATGAGAGCTGCAAGGTTCAGGGAATGAGGGGAAGGCCTGAGCTTGACGAGAATTCAGCCTCTTAGCCCCTCACCAAGCCCTGAGGCCTCTGAAGCCCACCTGATGGGGACTGGGCAGCTGGGGCCCAGGACAGTAAGGCCGGCTGTGGGCCGCACTGGTCTTTGGAGCCCCGTCCTTCTGGGTCCTGTGGCCCTGGCTTTGCCCCCAGGGCCCAGCCCGGCCCCCAGGCTGCCCGCTCTAGGCGCCACCTCCCTTTCCAACCCCTGGGTCCTTGCTGCTCCCTGGAGTCTCACCCCAAAGCTGGCACCATGGCCCAGGTCACAGCAGGGTCTGACCAGGGCAGGGAGGACCGTTCCAGGCCCAGCCTCTGGACCTCAGGGCCACAGCCTGCCCTGGAGGGCTGCCCTCCGCCCTGCAGCCCCCAGCCCACCTTGTGGAACAGGGAGGCAAAGACCTCCTGGTGGCTGCTCATGTCGACCCCGCCAGAGACTCGCAGCAGCTCCTCCTCGTCCTCGGCCTTAGCCTCCTCGAAAGCCTCCAGCTGGATCAGCAGGTCGGCATCCTCCAGGTCTCTGTGCAGGAGGGGCCAGGTGGGCTAAGCCTGCTGCTGCCACCACCAACACGCAGGCGGGGCAGCCTGGGTCAGCGCCAGTGTACCAGCCCCGCTCAGCCCACCTGGGACTCTGAGCCAGGCCATAGCCAGCTGTGGCTGACATGTGACCCACATAGCCAGGGATAGCGACCTAAGAGTGGCAGCTCCCAGGTCAGTGCCTTGCGCCCTGCCAGGCTGCCCCCGGGTCACCAGGCACCCGCACGCCCCTGGGGAAGGGGAAGGGCGAGTATGCCCACTCCCATCGAGTAACGTGCACCAAGGCCTGGGGAGGTGGCACACAATGGAACCGGGCCGTGACCTTGGGGGAGGGAAGGCCCTCCCCTGGGCGCTGCGTGACTACAGTGAAGACCACACCTGAGGTGGGTCCACAGGGCTGCATGGATACAGGAGGGGCGGGGCTCTGGCCTGAGCAGGAGGAAACTTAGTGTTCACTGGGCCTAGGACTTGCCAGTCATCTCAGTCTGGTCAATGAGCACAGCCCTCCGCAGGCAGGGCCGGCCCCCTTCAGCCCACACTGGTGGGGCACAGGCACCCATGTGGGCAAACTTTGCTGAGGCCATTTCTGTTTTTTTTTTTTGAGATGGAGTCTCGCTCTGTCACCCATGCTGGAGTGCAGTGGTACGATCTCAGCTCACTACAACTTCTACCTCCTGGGATCCAATGATTGTCCTGCCTCAGCCTCCTGAGTAGTTGGGATTGCAGGCACATGCCACCACGGCCAGCTAATTTTTGTACTTTTAGTAGAGATGGGGTTTCACCATGTTGGCCAAGCTGGTCTCGAACTCCTGACCTCAGGTGATCTGCCCATCTTGGCCTCCCAAAGTGCTGGAATTACAGGCGTGAGCCACCGCGCCTGGCCCCTGAGGCCATTTCAACACCAGGCATTCTAGCCCTGGGCTCCTCCAAGCTGATTTCCCTGGGTGTAAGGACACCCCCCTGAGTACAGTCCTGACTGAGGCCTGGATAGAGCTTCTCAGCTATGTGGGTTCCCAGCAGGGCTGCAAGATTTAGCAAATGAAACTACAGAGTACCTGTTCAATTTGAATTTCAGACAAACAATGAATAACTTTTGGCATAAGTATATCCCATGCAACATCTGGGATATACTTACACCAAAATATCGTCTGTTGTGTATCTGAAACCTGAATGAACTGCATGTCCCATACAGTACCTGGCAACCCTAGTTTCTTTTTTAAAAAATTTTTATTTTAGACTCGGGGGTACATGTGCGTGTTTGCCACATGGTACACTGTGTAACGTAGGCGATTTGCCTTCTAGGGCAGTGGTCCCCAGCCTTTTTGGCACCAGGGACTGGTTTTGTGGAAGACAATTTTTCCATAGACTGGGGTGACGGGAATGGTTTAGGGATAAAACTGTTCCACCCCCGATCATCAGGCATTAGATTGTCATGAGGAGCGCGCAGCCTGGATCCCTTGCGCGCGTGCGTGCGCTGGAGAATCTAATGCAGTGCTGATCTGACATGAGGTGCAGCTCAGGCAGGAATGCCCGCCCACCGCTCACTTCCTGCTGCGTGGCCCGGTTCCAATAGGCCAGGTACCGGTCCGCAGCCTGGCGGTTGGGGACCCTTGTTCTAGTGGGCCTGACACCAAGTAGCGACGAACACTGTACCCTGTAGGTAGTTTTTCAACTCTCGCCCTGGAGCCCGTGTCCCTGTCTCCATCTTGCGTCCACGTGAACCACCCTGTAGTTCCCTCTTATTGGCATTTCATTTTCTGTTTCTGGGTTGGTTCACTTAGGATCACGGCCTCCAGCTCCATCCACGGTGTGCAAAGGATATGAGCTCATTCTGTCCTTTCTATGGCTGCTGCAACCCTAGTTTCTGTGGGCAGCTGCCAGGGACAGTGAGCTGGATTCTAGCCTGAGACCTGGCTTCTGGCTGGACCCCTGGGGTTACTCCGAGGGAGCCACCTCCCTGCCATCTGGAGGTGCTGCTTAGGTGAGGTGGCTGGGAGCCAAAGGGCAGGTGGGCCTGGCCTTGGGAGCAGGAGGGGGAGCCGGCAGGACCGCTACAGTGGGGACTCACCGCAGGCGAGCCAGGACGTCCAGCAGCTGCAGCCCTGGGAAGGGACGGACAGGGTCAGAGGGTTCGGAGGCCACTCCCCGCCTTCCCCATTTCACTTCTGCCACCCAGAGCACCTGACCCTGCCCTGCTGCACTCATGGGACACCAGAGACCTGAGGCTCTGGAGGGGAGACATCATGCTGGACACACAGTGATGCTTACTCAGGGCTCACTGCCAGAACTGGCAGGGCTAGAACGAGGTCTCAGGCCCCCTGTCCGGCTCCACTGCCTGGCCAGTCTCACAAATGAGAACGGTCCAGGGTTGACCCCCAGGCGTTCTGAGGCCTGTGTCCATTGAAGGGGCAGGTGGTGGCAGGCCCGAGATGGCGCCTTCCTCTGGGGCCCTGGGTCGGGGGCAGCTTTTGTGGCGCTCCCACCTCCCCAGGTGGATGCAGCATGGGATGCACTGGCCAAGAGGCGGGCAGGAGCGGGCATGCGGCCCAGGGCAGGTGCTTACCGATAAACTCGTTCCGCAGCTGGGTGCGCGCGCGCAGGTCCTCGGGGCCCAAGATGACGGCGTTGATCACGCTAAGCAGGGTGACCACGTAGGGCACGTTGTCGCTGCCGGAGAGCTCGTTCATGACAATGCTGAAGCGGTACTGCTGGCTGCACACCGTCTGTGGGGAGGGCGGGGTCAGGGCACACCCAGGCAGGGAGCCCCATGTGCCCAGGCCCAGGCCCTGCCGCCCACCTTGTAGTGGTCCAGGGCGTCCAGGGTCAGCACGTGGCCCTCGGGAGAGTAGATGCACAGGGCAGCCAGTAGCTCAAACACCTGCTTCTTCACCATCACGTTGGATGTGTCCAGGGCTGCCAGGGTGGAGTGGGCAGGCTCAGCAGGGCCAATGCACCCCTTCCCATGCCTGTGCAGCTGGGCTCAGGGCTGGGGCTCTGGGCCTGGCAGGCAGACGCCAGGGGGTGCCGGGCACTTGTCTGTGGCCCACAGCAGTGGGCTGGGACCCAACGAGGTGCCCCACTCCTCGGTGTCCTGGCCCTGCTCCTGGACCACAGGGCCAGACCCTGCAGGGAAGGGCTTGGAGGCAGCTGCCCCATCCTGTCACTGGCTCTGGGCCCAGCTTTTCTCCCAATGCAGCACTTACTGTGTTTATGGCAGACACAACCTCATTCCTATGAACCCCTGCCTCCCACCCCATCTGGAGCTGTGAAAGTTCTGGGGGTGTCTCTCATCTGACCCTGCTGAGAACAATTCACAAAAGACTCCATAGAGGGGCCCTGCCAGGCCCAGGCTGGGGAGACGGGCTGAGAATGGCTGGCCCCTACACCTGCCTCTGTCCCCTGGGTCCGACAGAAACGAGGCGCCTCTGGCTTGCTTGCCTGCACAGGTAACTGCCGCCCCCATGGGCCCAGCCCCGCCCATCACTGCCCACCCTAGCTCGTCCCCAAGCATCGGTAGGACCTGGCAGCAGCCATGGAGTGGCACAGCAAGGGTTTCTCTCAAGGGACCGGGACTAACTTTGGGCACAGCCTGGGGAGACTTCCTGGAGGACAGGAAAGTGAGCTGGGGCTTAAAGGCTTAGCGGCGCAGGACCTTGGAGGACGCAAAGGCAGAAAACACGAGCAGAGGCAGAGACCAAGGGCCTGCCTGCCTGCCGGGAACGAGTCCCCTGGGTGCTGGAGTAGGGGACAGGGCGGGGAGGGAGGCGCTAGGGAAGGCGCTGGGAGGTGGAGGGTGACACCATCAGTAGGTGTGGGCCAGACCTCAAGGGCTCTGTCTGGGCTGAGGCTGAAGGGCTTGGAGCTAGGCAGGTGTATGTAGGGAGCCACTCGGGTGGATTCGCATCTCTGACTCAGTGACTCCTGCCGCCGAGGTGTGGACGAGGGCAGAGAGCCCAGAGGGTGGGAGCCAGCACAGGACGGGGAGGAAGGGTGGGGCAGAGCCACACAACAGAGAGGGGCACAGGGGGACCGCTGGTGCAGCAGTGCGGGGACTGGGGTGACCTGGAAGCCTCAGACTCGGAGTGAATGTGGATGTTTTTCCTGAGCCCAGGAAGCCAGTCCTCCTCCAGGAAGCCCTCCTTGCCTGCCTGGCTGCGCTTCCTCCTGGTGGTTCCCCAGGCCTCCCGGGGCCTTTTGGGCCTGAAGCCTCATACCAGGTCCCCAGCGTCCGCCTGGGCGGCCCTCCCACACTGCGGCTCACCCTGGGAGAGCTGGCGCACGTAGCCCTGGTTGCTGAGGATGTACTCGATGCCCTGCCGCGAGTTCATGACGGCGCGCACGCAGCTGACGCAGGTGAGCTGCAGCAGGGCGTCGGAGATACGTGCAACGCCGCGGCCCGACAGCCGCGCCAGCGCCTCCAGCAGCAGGTCCAGGCCGCTCTGCTCCAGGAACTGCACCATCCAGCCGCCGTCGCTGCCCTCCAGGCGCTTGCGCAGGCCGGAGTAGTTGACCACAGAGGGCATCTGGAGCAGCCGGATGCACAGCTCGGGGTCCGCGCTCTCCAGGTTGGCCTCCGTGGGGTCCGAATCCTGTGGCCCCAGCTTCTCCTTCAGCGCTGCCCACTTGCGCTGTGCGCCCTCCTTCACCGACATCTTGCCGAGCTGCAGGCAGAGGGCAGGGAGCCGTCAGCGGGGAGGGGATGGGGGCTGTCCTCCTGGCCACCAGCGCAGGCGGGGCCACTTCCCTCGGTCTCAGTTTCTCTGCTGCAATTCCTGCTCACGTGCCATGCTGAGGGTTAGGGGTAGCACTGTGTCCCCCACTATATCTTAGGCTTCCCTGTACCCATCCCTGACCGAATTTCAGCAACCGAGGCGGCAGGCAGGAAGGGCCCTACTGCGCGCATGAGGACCCCGAGGCTCAGGGCTGGGAGGGGAGGAGCCGGCTCAGAAACCTGCAGCACGAGGCCAGCACGGCCCCTGCAGAGTGACGGGACCGGATGAGCTTGGGGAGGACTCGGGGGAGCGGGAGGCTCCCCTGGCTGGAACATTACCCACGGTAATGATGCGACAAAACGGCGCATCTGAGGCTGCCTTATCTCACCCCAGGGCACTTCCCCCGCCCCAGTGGACAATATGGACAGGGAGATTCCAAACCTCAGGCATGCCTGGGGTGCCCACAGCGTCAGCAGCGTGGCTGGGGAGGAGGGGCGACTCCCAGGTCTCCCCTGGGCCTCAGTCTGCCCGTCTGCATGTGGGTAGGGGGCCCACACCAACAGGAAGACGGAAACCCTTGGCACTCAGGGTTTTACCAGGATTCAGTCGCAACAGGTCTGACTCCAGCCCTGGGAACACCCGGGTAGGTAACAGGCCCAGCCCAGAAGAGCCCCAACACGTGCCTTTCCCCAAAACAGAACAGCAGGACAGGCGGGTTGCACCTCTGACATCAGCTCCACGCCACCACATCCCCCCAGCCGCTGTCCCCAACCACAGACCCTGGGAACTGGCCTCGAAGGTCAGGGGCATCCCAGGCCCTCCTGCAACCATGTATGGCTTAGATCTTATATTTAGCGTCTGAGAACAGCAGCGTGGAGCCTCGGGGAGGGAGCTAGGGGGCCGGGCCTGGCAGGGACACGCTCTGAGCCTCCACCCCGGCCCAGCACTCTCCACCCTGGCCCTCGGCTTCCCACCACCTCCAAGGCAGGCACTTTATACCTCCCACAACAGGTGGGGAACTGGAGGCGGCTGGGTCCTAGAGAAGCTGGGTCTGTGCCCACAGTCCCACACCTGGGCACGGCTGGGCTGTGACTGGAGGTCCCACATGGCTTTGCTTCAAGTGCTGCCCAACCCGGTAAGTCAGGGGACCCCAGGCTGAAGGGCATTTGAGGTCACGGGAGCTGAGCGGGGTCGAGCACCCAAGCGCCTGCCTCCCCAGGAGGCTCTATTCCTCCCCTCCTGCCTTGGGAGAGTGTCCTGGAGCACCTGCCCTTGAGGTCTCAGGCCCACTCCCCAGCCTGGTCCACGACCAAGCCTGGTGTTTCCGGCAGTCCAGCCCCTACTCCCCGCACCGCCCCTCAGCCCTCCACCTGTCCAACTGCCCCAGGGGGCCAGTGGGCTCCTTCCAGGAGGCAGCCTGACAGGTGTAAGCCAGGGTTCTGATCTGCATGTCCCCAGCCCGGGCCCTCACCAGCAGACCTTGGCCCAGTCACTCATCCTGCCTGGGCCTCAGTTTCTTCTTCTGCACCTCCAGCACCAGGCTGCCAGGAGCATCCTGAGAGGCTGTCCTTGGGATGCCCCTCCTCCCTGCAGGGGGTCCTGGTCTGGGCACTGTAGAACGGAGAGCCCGGAGCCCCCGGTGCACTGTGGTTTTAAGCCACCCTCCCAGGCCCGGCCCTCTTGGTCACCCAGTGGCCGTCCACTCACCCAGATGCGCAAGACCTTCCGGCCACCTCTGCCCACCCACTCTGGGCCCTGTCCTGGGCTGCTCCTCACGCTCCCCTGGCTTCTCATCGCTGCTGACCGCTGAGCTGCCAGAGACAGCCGGGTCCCTCCCAGGCAGCCTCAGGTCCCCAACGCCCCTCCTGGTGGCAGTAGGGTTGCTCCCACCACCATGAAGAGCCAGGCAGCCGGGCCTCTGCATATATTCCCACCCGCCTTGGCTGTTGCTGCCTAAAGAGGCCCCAGAACTGACCCTCCTTTCCTCCCCCGCCTCCATTGGCCGGAGTCCCTGTCCCCTTGGCACAGGCTGAGTGGACGGAGTTATGAACTCTCCCAGGCCCGGCCCCTGGCATCCAGAGTGTCCTCTCCAGCCAAGAGCCCCGGGGGTCCCTCCATGCAAAAAATCCTGACCTTTTAGAGACAAGCAGTGCCGCCGAGAGCCACCGTGCCCCAGGCCCCAGGGTGTCCCTGGACACAGAAGATGCTCCCTGACCTGAGTACTGCCCCTCTTGGCACTGCCCAGCGCTCCTTGCCCTGTGCAAGCCCCTGAAAGACCCCAGTCAAGAGGATCCCCCTTGGTCAGTGGGGTGGAGCCACGGTGGGAGGAAACTGGCCCTCCTGCCCATCAGGTTCCTATACCCCCGTGCCTGGGTGCCTGGCTCTGTGTCTGAGCTGCCCCAGCTGGCCGTGTCCCACCGGGTGCTGTCTGGGGGCAGTGAGTGTAACAGGGTCTCGCTGGGCTGCGGCCCGGCATAGACAGGGCTCCGGCTGAGGCCCCGGAGGCTGAGGCCGGAGCTGCTCTCCTCCTTCTGTGGTGCTGCCAAGGCTGCCCGATCTCACCCAGGCCCCCCGTCAGGCTCTACACCGGAGAATGTTCCAACTGCTTTTCAGCATGAGGCTGAACCTGCAAACACACCACGGCCAGACCATATATGCAGCACTCTGACCCGCAATCTGGCCACTGGCCCCAAATGGCTGGGACCTGGGTAATAACTGACAGCTTCTGTGATTTTTGTCTCATCTCATAGGAGCCCAAATTCCAGCCAGCAGCCTCTCTCAGGGCATCCCCGAGCCTTCCCTGTGTCTATAAAAAGCTTTCTATGTATAGAGTGAATTATCCATATGAGAAAACCATGAGGCTTCCCACTCCCCCGCCCGCCTGTGAGTCTCTGCTAAACGCGGGTGGCGGTGGCCGACTCCCTGCTACAGCGAGCTCTGCAAAAACAGCCTTGCCTGTTCTCACTGGGGGGTGGTGTCCACTTCTGCAAGGATTCCAGAAGGAATCCACAGTTTACTGATCTCAGGGGCACGGGGCTATGGGGAACAATACGCTGGAAGGTGCCAGTGCCAACTGAGAAGGGAAGGGGGCGGGAGTCTCATTGCTGAGCTGTGTGCCCCTGGGCAGGCTACCCTTCCCCTCTGCTCTCCATCTGGAAAGTGGGTTGGCGGGGCCACCAGCGCAGGAATGTGTCCTCAGAGCTCCCCAGCCCCGGCTGTAGGGCGTGGCCACCTCCCCACAGGCACAGGAATTTGCGTTCTTCGCAATCTTTTCTACAGCCGGCACCAGCTCTGGCTGAGGCAGGGCAGGACCATCCAGGCTCTGCAGGGCCCAGTACCCATGGCTCAGGCCAGACCCCATGCCTTGGACAGCAAAAGGGTCAGGGCACCAAGAAGGGGCGTCCCATCCACCCCCCCCGGCAGTCCACCAGCACCAATGGAACTGCACAGGGCAGGGTCTTTTGCAGATGAAGACTCTGAGGTCTGAGGGGCTCACCCCACCCATGCTAGTGGGACATCACCATGGTTCTTCAGCACTTGCTTTTGTCAACCAATAGCCTGGGGCTTCCAGAGGACGGGGCCATGCCTCTCCCCTGACTCTAGCTCTGGCAGGCAGGGTCCCCCTCTGGGCCTGGGCCTGGCCAGCCTGGTGTGGTGATGCCAGCACCTCCATCCGAATGCCTACATGCTAGGGCAGCTGCACTGACTCTCGGGAAGCCACCGGGCCACCGCCCCGCCTAGCAGTCAACAGTCAAGCTGAGTGTGTGGTGTGGGTGGGGACAGGGCCATGCTGGCCTTCACTAGACCTGCAGCCATGTGCCTAGCCCCTGCGGTGCAGACAGAAAACCAGAGCCAGGGAGTGTGGGCTCCTGAGGCAGGCCCAGCACCGAGCTGTGGAGAGTAGCTGGGGGCTCCTGCATGGGCCCATGGTTCTGAGCGGCACACAGGCCAGGGTTAGGGTACCCAGACTTGAATCCCAGCACGCGAGGGACCTGAGCCAGCCACTGAAGCCCCCAGGCCTCGGCTCCCTCACTTGCCTCCCAGGAGCCAGGCGAGGAGGGCCTTCCACAGCACAGTGTGGGAGCTCCTATGCCCTCGGCCAGCACCAATGGGCCTGGAGGCCCCCGCTGTGACATGTTCTGAGTCTGCCTGGGACAGCCCCCTCCCCTGTGAAGTCCCCACTGGTAGGGAAGGGAGAGGTCTGCCTGGGTCCAGGCTCCCCACGAGGAACAGGCCAAGCCCTGAGCCTGGCAGCCCTGGGGTGGCAGGTACTGCCTACTGTGCCTGGGACCAAGGGGCTCTGGGGACCCTGAAGCAGTGGCGGGGGTAGGGCAGGCACTGGCTGGGCACATGAGCACCTGTGGGGGGCTGCTGCCTGGGAGTGGGCAGGCAGCTGTGGTGTCGCCCTTCTGGCACTGGCACAGGGCTGGGTGCTTCTGGGCCCTGAGCCAGCGTTGGTGGTGGGGGTGCAGGGAGGGAGCTTGTCTTCCACGGGGTGGGTGGGCAGAACGGCAGGAGAGGATTCCGGAACTAGGAGGCAGGGGCTGCCACACTGTATTTTTAGCTCCTCCGAGAGCCCCAATTTTTCCACTGCTTGGCAACCCATGGATCTCCAGGACTGCACGCGTTCCTGGCAGCACCCCGGGGTTCTGGGCAGCCCAGGCCCTGCAGGGCGGTGGAGGCACCTGGAGCTGAACCTGCCCTACCATGACCCCCATTCCCCTCCCTCACACTCAGACTCCCAGCTCCTTTGAGCCTCCAGCATGTGTCACCTTCCCCACCAGGCCAACAGCCCCTTGAGGGACCTCTACTGACCTGGTGGCTCACCAACTGCCGGCAAGGCCCAGGGAGGGTCTGTGCACAGGGGGCCTCAAGGCAGGTGAGGATGGGGGTCCACCCACTGCCACGTGTCCAGGGGCATGGGGCGCACTGGGCCTTGGTGAGGGCTGGCTGTGTCCTCACTGTCACCTGGCCCGTCTCACACCCAAGAAGCACTCCAGCCCTCATGCCACCTGCAGTCCCCAAGATCTGGATGGAGTGCAAGGCTCCTGCCTCCAAAGCCCTCCAAGATCTTGAACTCCGCTTGTTGTGCAAAGAGGGCCCCCGGGCCACTGTGAGGACCCACAGCAGGACAGAAGGGCCCCCTGGGAGCAGGTGGGCAGAAAGGCGCTCTCAGCAGCATCATGATCAGAAGACAAAGATGGGAAGCAGGCCGCATGGTGACGGATTTCAATCACATGGTGGGTGCGATACCACCGGGACACCTGCCCAATCACTAACTGAAGCTGCATCTCGGATGAATATGGTCGTTTCATACTGAGGAAGAAAGCAAGCAAAATGATCAAAAGACAGCAACATCTCACAGAGGGAAGCTGGGCTCAGAGCGGTGGTAGCCCCTGCTTGGGTCACCCAGAGAGCAGAGCTGGGGGCCAGGGGTCCTTCATGGCACTCTGGCAAGTGTCGGTGGAGGTGGCTGGGGGGTCCGGGCTGGCCAGCACTGAACGCCAGGGGACACCACTGGCCCGGGAGCCAGGCTACAGCTGGGCTCTCTGTGTCCCCAGGATCTGGGGCAGACAATGGGCCTGGGGAAGGTACATCTTCCTGGGTTAGGAACAGAGCCCTGTGGAAGCCACAGGGAGGAGGGTGACTCTGTAGGGGGGGTAGGGGGATGCAGCAAACAGGAAATGCCCCGGCTCACTGGGAGGAGGGGTCACTGGGAGGAGAGTCGGCAAGCGCAGCCCAGGCAAGGGAGGACAGGAAGGGCGGAGGCCCCACGCCAGGAAGCCCAGCTCTCGCTTCCACCTGCACTGAGGGTGTGCAGGGCCTGGGTGGGTGGGCGGCTCGCCAGTCACCGAATGGGCCTTCTACAGGCCACAGTGTCTCCACTGCACAAACAGCAGGGCCAACGGGGTGCTCCCTGAGGGCCTGGTCACCTCTGGCGTTCTCAGGGGTCTGGGCTGGAGTCTGGGGGCCCAGGGAGAGGCATGGGGGGACGAGCGGCTACATGGAAGTACTTCCTGGGCCTGAGGGCCTGCCAGCACCTACCATGGCTGTGGCTGGGAGTGACGTGTACAGATCTGTGGTTAGGGACTGGGAAGGGCACAGGGCCTGATCAGGCCCTGCAGGTGGCATGAGCCCAGGGCTGGCCTATCGCAGGCCCCAGACGTACCCTGCAGGGGGTCTGCTGGGCAATGAGGGCAGGTGGCCAGGAGCTCGTCACCAGAATCCTCCCACCTGGGTTTCCTCCCCCCGGACCAGACATACTCAGAGATGCCTCCTCCGAGGCCCCAGGTCCCTCCTCTGTCCTCAGAAAAAGCCTCTCTCAACCTGGGAGGGGGAAGGGCAGCAGCTCATTGGAGCCAGGCCCCGGCTTCAGGGTTCAGGTCCTGATTGCTGTGTGCCTAGCTGGGCCCCAGGGTGTCCAGCCCCCACCCTGCCTGTGCCAAGACAAGACGGCTGCCCGCTGCCTGCCCACGAGCCAGGCTCCATGGTCCCTGCCCCCAGCCTACATCCCCGCTAGCAGCTGCCTTCCCAGGAGCAGGGAGAACAAAGACAGATTGAGAGTGGGGGAGAGGCTGAGCCTGCGCACCCAGCACGGCCAGGGGCTGCTACCAGGGCCCAGGGTGGGGGACGGCTCTGATTCAGGGTGAGACTGGGCTCTTCCGCTGACCGGCCTGTGACCCATAGGATCTCCTGGTTCCTGTCCTCAAATGCGGATGAGTGTGTCAATGCCACCCCCACAGCTTACTGACAGATTGACGAGATGCCACCTGTAATGCCAGTGCATAACCACGCACTGACCGCCCGCCTTCCCACTCAGCCCACCTCCTGTTTGGCGGCTGGGACGGAGCTAGGACGTTGCATGAATCTTCCCAGCCCCTGCTCAGCGTCTCTTGACCTCTGCTCCAGGCAGCCAGTGCCAGGGAGCCCGTCAGGCCCAACTGGGCAAACAAGATCCTCAGCGTGGGTGCAACATGCCGCTTGGCAATGCTTGCTGGGACACGAGGGTGCCAGGGGCCTGGGACAGCCAGGCCCATTCTGGACTCAGTTTTCTCATCTGTAAAATGGCCAGGATGTTCTCCAGGGCCCCGTAGCTCTGACCTGGGTTGGCTGTGCCAGCACCGCCCGTGTGGCCCCTCCTGGGTCCGGCCCATGGCTCTGCCAGCTCCTGCAGGCAGCCCCTCACTGTTGGGCCTGCACCTCCACAGCCTGGCCTGGCCCAGGGAAGGGGCAGCCGGGGGGGCCCTCTGCACATGGAAGCATAGGCAGGGGCCCTGGGTGTCCCCAAGGGGCTCCCGTTCTCAGGCCACTCATGTCTGTGCACAAGGTGGAAGCAGAGGCAGGTGGGGACAGGTGGCTACTCCCTCACCCCCACCCTGTGTCCTCCTCCCAGCGTAGGCTGGGTGCAGGCGACAGTCTGAGCTGTGCCTGGAGCAGGAACAGGGACCCGGGGGCACAGAGGGTGGGGCAGGCAGGCTGTACACCGAGGCCATGTCCCAGGGCCTGCAAGGACCCAGGTACAGATGGGGAGATGGAGGCCAGTGGGATGCTGGCCCTCCTCGCACAGCTGGCCACGTCCACCCCCGACCCGGCGAGGGCCAGGACAGCTCAGGCACGAACAAACCCCTGCACCACTGGCCATGCCCACTGGGACTCCATGCGTGTTGGGCAGCTGGCCACTCGCTGGGCAGAGCGAGGGGCTGGGGCTGGCCTCTGCCCACAGCAGCTGAATGGGGGCTTGGAGATGATACAGAAAAGCCACTACCCGGGGCTGGTGTGCTCAGCGGCCACTGCTTCCCTCTCCCTCCCTCCTCAACTGTGCCCTGGGTTAGCCTCAAAGCTAGGCTTTGACACTAGCCCTCGTCTGCAAAATGGGAAGCAGACAGCCTGCCCTCCGCCCCCAGTGTGGCTCCTGGTTGAGTTCTGGCCCACCAAGGGCTGCCTGGGGGCCTCTGCCTTCACTGTGAGGTGGGCCCGGGGCAGAGCCCTGTAACAGTAGGACAGCCCTCCAATCCACCCCACTCCCTCTCCCCCACCCCACCTCTCCCACTTTGGACCTTGGGGTGCTCAGACTGTGTCCAGGTCACAGGAAGCAGGTGGGGTGGTATAACGCTGTCACAGCACGGGAGCACAGGGTCCCTGCCCAGGGCACCAGGGCCAGGGGCCTTGGCAGCATCTTCCCATGTCCCTCTGACCCTGCAAAGGCCTTGATCGGCGGCCAGGAGCCTGGCCAGGCCTCCAGTGGTGCCCATCTGCTCCTTCTGGGTCTCCATGCCATTTCCAACAGACAGAGGTTGGGGCTGAGGGAGATGGAGGGTGCCCCAGCCACGGCCAGTCACCCTTCTGGGGTGAGAACAGGAGTGAACTGAGGGCACAGAGGCTCGGGGCAGCCCAGGCTGGCCCTTCTCTCAGGACTCTCCTGGTACCTCTCTCTCCCTCCCTGCTGCCTCTGGGAAAAGCTGCAGGCGAAAGAGGAAAGCAGCCTTGGCCCTTGCCCTTGGCCATTGGCGTGGCAAGGTCCTCAGGGCCTTCACGCTAGTCATCCCATCTGGGCTGTGACCACACTGGTCATTCCACCCAGGCTGTGACCCAGGCCGACTGGCTGGGAGGGCTCCGGGGTCCAGGCTGGCCCTTGGGCAGTTGTCTGTCTGCATGGGCTGCTCTGGAGTGACACAGGTGGTTGCCTGGAGGGCGGGCCTATTCCTGCCCCACCAACCCCCGAGTTTGGAGGCCCGGTAATGGCTACTTGACCAGGACAGGCCTGTCCTATTCCCAGAGTGGCAGTGCCAGCACCCTGAGCCTACCCCAGTGGTAGCAACAAGGGCTGGGGGGCCTCGGCCTCCAGCTACTCTGTGGGGCCAGCCCATTTGCACCCTGACCCCCAGTAAGTGCCCTGCACCTGCCTGGCACCGTGCTGAGCGGGGCTGGGCTCCAGGCTCTGGGCACAAGGGCAGATGCACACAGTAGGGGCTTTATCAGCACCTCCTGGCAGAATGGATGGCACTGAGTGTAAAATGGCACCGACTGTCCCGCGCCTCACCTGTGAAATGAACGCTCCTGCAGGACCCACGTCGCACTGGGAGGGATGAGGGTGGGAGACCGTGCGGAGGGACCCCGCAGGCTGGCTCATTCCTTTCCTCCTCACCCACTCACCCAGCACACAGACCCTGCCCAGGCTGGCGTGAATGGTGAGTGGACAGACCCGGCCTGAGGCTGGCCCTCGGGGACTGACATGAGCCCTCAGAGGGGCGACCCTAAGCAACCCCTGTGGTTCCTTATTTAATTACAGCTTAGAAAGGGCTGTGAGAGAGGACGGCCCCTCAGGAGAGGACAGGCACCACCGGTCTGCCCTGCTCTCCTGGCCTGGTGGTTGCCAGGGTATACCGGCACTGGGCTGGGGGGCAGCTGTGTGAGCAGACCTCACCCCAGCTCAGGACCCAGGCTGTCTGGGTGCTCAGAGGCAGACCAGGCAGGACTCTCCCTCCTAGGGTGAGGCTGGCAGGAGTGGAAGCCTCTCTAACAGGGGGCCAGGTGGTTGGACCCTGCTCACCCCTCCAGCGACGGGGAGCCCGTGCCCCTGCCCTCTCTCCTTCCCACCGTTGGTAGAACTTAGTCTTTGACTTTAGGTGTCCACTAGGCCTGGGTCTGCTGTGGCCCCTGGGGACCACCCTCCAGAGACTGGCTCCTATGTGGCCTCCACCTCCCGGCCTTCCCGTCCACCATCCTGAAAACAGAGGTGGGTGTGCCTTCTCCAATGTAATGTGTCCACTGGGCCATGAACCACACACCTATCAGACACCTGCTGTTTGCAAGATGGAGGTAGGGGAGGGGCTGGCAGCAGGGAGTCAGGTCTCATTCCTGACTACAGGGAAATTTGACCTCCAGGCACCAGCAAAAAGCCAGGGGCTTGAGCTTACTTCACTGTCCCCGTCCAGAGCTGGGCCAGCTGCGTCCTGCCCCACACCCACAGGCAGCACCGCATCACTTTCCAGTCACCACCCACCCCTCCCGCAGCCTGCATGAACCGCATAACTTTTCCAACCCAGGAAGTAACTGCACTTTGATGGAAGGCGCAGAGTCTATTTCAGGTAGGAGCTTCCACGTCCCCACATGTGCGGTGTGTGTCATTCGCTTGACAGCCGTCAGCTCCTCCACAAAGTGGGCGCTCACCTGAAGGTTAACTCAGGAGCCCTGGCTGTGGAGGCTACAGTCGCACCTGGCCACTTGGTCCGTCCCCACTAGCGACATCCCCTTTGCCGGGCTGCAGGGCCCATGACAGTCCAGGGATGGGAGGGCAGGGCCTGGGCAGGGCCCACTGCACCAACCTGGCTTTTAGAACAGAAAATTGCTGCTGCCCTGGTAGGGGTGGGAGCAGTGTGAGGTCTCAGACCCCAGGCCTGGAACCCAATGCTACTATTTGCTGCACTGGGGGCTGAGCACCGACACCCCAAAAGCCCCTGGCTGGGTGGCACCCTCGGGGTCTGAGGCACTGCTCTGGGACCCCACCTTCCCAGTGCAGGGCGGCAGGGAGCAGGTCCCAGCCTGAGCTGCTGTCCCACCCTTCAGAGTGCAGATGTGGAAACTGAGGCCGGAAGAGGGCGAGTATCCTGCTCCATTCCAGTGCCAGACGGAGGGGCAGGGCTGGCAGTAAGGGAATTTCCTACGTCCAGCGCCTTCTGGGTGTGCCTGACCTCTGGCCCGGTTCCTGGGTTCCTGGTTCCCTGCCTGGGCAGGGTCTCTGCCTCTCTGCCTCCTGGTGTGTCCAGCTGGAGTGGGCAGTAATGCTGTGGTCACAGCTGAGCTGCGGGAGCCCTGGGTGGGGAGCTTGAGCCCCAGAAGGCCCAGACAGACAGACCACCCCCCACGCCTGTGCTCCCCAGGGGGCATTGGGGACGGTCAGGGACACAGCTGGTCACCCCGCCTTCCCCTCCTTAGTCATGGTCACTCCTGGGGCGACTCCCCAGTTAGAGGGTTGACGGGTGGGTCTGGGGGCGTACAGGGATTGGATCCTACCCCACCCAAAAGGAACAGAGAGCTGTGATGGAGGCTGATTCCCCTAAGCCTGCCAGCGGTTGCGGGGTGGGAAGGGCTCCCTGTGCGCCCACCTGCGCGTGGGCAGCTGGAAGCCAAGCAGTCAGGGTGGGGCCGCAGGCCGGCGCGCACCTCGGGGTGCCACCCGGGCGGCGGACCCGAAGTTGAAGTTTATTTTCCCAACTGTGGCTGATTCATGGTCAGGATGTGGCAGCCGCGAGGCGCGGAAATCCCGCCTGCCCTGGGAGTAGGCCCGGCCGACCCTGGGCCCACCACTCTGCGGCCAGTGCGCGCTCGGGCGGTGCCTCGGCGCGGAGGACCATAGTCCCGAGCGGGGCGCGCGGAGCCGGGGGGGCCAGGGGCGCCCTGGGGTCCCCGCCCGGGAACTGTACCCTGCGCCGCCGGACCGCCCGCCGCCACCTGGGCACACACGCCGCAGCCCGGAACCTCGCTCCTGGACCCAAGCACGCCCCTGCCTCCTCCCGGACTCAGTTTCCCCTGAAGCTCCAAGCGGACCCCGAGGCCAAGGACTTACCCGGTGAGGCAACGGCCAGAGGGCGGTGGTGCGGCCGGCGCTCCGTCCGGGGCCGGGTCAGGGGCTGCGGGCAGCCGGCGCCCACTGCCGCGCTCCGCAAGGCTCGGACGGTGGCTCCTGGCGGGCGCGGGGCGGGCGGGGCGGGCGGGAGGAAGAGGAGGTGCCGCCCCGCCCGTCAGCGGCCACGTGGGGAGCGAGCGCGGGCCGGGGGCGGGGCCTGGGGGGGGAGGTGGGTGGCTGGGGGTGGCCCCGCCCACTGTGGCCGGTCCCTGAGGGCGCTTTAAGGGGTCTCCCCACTCCCGTGAATAACCTGGCCGCCCCCTCGCGGTCCCTGCTGGCCTGGCTCCTGGTGGGCGGAGATGGGGGTGGGACGCGCAGATCGGGGCCGTCTCCCGCCTCAGCCCCCACTGTCCGCCCCGTCCCTGCCCTCCACCGCCTCCCGTCCACCTACACCCCTATCCTCCGGTGGGACTGGCCTCCCAGGCGCCGCTCACCTCTCTCTGCCCCGGCCCGGGACTCCCGTTCCAGCCAGCCGGATCCGGAGTCCCCGCGTTCGGGGATCCCTCAGCAGAGATGGCTCTTCCCAGGCTTTGGGGAGAGAGAGCCTACCCATCAACCAGGCCACCCATGTGGCCTCCTCTCCGCAGCCCTGCCTGACCCCCTTCCACCCTTGATGGGGTCTCGGCGGTCTTGGGCAGCCGCACTTCGCCGGTTGGTGGAGACAGCTGCATGAGGGCCGCGGAGGTGTCGCAATGGGGTGGGTTTTCTCTGCCACCCCTCTGCTGTCCGGCCTCATCTGTCTCCTAGATTGAGGGGGGCACCCATCCCCCCACCGCCGACATTGACCAGCATGGGGCGTGCCCATAGTCGGCTCTGAAAGCCAGCCTGGTTGGATGAGAGCCAGACCCCAGCTCTGGAAGTCCCTTCTGACGTCTGACCCTCAGTCAGAGCTGCAGGAAGCAGCGCACCAGGCCTGGGGTTTGGGGGCCACTGGCAGCTAGAGGGAGGGCAGAGGAAGGCAGGCCTGGGGGAGCCCCCGTGTGACATGTGACAGAGCAGACACAACCCCTGCCCTGAGAACCGGCGCCAGCACTCCCTGTGCGGCCTCAGGCTCGGATATGACTCTGTGGAGCCTCAGTTTCCCCATCTGTAAAATAGAATAAGTACCCGTAAGGGCTGTATGAGGGTCAAGAACATGCGGATAAAGTGTCTCCACTCGGAGTCCTGACATCTCTCTCCGGAGGGCCTGCTGTGTGGGCCGTGGCGGCCAGGGCTCAGGGTGAGGGCGAGGGGAGAGAAAAGGGCTCCTGAATGGCTTCCCAGCCCCGATGCAGCTTCTGCTTTGAGGCCAGCTGCGTGTCCTTTGGCTTTGGTGTGCCTCCGCTCCGGTGGGGATAAGCGCCGAATTGCAGGCTGCGTCTGTCTGCTCCCTGTGCGGACCTTGCCCTGCCCAGCAGCCCCAGCCCCGGAAGTTTGCTGGCTCAGCCCCAGTGCAGGAGCAGCTGCAGGCCACAGCCCCGGGTGTGCCTGAGGAGCCAGCCAAGGCAGGCGCTCACTGGACACCCTCCAACCTGGGCGGCCGCTGCTCCTAGACAGGCACTCTGCAATTCTTGGAATGCACCTGGAAGGCCGGCCTCCGGCCCTCCACACCGGGCTCCAGGGCCCCTTCCAGAGCAGAAGGCCTTCCTGCCCTCCCTCAAGCTGGGCTTTGGGTCTCCTGGTGCACTCCTGGACCCGAACATTGGTGCCTGCCCTGGTACCACCCCACCCTGGAGGGCACGGGCGGGGCTGACTCATCTGCGTTGGGAGCTGATGCCTGGCAGCGGTGCTGGGCAGTGGGTGTGTTTGTTGATCCAGTGAATGGAGGAATGTGAGGAGGTTGGTGGGGAGTGAGCTTTGACCTGCAGCCCCCTCCCCTGTCCACCTGCCTGGGGGAAAGTCAGAGTCCTGAGCCTTACTCAGAGGCTGGAGTAGGAGGTCAGGTGTGGGCGAGGGGTCCACCTTTCCTGCCCTGATGGGGGAGGGAGGCCCAGCGCCCCCAGGGCCGCTCCTGCCTGGGGCTGTCTCCCTTGCACCCAGTCGTGCTTCCGAGCTGCACACCTGGTCCAGAGAGGCCAGCACAGGCCGGAGCAGGGTGAAGAAGGTGGGGTGAATGTGATTTAGTTGGAGAGAGGTTGGAGAAGTCCCTGGGGTCGGCAGGGAGTGCAGAGGAGGGCTTTGGGCCCTGATTAAGAGTGTGTGTCTGTGTGTGTGTGTGTGTATGTGTGTGTGTGTGTGTGGAGTGGAGGCCGAGGTCAGAGGTCTGGGAGGGTGGAAATGTGGACACTGAAAGGGGGTTTTCCGTCAGGCTTGAACCCACCATGCCCGGGGCAGCAGGGTTCAACCCGGCTTGAGCACTGATTTTCTGAGACATACAGAGGCCCCCTCCTCTTCTCCTTCAGTGGCTCACCCTCAACCCTCTGTACCTCCAGCGCTCCCAGACTCCATCCTGGCCCTATTCTGAGCTTGCTTCCTGGCCCTGGGGTTGAAGAGAGGACCGATTTGGCCTCAGAAACACACCACCTGCAGCCACTGCCTGCGGCTTCCGGAGCTGCTTCCTGGAAGCCATGGCCTGCCTGGAGCCTCCCCTCCTGGGTGTCGGTCCTTCCTCGGAGCCGGGTACACAAGTGCCGGCCCCCAGCTGCAGGTACCCAGATGCCTGAGAACAGGGTCGTGCAGGTACAGGCTGGTACTGTGACACACCCAGGCGGAGCCACATGTTCCTGGCCACTGGCACAGAGTGCAAGAGTGGCCCTGCCACTGTAGGCCTGTGGAGAGCTTGCCTCTGCCTCTTGCTGGAAGATTGGGATGAGGGGAGAGCAGGCCTTGGCACCGACAGCTTGAGTTCTGCTAGAAACAGGCAGGCAGGTGTGGGCGTTCTGAGAGAAATCCTCCCAGCCTGATGTTGGCGCCGCCGTGCAGTCAGGACAGCCCTGCATGCAGCAGGCGGCCACTTGCAGGCCCAGAAGGGCTTCCTGGGGTCCACCTGAGCAGCAGCCTGGCCATGGGTTCATTTCCTTCATCAGTTCAGCACCCAGAATGCTTTTTATCTTTTTTCCCCTTTTGAGATTTTATTTTGCATCCTACTGTGGTGCCCTGAGATGATCTCTGACATTGTTACAGAATGAAGTAAGTGAAAACATGCCTGCTCACCCATGTCCACCCACCTTGCCCACCTATGTACCCATTCACCCATTCATCCATCCATTCCCACACACACCCACACTTCATCCGTCTGTTCACCCACCTACCCACCCATTCACCCACCCACCCTCATCCATCCATCTGCCTATCCATTCATCCATCCACCCACCCATCTGTCCATCCACTTATCCATACACCTACCCATCCACCTATTCACCCTTAATCCACTCATCCACCCATCCACCCACCTACCCACCCATTCATCCACCTACCCTTATCCATCCATCTGCCCATCCATTCATCTATCCACCCACCCACCTATCCACTCACACATCCATCCACCTACCCATCCACCCATCCACCTACCCACCTATCATCTACTCATCCATCCATCTGCCCATCCCTTCATCCATCTACCCATCCACCTACCCATCATCCACTCATCCACCCATCTAACCACCTACCCACCGACTGATCCACCCACCCTCATCCATCCATCTGCCCATCTATTTGTCCATCCACCCACCCACCTACCCACCCACCTATCCACCCACCTACCCATCCATCCATCCACCTACCCACCCATCATCCACTCATGCACCCATCCCCCCACTTACCCACCCATTTGCCACTCACCCACCCACCCTCATCCATTCATCTGCCCATTCATTCATCCATCCACCCACCCATCCATCCATCCACCCACCATCCACTTACCCATCGGCCTACCCACCCATCATCCACTCATCCACCCATCCACCCACCTACTCACCCATTCATCCACCCATGCACCCACCCTTATCCATCCATCTGCCCATCCATTCATCCATCCACCCACCCACCTATCCACCAACACATCCATCCACCTACTCATCCACCCATCCACCTACCCAGCCATCATCCACTCATCCACCCATCCCCCCACCTACCCACCCATTCATCCACCCATCCACCCACCCACCCACCCTTTCATCCACCCATCCACCCACTCACCCTTCCAGCTGTGGCACCTTGGGCAGCTGTTCTGCTCTATGCTTGCTGACAAGGACACGACCGCCCCCAGTCACCTCCAGCCAGGTCCTTCCTCCAACATCCCTGCCCCTCCCTTGGCTTTTTGCTCTGTAGCTGGCAGCTTTGCCTGCTGGGGCTTCAGCAGCCCCTTGTGGAGCCTCTCAGCATTTTGCAAGCTTCTCTTGCATTTCTCAGTTCAAACTCCAAGAGCACCTGAGTCAGCCTGTCTGTGTCTGGCTGCAGGAGGTAGACATTGGTCAGGGCTTATCCCTGGTCTGAGGAGGGAAGGCAAGAGCTGGGACCAGGCTGCTGCTCTTAGAAGGGACGGTGGGTGGGGCAGTCAGTCAGGGGCTTGTGTCAGGCAGGAAGCTCTGTCCTCTTCATTTGAATATTGCACACACATACAGTAGAATCTCATTATTTACAGATTCTGTACTTGCAAATTTGCCTACTCGCTAAAATGTATTTGTAAACCTAAAACCAGTACTTGCTTAAGAACAGTCTGCATCTCTTGAAAATGAGATAAAATAAGATCAATACTTGCTTTTGAGATGATGTGTCCTATGGAGAAAATACATGTGTTGGACAGGCTCTGTACAGGCATGAGTTGTAGTGCTCTTGGCCGGGAGTTTAGTGACATATATTAACAGAAACACATAAATAACTCTATTGTGTACTGATTGGTTGCTGAAAAGGCTGGAGCAGAGGCTCGTAGGAACCTGGCCCTCTATTTCCCTTAGGAGCAGAGGTTCGGCATTCACTCTGTCAAGTGTTTGCAGCCATATCATGGAACACAGGACTCGCTGTCACAGATCGAGCTGCTGCATGGCATGCGTGAGGTGCCCAGAGCTTGGGTCTACCACACCAAGAGTTTTTACATTCATAGAAACCCACGTAACTACCACCACCCATAGCAAACTCTGCAACACCTCCAGGGCCCAGAAAGTTCCATTGCATAGCCCCCTCCGTGGGCACCTGCCAAAGCTAACTGCTTTTCTCCTCTCTGCCACCATAGAGCCGTCATTCTAGGATTGCGTGTAAATGTCAACCTTTGTGTCTGGCTTCTTTCGCTCCACAGTCTCTGAGACTCATCCACGCGGTGGTGTGCATCGTTCACTCATGTTTCTTGATTTCTATGAAATATTTCGTTGCACAAACCTATCCGCTGAAAGCTGAGGTGCAGAGGCCGGGTGCTGGCAGAGCTGGTGGGCCTCCTTCGGGCACCTCACTGAGCAGGCTAAGCCAGTGCTGGCCCTCGGGAGACGCAGTCCACCTCCCTGCTGACCTCCAGTGAGCCCTCGAGCTGTCCCTCCCCAGCCTCCTTCTCGGTTGCCTCAGTTGTCTGGTGGGAGTCCAGATGGGATGCGTGCTGTTTCCCGTGGCGGCACGCAGGTTACTTGCATGATGGGGAGAGCCGCTCAGCTTTGAACTGTCTTATGTCGGGGGTCCGTGCCATCTTTTGCTTAAAGAAGGGGTTCTCCACCTAACGAGGTGAGAAGACACTGGGCCTTGCAACCCTGGTGTTGGGAATTTGAGGAGCTGGAGGGAGCACCAGATGGGCTCCCTGGAGGTGCTCCTTTGAGAGCAGGGAAGTGCCTGAGACCCACCCGCACCCCAACCCATAGTCTGCCTGCGTGTAGCTGTGTTCTGACTTGCTCTGCTTCTGGCCTTGAACCCTGCAGACTCAGAAGAGGCAGGGGTGGGGCGGCAGAGAAGGGGAGAGGGGGAGAGGGCTCAGGGCAGGCCCTGTAGGCTGATGAATTGGATCTTGCCTGATGATCTTGGAGGGAAGGAAATAAAGTCTAGAATGTCTTGCAGGTGATTTTTGGCCACTGGACTGTGTTTTGAAGAGATGTAGTGCCAAGACTTTGTAGGTCTCCAAAGTCTCCGGAGGTAATTTGTGTGTGTGTGTGTGTGTCTGTGTGTGTGTGGTGGGGAGGGGGGCGGGTTTCAGAAGTATTTATGAATGGAATGGTGACTGGAATGAGGACACCACTGCGACTGTCTGCCCTCCCCTGCGGGCCTTCTCCCTTCTCCTTCACTCTCCCCTCTACCCTCCCATCTTTCCCTGAACACCTCCCTCCCTGCCCCACGGCTCCAGGGCCTTCAGGTGTGCTGGTCACTGATGCCAGCCTTCTGCTTTGACACCCCTGGTGGGGGACCCAGGCACCCAGGGGAGCTAGGCTCTTGGAGTGGACGGTGGGAGGCAGGGAGTGGCAGCCCCAGGCTGAGGCACGTAGGAGGATGCATGCTTGGGATTTATTCTGGAAGGGTCACCAGGAAGCCACGGAGGGGTCACTCTACAAACCAGTCTGTGCTGCCTCCCCAGGGCCCCTCCTCCCCTCCACCCCTCCCCTCCCCCATTGCAGCCACCCGCAGACCCCTCCCCCAGGTCTCTGTGTCTTTGAGGACCTTTGCTGCTCCTTGGGTTTTCAACATTAACACTTAGTTTATTAAGGTAGCAGTGGCTCACGCCTGTAATCCCAGCACTTTGGGAGGCTCGGGAGGGTGGACCGCTTGAGCTCAGAGCCAGAGGAGCCTGGCTCCCCTTCCAACCCTGAGTGCCGTATAGCCGTGTTACTCTGAGCTATCCCAGGCACACCCAACATTGCGGAGGCCCCAGCCACTAGCGCAGGCTGCATGCACAGAAGACCCCTCAGTTCAACCCAGACGTGATAATCCTAGGGTTGGCTGACTTTCTTCCATCCTGGAGGCTAGACTTGTCCGGGGGGGACGTGAGGATTTTAGGAGTGGCCACTGCTGGGGTGGCCCTTCCCCTAGGTGAGGGCTTGGTTTCACGGTGAGCATTCCTGAGTTAGGGTAAATAATTCCCCAGTTCTTACAGAACCTCCTAGTTTCACTGCTAGCTTGGAAGTATATCAGACTCTTTCTTCCCACCTGGATGGGACCTGCAGCCAGGTTATGGCTGGATTCTGGCCTGCGTTCTCCCCTCACCTGGCCTGCAGGCCAGGCAGCCCGCTCTGCCTTCCCCACGCCTCCAGGGGTGCTGCCCATCCCAAAGGCCGGATGGCTGTCCCTGCTCCCTGCCGCCCTCCCGCCTCCTGGCCCTGCCCCGCGCCCCACTGCAGGCAGCTGCCTGCTCATCTGGGGCACCTTATCTGCCAGTCTTGGCTTTGCTTAGCCCCAGGCACTATGCTTTTTTCATGGAAAGGAATCCATTTGCTCCTGAGCTCTTCCAGGGTGGGAGGTGACAGATTCCAGAGGAGGGGTGGGAAGGCCAGCACTTCCCCGCTAAAGCCCCTTGGGCAAGGCTCTGACCCAGCCCCTAGGCCCTCCCTGTCCCTCCCCACACTGCTGCCTCCTGCCTGCATCTTCCTGAGCGCCCGGCACAGCGTTCCCTTTCTCCTGTAGAATAGCAGGGAGACTTACGGGTTAAAAATAACCCCAAACCCCAAACCCCTATCTGACTCCACATACACTGGCTGTGCCAATTCCTCGCCAGGCACTGGGGTCTTTCCCATGCCGCCGCACAGGCTGCTGGCTCTTCTGGGACCCCCACCCCAGGGAACTCCTCCAGGCCCTCCTCCCCTCCCTGGAGACTCCCAGCCCCTCCCACTTCCCGCCTTGGGAGAGTGACAGCTCCCCTCCTTCCCACAGCGCCTCAGCCTGGAATCTCCACTTGCATCCGGTTTCCTGCCTGGCTCCCTGCCTGGCTCCCCAGTTAGACTTCAACGTCCAGGCCGGGTGTGGCCAGGGGTCAGCCATGCTCAGCAACCAAGGGGATGTCATGGGCTCCAGCCCCCATCCTCACCTGCCCCGCCCACCCTGCCTCTCCAGTGAGTGAACCCCAGGCTGTCCCGGCTCTGCACCAGCGTGCTGCCCTCCGGGACCTCAGGGGCCTGTGCCTCCTGCACTCAGATGCTTGCAGCCACCTCTCCGCCCCCGTGTCTGCTCTGCTTTCTCGGCTACCCCAGCTTGGCCTTGTCGTTCCTGATCTCTTACCTTGGCCATATTTTCCAATTGAAGTGGAAATCCAGTGCTAATTTCATAAGACGTGGAGTTTGCTGAGAGGGGGCGCTGGTGCCCGTGTGCCGGTAACTAGGGCTTAGCTGAGTGCTTTCTACATCAGGCCTCCTAGACGCTGCCCCAGCTCTGAGAGCCAGATGTGACATAACCAGCTCCGTGTCCAAGGTCCCCAAGGTGAGGGCCAAGCCTGCACGTGGCTTTCTGTGGGTGGCGTCCAGGAGAATGTTCTTTGTTCCTCTTTTCACCTTTCGCTGGCAGTGCTTTATTCAGTGAGCATGGGGCATTGATGAGGCCCCTATTACAGTGGGGCGCTGGGAGGGCCCTTCCCTACCCCTGCTTTTTGGGGTCCTTACTCCTCGCCCGCCCCATTTCCTCCTGCATATGCCAGTCTGTGGATCCTTCACAGCCTGGTGCCACCCCCCAGATGGCAGCTCGTGATGTTGACTTCTCTTCCAGGGCCTGGCTCGGGGAGGAGCTGGTGTTTGCTGGGAGAGTGAGTCAGCTGGTAGCTCTGTTTCCTTGGCCTGTGTGGAGTTTCTGTTTAGGAGGCACATGGGTGCTCCACAGTCAGAGTGAGCCCCTCCAGCTGAGACCCCGCCTCACTGCCCACCGCGCCCCACCATCTCTGGCTTCTCTTCCCTGGGCTGGTGTTAGTCCAGCCCCACCCACCCTGATGGCAGGCCTCCTCTGTGTGCACGCGTGTGCGTGTGTGTGTGCATGTGAATTTTCCCGGGGAGGTGGCTCCCGGGCTCCTGAGCGCTGATGAGCCTGGTTCGGTTCCAGCCAGGGGTCCCCACAAGCCCAGCTAGCAGAGCTCGGGGCTGTCTGGGGATCCCTTATGCTGGCAGAGGGTTGGCTGCATCCTTATCCGATGCTGCTGACTCAAGGCCTGAGTCATCGCCAACCTCCCTCTGACGGTGGCTGGGCTGGGTGGGCTGGGCAGGTTGGGCATTGCGGGTGCACGGGCCCTGAGGGGTGGGAGCTGTCGGACCACCGCCCTGCCCCGGGCAGCAGGGAGCCCTGCGTGGACTGCATTACAGAGCACAGGCCTGGCCTGGCCTACCTGGAGGGACTCCCCAGAGGTCAGGAGTGGCCCTGTGAACAGCGCAGTCCCGTGGTACAGTGGGAGGGTGCTGTGGCTGGGCCGGTCTGGGTCCTGGCTCTGCTGCCTGCTGAGATAGGGGTGGTGATAACAGTCCCACCTCCTAGGGCTGCTGGACGGGAGGTGTGTGTGAAGCCCCCAAGTCGGGCCAAGCTACCATCAATAAAAAATGACCCAGATGCCAAGGCATGGGTGGAGGCAGCAGCCTGGTCAATGGCCTGGCCAAAGTCCAGGGTAGGGGACACAGGGCCACTTCAGCTGTGTGCAGGGAAGGCTCCTCTGCACACACTGAGGTGGGAGGGGTGAGAGTCAGAAGACGGAGGGGGGGTTTGTTCCACAAGCACGGAAAGGTGACGGAGGCTTTGAGTGCAGCTCGGGGACCCTGATTTATGGGATTGGATTGGAGGGTCCCCCTTGGTGAGGGGCAGAGGATGGTAGGGCCAGGTGGAGGGGGTGAGCTGGGGCAGAGCCGGTGGGGTCTGCCGAATGGTAAGGGGATGTGTGAGCGTGAACCTGAGAGAGTGCATATGTTTGGGCAGAGGCCGAGGAATCAGCATTCACACTTTGCAGAGGGCAGAGGTAATTTACAAATGACTGGGGACCCTCAGGGATCCGTCTTGACCCTGTGTTGCCTTCCTCTGGGGCCTCAGTCCCCTGTTCAGCCCAAGATCCCCTAGAGAAGAGCCAGGACATCTGGGGTCACCCAGGAGCAGCCTGGTCCCCTGCAGTCCTTTCTGGGGCCTGGAGCTGACACTACGGCAGCCACAGAGTTGTGCTGGCCCCGGAATCCTGGGAGCCCTGTTTGCCTCTGTCCCTGTCGGGCAGCCCAGCTGGAGGTTCATCCCCATCCATGTGGTGTGGGCTGGGTGCCCTGCCCCAGCGCTGGGCCTGATGAATGCCTAGGGAGGGCAGCTGGGCTGGGCCCACCCTCAGCCACTTCGCCCGGCAGTGCCATCACCCTGCTTACAGATGGACAGGCCCAGGGCCCGGGGCTTGCTTGGGCCCACAGAGTGGCTGCTGCGGCTGGGGCTGGGCCCATGCCTCCCTGACCTGGCTCCAGCCAGCTCCTGGCATTCCCTTCCCCCTCCCTCCCCCAGGATGCCCAGCCTTCCCAGCGGGCCGGCTGGGGAATCTCATTACTCCCAACCTACAGATGCAGAAACTGAGGCTGCAAGAGGGGAGTGGCTGGCAGCCAGGAGAATGGGAAGGCACCCGGTGGCAAGGTCGGAGTCTGCCCAGCTGGGTGGGGATGAGGCCTCTCTGCAGAGCTGTCGGGAGTCCTGGGGGAGAGTAGAGGGGCCACTGCCAGCAAACGGAGGGTGAGCTGGGGCTGGGACCCACCCGGACCTTTGAGCACTGGTGTCCCTGGCCAGGTCACCCTCAGGGCCTCCTGGCAGGAAGCCTCTCACCTGGGCTGGCCCGTTGGTCCTGGGCACCTGCTCAGGCCCCACAGGAGCGGCTTCCCATGTCAGGGCGGGAGGCTTCAGCTGGGGTCTGGGGTCTCTTGACCACCCCAGCTCTGCCACATGGAGTGAAGGGACTTGACCCCTTTGAGCCTCAGTTTCTGCAGCTGTACCTAGGGCTATGGGGAGGGGGACAGAAGTGGGAGGAAGGGGTGGGGGCGCTGGCAGGTCTTGTTTTGTGGGTTGGGAAGGGGACTCTCAGGAGAGCCCAGTTGCTGAGACGGTGTGCGTGTGCACGAGTGTGTGCCCACATCCCGAGGCACGGCTCCCTGATTACGGCCAGGCAGGAGTGGGGAGCCCACCCCAGCTGGCCACCCCCAGGGGCTTACAGAGAGCAGCTGGGGGTGCCGGGACTCTCCTGGGCCAAGCCCACCACAAAGGGAGTGAGGAGGAGAGAGGGAGCCGAGTGGGGGAGTGGGAGGAGCCACCAGGGGCTCTCAGCAGGGAGGGTTCCTTTGTCCCGAGAAGGAGTTGAGAGGATCTCTGGGGCTCCCAGGGGAGGCTCTGATGTAGGGAGGACGAGGGCCGACAGGAGCTCAGAGCAGGACCCGGGGCCACCGTGGTGGGCTGCAGTCAGTGTTCTCAGAGATTCTCCGGTGGGTTGAGGCCTGGCTCTGCGGCATTCCGCATGAGCCAAGCCTCTTGCTTCTGGAAATTTCTCTTATTTTCCTACTTCCCTGTGTTTTCTGATGGGTCCTTTCTTGGGGTGCCTCCTAGGCCTTCCCCTCCCCTTCGCTCAGCCCAGTCTCCTGGGCGGGGCGGCCACCCAGAAGCTAAGAAGCCCCGTGGTCGCCTCTGTGTGTCCCTGAGATCTGGGGCTGCAGCCCCGCCCACCTGCCCGCACTCCGCCCCGGCACACGTCCTCTGCCGTCGCCGGGTGGGCGGGAAATTAGCTGCCTAGGAGGGGTCCGCTGGGCTGGGGGCTCCGGGAAGGTGGGCTCGGCAGCCCGCAGCCCTGCGTTCTCCAGATGAGTTGCGGGAGGGGTGTTCTGGGGAGTCCCCGGGCTCCGCTGTAGGGGAGGGCAGGCTTCGCGCTGCTGCGTGGGGGCCGAGGCGGCAGCTGCGGTGCTGAGTCACGCTCCGGAAAATGGAGGAAGCAGAGTTTCCACCACCATCTGCCTCCTCCTTGGGAGGAGGAGGAAGGGGAGGAGGTGGAAGGAGGTGGAGTAAGGGAGCAGGGCGCAGAGCAGCGCTGCAGGCACAGGGGCGGGGGCTCCCGGCAGGCCAGTGCCCTGCCTGTCCCAGACCGAGTGGGGTGAGGGCAGGTGGTTCTTCCCGAAGCAGCTCTCGCCTCTTCGTCAGGGAAGGGAGTGTTGAGTGTTCCGCCCAGCAGAACCAGGCCACACCAGGGGCTCCCTCCTCCCTGCCCCACCTCGGGGAACCGAGAACCTCCAGGGCTTTCAGGAGCTCAGCAGGCTCAGGTGCTAAGTCCCACTGCCCCCGCGTGTGGCCTGGCTGTCCCCAGTCCCCAGAGGCAGTGGGAACATTGACACAAAGTCCTCAGCCAGCCACAGCCTCCTGTCCCCCATAGCCCTAGGAACCTCCAGCTTGCTGGCCGCAGAGTCCAGGGCAGCAATGGGGGGAGGGGGCTACTCTGAAGGGGGTGCGGTAAGGTCCCGCCAGCGCTCCCTCTGGAAGGCGGCTGCTGCCTTTCAAACCCAGGGGTGCGGCCCCTCCTCCTGCCTCCACAGGACGGGGGTGGGTCCTGGGGATGCCCCTATATCTGGGGATCCCCCCTCAGCTGCCCCGCCCTCCTGTCCTCCTGGAATGACACGTTTCTCCCCGTCACGTGCAGATGTGGCAACCAACGTCCAAGGTGGGAGGGCCCCCCCCCCCCCAGGCCCCTTGATCTCCCCGTGGGTCTCCCCAGCGGCGAAAACGGGAGCTGGGTAGGTCCGTAGGTTTCAGCTCTAGTAACAGCAGACCTCAGCCTCAGCTCTCTCACTCCTCAGGCGGCCCTGGGGCGGGGATCCCTCTCTGCTTCCTAGACGCGTGATTTGCCTCTCTGGGCTTCCTGCTCCTCTGCTAGAATGGGTGGTCCTGACACACGGAATCCAGCAGGAATCCTGGGCTGGTCCTGGCGGGGGCAGTCCCCCTGCTGCTGTGTGTGGCTCTTTCACAAGGACACAGGAGTCAGGAACCTTGTGGCTGCGAGGGCCAGAGACCCGACCTAGTGAGGGCAAAAGAGGGAGGGAATTGATGGGCTGATGTCACAGGGGGCAGGGAAGGTAGCCGGGCCAGGACAGCTGTCCCCGCGCCGCTCCCCCCTCCACAACACCCACCTCTGACTCCACTTCACCCTGATTGTGCTGTCCCCTCCCCCAGGCTGGGGCTACAGTGGCTGCAGGTCCAGGCTCGCTGCTCCTTGCCCTGGGGCCCTGGGAAGAGGGGCAATATTGTTTATAAGAAGTCCATCCCTAGGAATAACCCTGGAAACACTGGGGGTCCCACGCCCACCCTTAAACAGCCTCTGGGAGGAGGACTGGGGAGAGGGAGATGCTGTGAAAGGAAGACCCTTTCTAAAACACAAGGTTCAACAAGCGGGGTGGCAGTTTCTGAGTGCGGGGTCTGCAGGTGCTTCCGGCCTGCCTACCTGAGGCCCTTCCCCACAGGAAGAGGTGGCCTTGCTGGAAGGGAACGGTGCTCATGACCACCTGACACACTTGTGTCAGACTGGACACAGGGCTGTGGAGGCCTCTGAAGGGCTGCTGGGGAGGTGCTGGCCAGCCTAGCCTTGGCCATCAGGGTGGTCAGGGTCCAAAGGCAACTCCTTGGTGCTGGGAGTGGAGAGGTCACCTTTGAGTGATGCCTGGTTGGGGCTGGGAAGTCAAGGATCTTGGCAGGCAGGGCTTTGACGTCTGCAGGCGAATCACCCCCCACCACCCCCAGCAAGGCATCCATGTCAGGACATATAACTTGTGTTGCAGCACATGGAGCTTCCTCTTGCTGGAGCACCACTAAGCATTCCCATTTTACAGATTCAGAATCTGAGCAGGAGAGTCGCAGGGGTGGTGAGAGGTGTCAGAGCTGGGAGTTTTCCCATCAGCTGGCACTTCATTTACTCCCACCTTGGCCCTGTCATTTGGGCATTTAAGACAGCTTAGTGTTAAAACCTCTTACTGAATCCAAATCCCATTCATTCGCCTACCCATCTAGGCATCCACCCATCTATCCACCAATCTGTCTACTCTTCCACCCACACACCCAACCCCCTACGTCCATCCATCCATCTATTCACCCATTCACCCACCATCCATCCACCCATCCATCCACTCACCCATCCACCGATCCACCCATCCATCATCCATTCACCCACCAATCCACCCACCCCCATTATCCATCTGTCCATCCATCCATCTATTCATCCCTTCACCTACCACCATCCATCCATCTAACCACCTATCCACCCATCCATCCACCCCATCCATCCATCCATTCATCCATCCACCCATCTACCCACCATCCATCCATCCACCCATTCACCCACCATCCATCTATCCCCCATCCACCTGTCCCACATCCATTCAACATTAATTGAAAGTCTGCTATGTTCTGGGCACAGGATTGGCAGTGGTGGTACCAGGTAAGCAAGGGCACAGCATCACCCAAGTGGGTTGCAGCTTTACTAAATAAAGATACAGGGCACAGAGGTAAATTTGAATTTCAGATAAACAATGAATACAGTTTTAGGATAAGTATGTCTGATATGGTTTGGATTTGTGTCCTTGCTCAAATTTCATGTCAAATTGTAATCTGCAGTCTTGGAGGAAGGGCCTGGTGGGAGGTGACTGGATCATGGGCGTGATTTCCCCCTTGCTATTCTCCTGATAGTAAGTTCTCAGGAGATCTGGTTGTTTAAAAGTGTATGGCATCTCCCCTTTGCTCTCTTCCTCCTGTTCCCCCATGACTGTAAGTTTCCTGAGTCCTCCCCAGCTATGCTTCTTGTACAGCCTGCAGAACCATGAGCCAGTTAAACCTCTTTTCTTTATAAATTACCCAGTCTCAGGTAGTTCTTTTTTTTTTTGAGACGGAGTTTAGCTCTTGTTGATCAGGCTGGAGTGCAATGGCATGATCTTCATTCACTGCAACCTCCGCCTCCCGGGTTCAAGCGATTCTCCTGTCACAGCCTCTTGAGTAGCTGGGATTATAGGCATCTGCCACCATGCCTGGCTAATTTTTGTATTTTTAGTAGAGATGGGGTTTCATCATATCGGTCAGGCTGGTCTCGAACTCCTGACCTCAATTGGTCCGCCCACCTTGGCCTCCCAAAGTGCTGAGATTACAGGTGCGAGCCACTGGGCCCAGCCTCAGGTAGTTCTTTATAGCAATGTGAGAATGGGCTAATATAATGTCCTATGCAATATTTGGCACCAGCATGTCTCAAATATTGCATGGGACACACTTGTACTGAAATGTATTTGTTGTTTACCTGAAATTCAGATTGACCTGGGAGTTCTGTATTTTATCTGACAACCCCACCCCAAGGTGCTTGCTGTCAGGGGGTGAAATGATGCAGGTGGGAGATGCCTGGACATCACGCATGCAGAGGGCTGTAGGACAGGGCAGCTCTTCCTGTCTGCAGGAGTTGAGCAAACCTCTCTGGAGAGAGCTCCACGTGTGTGCTGAGCACCTTTTGTCTTCTCAAGAGCCTCCACACCTTGGCTGTGCCTTCAATATCTTCCATCCAACAGAGTCTTCCAATAGCACTGGATGAACTCAAGCCTCTCCTGATACTGTCTGTATTAGTCTGTTTTCACACTGCTATAAAGAACTGCCTGAGACTGGGTATTTTATAAAGGAAAGAGGTTTAATTGACTCACAGTTCCGCATGGCTGGGGAGGCCTCAGGAAACTTACAATCGTGGGGGAAGGTGAAGGGGAAGCAAGTACCTTCTTCATAAGGTGGCAGGAGAGAGAGAGCGCAGGGGAAACTGCCACTTTTAAACCATCAGATCTCAAGAGAACTCCCTGACTGTCAGGAGAACAGCCTGGGGGAAACCACTTCCTGATCCAGTCACCTCCCACCAGGTCCCTCCCTCCACACATGGGGATTACAATTCGAGGTGAGATTTGGGTGGGGACACAGAGCCAAACCCTGTCACTGTCTACAGCACCAGGTCCAAGGCACCCATTCCTCATATTGGAGTCTCTGTGGACAGCAGGGCTTTCCAACCCATCACGCTCCTGCAGACAGCCCCCACAGGAGGTCCTCCGCTGGCCCAGCAGGCCAGGGTCTCCCCAACTCCCCAGTCCGGCAACACCCTCAGGACAGGATGCTGACTCAGACCCTCTGAGTCTGCAGGGCATGTGCAGCGGTCCCCCACTTCTGACCCACCCCTCAGTTCCCCCAAGGCTTCAGCCGTCGGGCTCCTGCTTACCCTCCCGACATGCCTGTGGCCGCCCAGGGCAGTAGGCTGCTCATGAGGCTCCATCTGGGTGTTAGCTCTCGCCTCTTTCTGCCAGACTATCACCTCCTGAAGGGAGGGCTGAGTCTCTTTGTTGTTTTCTCCTCTATTTATGTTTGGCAATAATAATAGCAGCTATTGTGTATTAAGGGCCTCCTGTACTCTATACGCACTTTGAAAAATAATCTAATTTAATCTTTCTAAAAAAACCCTATGCATTTGGTAATATTCGTATCTGCATTTTACAGCTGCAAAAACCAAGGCTCAGCGAGGGTGAGAAACTTGCTCCAGGTCACCCAGCTAGTGATGGAGCACAACAGAATAGCTTTATTAACTTGAAAAATGCTTGTTATTAAAACGCGAATGAATGCAAACATGTACAAAAAAGAGTCTCTAAAAGTCACTTTAAATCCAACCACTGGCCGGGCGCGGTGGCTCACGTCTGTAATCCCAGCACTTTGGGAGGCCGAGGCGGGCGGATCACGAGGTCAGGAGATCGAGATCATCCTGGCTAACAAGATGAAACCCCGTCTCTACTAAAAATACAAAAAATTAGCCAGGCATGGTGGTGGGCGCCTGTAGTCCCAGCTACTCGGGAGGCTGAGGTAGGAGAATGGTGTGAACCCAGGAGGCGGAGCTTGCAGTGAGCTGAGATCGCACCACTGCACTCCAGCCTGGGCGACAGAGCGAGACTCCGTCTCAAAAAAAAAAAAAAAAAAAAAAGAAAGAAAAAAATAAATAAATCCAACCACTAAGAAATAACCATCATTAAATTGCTAAACCTTATTCCAGATGTCTTGCTTGGTACTTATGTAGAGAGACAGAGAAGAGGGCTGAAGAAGAGAAGAGTAGCTGAGAAGTGGAGTGGGATAAGACGATGATAGGCTTTATTTCAAAATAGAATATCAAACTTTATTTCATTCGGATTTAAATGGAAAGAGTTGCTGCATTTCAGATAAATATTTTACCACAACAAAAGATACTGGTTCCTTAATGATCTCCTTAGATTTAAAAAAATGACCATGGAAAACATTAAGTGCCTGGGTCATTATGTTTATGTAACCACATATTTTACAATTATCAAGGTCTGCTGATTCTGCAGGGCAATGAGAAGCACCACTCAGGCCTCCTCCCACGTTCCCTCCTTCCTCTGCTTCCCAAATGTGCTGGTTAAATACATGATTGTGTTTAGCTGACTTTTCACTGACATATAACGGAGATATGGAAAGATGCAGCCAGCCCCGCCTGGACGTCTTCACAAACTCAACACACTCCTCTAACCGACATCCAGACGGAATTAGACCATCCCCAGCCCCTGTACCCCCAGGTCTCCCCGTCAGCATCCCCAGGATAACTGTATCTACCCCCAGATCTCCCCATCAGCATCCCCAGGATAACTGTATCTACCCCCAGATCTCCCCATCAGCATCCCCAGGATAACTGTATCTACCCCCAGATCTCCCCGTCAGCATCCCCAGGATAACTGTATCTACCCCCAGATCTCCCCGTCAGCATCCCCAGGATAACTGTGTCTACCCCCAGATCTCCCCGTCAGCATCCCCAGGATAACTGTATCTACCTCCAGATCTCCCCGTCAGCATCCCCAGGATAACTGTGTCTACCCCCAGATCTCCCCGTCAGCATCCCCAGGATAACTGTATCTTTTTTTTTTTTTTTTTTTCAGATGGAGTTTCACTCTTGTTGCCCAGGCTGGAGTGCAATGGCGCAATCTCAGCTCACTGCAACCTCCGCCTCCCAGGCTCAAGTGATTCTCCTGACTCAGCCTCTTGAGTAGCTGGGATTACAGTCATGTGCCACCATGCCCGGCTAAGTTTTGTATTTTTAGTAGAGACGGGGCTTCGCTATGTTGGCCAGGCTGCTCTCCAACTCCTGACTTCAGGTGATCCACCCGCCTCGGCCTCCCAAAGTGCCAGGATTACAGGTGTGAACCACCGTGCCTGGCCAGATAACTGCATCTTATTTGCCCCCTTCCTAAAAGGGGATCGCACAGTGTCTGGTTTCCTCCACTCAGCGTACAGTCTGCAAGGTCGCCCTTGTTGCACGAGATTCTACATCAGTCATTGTCACTGCTGAGCGCCATTCCATGGGGTGAGCAGCCCCCCCACTCATCTATCCCTTCTACAACGAATGGGCGTTTGAGTGGCTTCTGGCGCCTGGCTTTTGTGTGGCCATGAACGTGCTCACACAGTACCTGTCTTTGGTGAACAGGTGCAAGCATTTCTGTCGGGTGAAACTTGGCAGTGGGTCTACCTGTGTTCAGCTTTAATAGTTACCATCCAGCACTTTTGTATAGTGGTTGTATCAACCTTCACGTGATGAGCAATGTGTGAGGGTTCTGGTTACTCCACAGCCTTGCTGATAACTGGAAGTGTTCACCTTGTTCATATTGACCAGTCTGTGGGTTGTGATATTACTTTGTGATTTGATTTGCATTTTCGTGATAACCAAGGAAATTGGGGTATCTTCTTACATATTTGCTGACCGCTGGACTATCCTCTTTGGTAAAGTGTCTTCAAATCTTTTTGCTCACTTCCTAGGGAGTCGTCTATCCTTTTCTTGTTGATTTGTAGGAGCTCTTTACATATGTTTTGGACGTAAGTCTTTTGTACGTGGCCGTACACTTGTATTGCAAATATCCCCGACCTCCTTTGTTGTGGTCGTTATACACGTGGTTTTACTTGTATTAAATTAATGAATTAATTAATTTTTTGAGACAGGGTCTCACTCTTTTGCCTAGGCTGGAGTGCAATGGCACAATCTCGGCTCACTGCAACCTCCGTCTCCTGGGTTCAAGTGATTCTTGTGCCTCAGCCTCCCAAGTAGCTGAGATTACAGGCATGCACCACCATGCCCAACTAATTTTTTGTATTTTTAGTAGAGATGGGGTTTCGCCACGTTGCCCAGGCGGGTCTCGAATTTCTGAGCTCAGGCAATCTGCCCGCTTTGGCCTCCCAAAGTGCTAGGATTACAGGTGTGAGCCACTGCGCCCAGCCTACTTGTATTCTAAACTCTATAAGATACTACAAGTATTGTTCTGAGCAGTCTATATTCAATTGAATTTACCCACATATTTTACTTTTTCTGGTATTCTTCATTTTTGTCTACATGTTCATGTTTACATCTGCGATCATTTTCCTCATGCCTAGATATATTTCCTTTAATATTCCGTTTGCAGCTCCATCAAAGATGAATTATCCTGGCTTTTGTTTGTCTGAAAAGTCTTTATTTCATTTTCATCTCAGAAGGATATTTTTTCTGGGTGTAGAATTGTAGGTTGGCCATGTTTTTTCTTTGAGCACTTTAAGGATATATTCCTTTGTCTTCTGGCTCCCATCAATTCACGTTCTTGATTCTCGGTCACATTTGCCTGCTTCTTGGTGTGTCTGTCGATTTGGGGTTGACCCTGTGCATTGTGAACACTACACTGTAGGGATGTGCGATTCCGTATCTTTCTCTCCAGATTATTAACTGTTTTGGTTTTGTGTCATCAAGCAGTTAACCTGACTGAACTCAAATGGTAAACGCTGCCTCCTCTGTGTGGCTGGCAGGTAAATCTCTCTTCAGCTATGTGAATTGCTGGGATCTGTCCTGTGTGCACATAGCTCAGGGTTCTGCCAGAGATCTGAGCTGAGTTTTTCATGCAGTCTTTGGGGAATCCCTCTCTATGGCGCTCTCCTTTCTGGGATTTCCCCCTCACAGTCCAGCTGCCATGGTCACCCCAAACTCTGTCCTCTGGTTCTTCGGGTCATTCCATTTCCTGTAGTCAACTCCCTACAACCTCTGTCTGGTTTTGGTCACTCAGAATGCAGTGAGTTTATATATATATATAATATATATAACATACATAAAATATATATATATATATATGGAAAGAGAGATGGAGTCTTGCTCTATTGCCCAGGCTGGAGTGCAGTGGCGCGATCTCAGCTCACTGCAACCTCTGCCTCCCGGGTTCAAGTGATTCTCCTGCCTCAGCCTTCCGAGTAGCTGAGATTACAGGGGCACCCCACCATGCCCGGCTAATTTTTGTATTTTTAATAGAGATGGGGTTTCACCATGTTGGCCAGGCTGGTCTTGAACTCCTGACCTCAGGTGATCTGCCTGCCTTGGCTTCCCAAAGTGCTGAGATTACAGGCGTGAGCCACCGTGCCTGGCCTAGTGAGTTTACATTTTGGTGTTTATATTTTGTCTGGCAATTATAGTTTTTTTTTTTTTTTTTTTGAGATGGAGTCTTGCTCTCTCGCCCAGGCTGGAGTGCAGTGGCGCTATCTTGGCTCACTGTAAGCTCTGCCTCCCAGGTTCATGCCATTCTCCTGCCTCAGCCTCCTGAGTAGTTTGGACTACGGGCACCCGCCACCACGCCCGGCTAATTTTTTTTTTTTTTGTATTTTTAGTAGAGACAGGGTTTTGCCATGTTAGCCAGGATGGTCTCGATCTCCTGACCTCGTGATCCGCCCGCCTCGGCCTCCGAAAGTGCTGGGATTACAGGTGTGAGCCACTGTGCCCGGCCTGGCAATTATAGTTGTTATTTGCACATTAGTTGTTCTAATTGGAGCCACCTGGCTTGTATTGGGAGCAAAAACCTCAGGCAGTTAGGATGGACAGAGGGGCAGGTCCCTCAACCCAGTGAGGGATGGGCCCGGGTGGACTGGTGTGTAGTTTGATGGGGTTCAGGCTTCCTCTGGTTTGCCCTGGTTTGGGGGATTGGTCTCTCCAGATTTCAGCTGAGAGCCTGGCGGGTCTTGATCTCCCCACTTTGAAAGGCTGTGGGAAGTGCAGTCCAGCCTCACAGAGCTGCTCAACTTGCTCCTGAGCCTCCTCCTGCAGCAGCATTGAGATCCTACAGGTGTCTTGGGGTGGGGCTGAGGGCCCCGCTGCCTGGTTGTGGCCCTGGACACTCCGATTTTGCCACTTTCCTCCCTGTGACAGTGAGAATCTTTGCTGGTTTCTTCTTCCCCGGCTGTAGCTCTCTGCCTGGGCCAAGCCCAATCCTTAGCCCAGTGTCCCAAATAGGCAAATGTCCCCAGGTAAAAAGATGGCTGTGGGTCACCTGCTTATCTGACAGTTCTCCATTCTCTGGAATTTTAGTTCGTTAAGTCCTCGCAGCCTCTGCAGCTCTCTGATGCCTTCGCAGTAAGGTTTTCACAATGTGTCTGGCCTCCTCAGTTATTGTGAGTAGTTGTGGTGACCTTCCCTGTGGGATCCACCTTGCCTACGTGAAAGTAAAAGTCCAGGTATTATTATTATTATTATTTTTGCTCTGTCGCCCAGGCTGGAGTGCAGTGGCACAATCCTGGCTCACTGCAACCTCCGCCTCCCAGGTTCAAGTGATTCTCCTGTCTCAGCCTCCCGAGTAACCGGGACTACAGGCACGTGCCACCAAGCCCAGCTATTTTTTTTTTTTTTTGTATTTTAGTAGAGATGGGGTTTCGCCATGTTGGCCAGGCTGGTCTCGAACTCCTGACCTCAAGCGCTCCACCTGCCTCGGCCTCCCAAAGTGCTGGGATTACAGGCCTGAGTCACGGCACCCGGCCGGAAGTCCAGGGATTAGTTTTACACTGTCAAGGTGTATTGCATTCTGGTCTGCATCCAGTAGGTTAGTCTTATTTCCAAGGCAGAATGGTTCTCGTGTTCCCCCGCAGGCTCAGTGTCTGCCAGGCTCTTTGGAGTTATAAAGATCAAGGAAGAGACTGGACTGGAAAGCCTATTGGAACCCCTGCTTTCCATAAGGCATTAAAAATACCCTTTAAGGCTGGGCACAGTGGCTCAAGCCTGTAATCCCAGCACTGTGGGAGGCCGAGGCAGGTGGATCACCTGAGGTTGGGAGTTCGAGACCAGCCTCACCAACATGGTGAAACCCTGTCTCTACTAAAAATACAAAAATTTGCCAGGTGTGGTAGCAGGCGCCTGTCATCCTAACTACTTGGGAGGCTGAGATAGGAGAATCGCTTGAACCCCGGAAGCGGAGGTTGCAGTAAGCTGAGATCATACCACTGCACTCCAGCCTGGGTGACAGAGCGAGACTCCATCTCAGAAAAAAACAAAAACAAAAAAGAACCCTTTAAAATGCAGGTGAGTGTCTTTTGCCCCAGCAACACCAATCCTGGGTCTTTACCTCAAGATAGCACCTTAAAGGTGCTCAAAGACCAAGCTATCAGGATATTTGTGGCCCTACTGTTTAGAATTCTGAAAGAATAACCCCAGAAGTGGTTAATTTCCAACAATACATGGATTTGTTGAACACAAATTGGCTTATGCACACAGCATAATGTGCAGTCATTTAAAATATTGTGTCAGAGTTAGTGGAAACACGGTCAGGTTTTGTCACTGACAGATGTAAGTGGCATTCACGGCGGCCTGCGTTGTGTGGTTGGCATTGCGTGTGTGTCACACGCGTGGAGGCGTCTGGACAGGTGGAAAGTACCTGCAATCACAGCAACTGGCCTCGGGCAGCGGCCGTTGGTTGTTCAGAATTCTTTCGGCTTGCCTGTATTTTCTGGTGTCTTAAAACAATGACTATGTATTTTTTTGTGGCCATGTATTTTTGAGATACAGTTTTTTTTTTTTTTTTTTTTTTTTGAGACAGAGTCTTGCTCTGTCGCCCAGGCTGGAATGCAGTGGTACAATCTTGACTCACTGCAACCTCCACCTCCCGGGTTCAAGCGATTCTCCTGCCTCAACCTCCTGAGTAGCTGGGACTACAGGTGCCTGCCACCACACCCGGCTAATTTTTGTATTTTTAGTAGAGACGGGTTTCACCATTTTGGCCAGGCTGGTCTCGAACTCCTGACCTCAAATGATCCACCCACCTTGGCCTCCCAAAGTGCTGGGATTACAGGCATGAGTCACCGCGCCTGGCCTGAGATACAGTTTACCCAGAGTAAAATGCATAGAACTAAAGTGTATGAGTTTTGACAAATAAAGAGGTCCGTGGAGCCCTCACCCAGAACAAGACTGGGGGCACTGCACCACCTCAGAGGGTCCTGGCCTTCTGTAGTCTACAGTGTATTGTGGGTAACACAAGTTAATCAGAAACGTAAATTCTCAGCTGGCAGAGAGAAGCTGTGTATAAGCCTGGGCTCTCCGATTAGATCGTTCTCACCAGGGTGCTCTGCAGCCAGGGGGTGCCGGGGAAGATGCCCTGCAGGTGCCCTCTGCCCGGCCCTGGGGGAGGAGGGAGGCCCTGCTGCAGGGGAGCTGGGAGCCACTGTGGCCGCCATGGAGGCTGCCACTCTCCCAGCTCCAGTGTCACCTCGGCGGGTGGGGGCTGGTTGTGGGGACAAAAGGCCTTTGTACTCGGGACAGCCTCAGCCCTACTGTAGGGATGGGAGGAGAGAACGGCCACATTCCGAGGTTGGGGGAGGTCACTGGACACAAGGCCTTTCTTTCTGAGCTGCTAGTGCATGTCGGCCTGGCTGGGGACCCCGCTGGGGCCTCTGTGGCCGCTGAGGGCAATTCCAACCAGCTTCATGGGCAGTGGCTGGTGGGGCTGGGGGTGACTCCTGCTCTGGGGCTAGAGAGAGGGGCTCAGTCTCGGGAAGAGGGGTAGGGGCGGTGTGTGCGACTCAGCCACCCTCTGATGCTGAGGCCTGCCACCAGCCCGGTGCCAGCCCTCGGGGACGGTGCCACGCCAGGGCCTGCGGAGTGGTGGTGGAGCTCCCTGGTGGTGGAGGGTTGCCCACATCCTTCTCCTCTTCCTTTCCCTGGTCTACACCTCCCCAAGGTGTGAAAAAGCCCAGGCCCTCTCTACAGCCTGCAGGCAGCGCCATGCCCGGGGAGGGTGCAGTTTGAGGAGGGGAGGGGCCGCCTCGGGATGTTTCCATTCAGAACTGGGACCTGTGGGCCACCAGAGAACCTAAAAGCAAACATGTCTGGCCAGCGACGGGATTAACTCTCAGACTGCAAAATCAAAACACTTCCTGTTAGTGTGAGCTCACTCAGTTATTTAGGCGAAAGCACACTGCCTTCCTGAGCTGGGAGAGTTTGTCTCTCCCCGCCCTGGGGTCCCTCCTGGATCTTCCTGCCTTGACAGCCCCACAGAAAATGCTAAGAGCCCAGGAAGGTTGTGAAGGGTGTGTGTGTGTTTGTGTGTGTGTCTGTGTGCTGTGTGTGTCTGTGTGTGTTTGTGTGTGTCTGTGTGTTTGTGTGTGTGTATGTGTGTGTCTGTGTTTGTGTGTGTTGTCTGTGTCTGTGTGTCTGTGTGTCTGTGTGTCTGTGTGTCTGTGTGTGTGTCTTGTGTCTGTGTGTTTGTGTGTGTGTCTGTGTGTTTGTGTGTCTGTGTGTTTGTGTGTGTGTTTGCATCTGTGTGTTTGTGTGTCTGTGTGTGTGTGTGTTTGTGTTTGTGTGTCTGTGTGTGTTTGTGTGTCTGTGTGTGTTTGCATCTGTGTGTGTGTGTGGGTTTGTGTGTGTCTGTGTGTTTCTGTGTGTCTGTGTGTGTGTGTCTGTGTGTGTGTGTTTGCATCTGTGTGTTTGTGTGTGTGTGGGTTTGTGTGTGTCTGTGTGTTTGTGTGTGTCTGTGTGTGTGTCTGTGTTTGTGTGTGTTTCTGTGTGTCTGTGTGTTTGTGTCGGTGTGTGTCTCTGTGTGTGTTTGTGTGTGTATGTGTATTGGGAGGACAGTGGTCCCAGCTCCTCAGGGGCATCAGGCTCTGTAGCAGGGCCCACCGTCTCGGCAGGAGGGTGCAATGGCCTCACCCACACTGTCCAGGCAGTTCTCTTGGGACCCCTTTTAGCCAGCACAGGTGCCTTCTCCCTCGGCAGGAGGGTGCGATGGTCTCACCCACACGGTCCAGGCGGGTCTCTTGGGTCTCCTTTTCCAGCACAGGTGCCTTCTCCCTAGGTAAGACATTATCCATCATGGTGGTGTTTCAGATGGCAGCGCAGGGAGTGGAGATTTTGGGGCCGCAGTCTTCCCCAGCCCAAGGTGCCCCAGGGCCTGCCCTGGGATGCGGGTTCCTGCCAGAAGTGCCTTTTGCTGCGTGGAATCATGGGGAATGTGGGGTCCTCCCCAGTCAACCTGGGGAGCCCTAGCAGGGAGGTGAAGATGGGTTTAGGGGATCATAAAAAGCAAAAACCAAACCAGATCCCAGTAGAAATCTCCGGGGGAGTTGGGGTCATCTCGAACCAAGGGGAGGGAGGAGAGGGGCTGCAGGTGGGGTGGGGGGTAGTGAGAGGGGAAGAGGGTGAAGCTCTGCTCACAGGAGTCGCCCGTTGCCCAGGCTTTGTGTGCTGGGCACACAGATGCCAGCAGGTGGAAGCTGAGCATGGAGGAGGTTCTCATCAGCTCACCCGCCCTCCTCCAAGCCCCAGGCTGGCCTGGGCTACGTAGGGAGCCCTTGGGGTCAAAAGCACATCCAACCCCTATAACCTTCCCCAAGGGCGTGGACACCTGTAGGAAGGGAGGGAGATCAATTACCTTGGTTCAGATCACAGGTTTTTTTTTTTTTTTTTTCTAAAAATCAGGAAACGGCAAAGATGTAATGACCACACTCAGGTGTAAACTCTGTAGCCGGGTTTCTAAACTAGAACCTACTGATCGTGGGATAAAAATCAGGAAACGGTGAAGATGTAATAACCACACTCAGGTGTAAACTCTGCAGCCGGATTTCTAAACTAGAAGCTACTGATCATGGGATAAAAATCAGGAAACGGTGAAGATGTAATCACCACACTCAGGTGTAAACTCTGCAGCCGGGTTCTAAACTAGAACCTACTGATCATGGGATTCAGGTGTCCCTGAACTTGGATGGAAAAACGTTGCATCTTTACTTTCACCAGCCTCTAGGCTAAAGTGAGTGTTCCTCAATAGTGAATGTGGCCAAAGGACCTAGCGGTCTCCACAGAACCTGGGACTCCACCGTCAGCAAAGTCCTGTGTATTTTCCCATCGTGTTTCAGTTGCTTCGGCGTCTTGAAGCCTCATTTTTGTTCCTGCTTCAACACTGTTGGTCATGAGAGCTGCTGCTAGATCTGGATCAGTAGGTTTTTTTTAATCTGTTGCCCAGGCTGTAGTGCAGTGGTGCAATCTCGGTTCACTGCAACCTCCGCCTCCCAGGTTCAAGTGATTCTCCTGCCTCAGCCTCCCAAGTAGCTGGGAGTACAGGTGCACGCCACCACACCCAGCTGATTTTTGTATTTTTAGTAGAGATGGTGGCGGGGGGGGAGGGGTCTCACCATGTTGGCCAGCCTGGTCTTGAACCCCTGACCTCAGGTGATCCACCCGCCTCGGCCTCCCAAAGTGCTGAGATTACAGGCGTGAGCCACCATGCCTGGCCTGAATCAGTAGATTAACAAGAAATCCAATAACAATTACTTTATTATTTTGGTAACCGTATTTCAATATAGTGGGTGTATGAGTTGGTTCTCACACTGCTATAAAGATACTACAAGAGACTGGGTAATTTATAATCAAAGGAGGTTTTATTTATTTACTGAGACAGAGTCTTGTTTTGTCCCCCAGGCTGGAGTGCAGTGGTGCAATCTCAGCTCACTGCAACCTCCGCCTCCTGGTTTCAAGTGAGTCTCCTGCCTCAGCCTCCCAAGTAACTGGGATTACAGGTGCGTGCCACCATGCCCGGCTAATTTTTGTATTTTTAGTAGGACGGGGTTTCACCACGTTGGCCAGGCTGGTCTCGAACTCCTGACCTCAAGTGATCCACCCACCTCAGCCTCCCAAAGTGCTGGTATCACAGGTGTGAGCCACCTCGCCCAGCCCACAAAGGAGGTTTAATTGACTCACAGTTCTGCATGGCTGGGGAGGCCTCAGGAAACTTACAATCATGGTGGAAGGGAAGCAGGTGCCTTCTCACAAGGCGGCACGAGAAAGAAGTTCAAGCAGGGGAAATGCCAGCTGAAGCCTGGGCGCAGGTGACCACGCAGGCCGAGAGGTCCCACGCCCGCGAAGACCCAGGGAAGCTGGTGGTGCAGTGCGGTCTGAGTCCGAAGCCCTGAGAGCCGGAGGGCTAATGGCGTTAATCTCAGTGTCAGGGCCAGAGAAGGTGAGGTGAGTGTCCCAGCTCAAGCAGCGTGGCAGGAAGAGGGGGGCAAATTCACCTTTCTCTGCCTTCCGCGCTATTCGGGTCCTCAGCGGATTGGGTGACACCACCCACCCTGGGGAGGGCGGCCTGCTTTACAGAGCCCACTGATTCAAATGCTAATCTCATCCAGAACACCCTCGGACATCCCCAGAAATAACGTTCAACCCGGCACCCCACGGCCAGGGGAGCTGACACATAAAGTTAACCGTCACTCCGCCCGCATGGAGAGGGAGCCCACAGGAAGGAGCTGGTGCTGCTGTCTCGACCCTGACCCTGGGCCGTGTGGGTCGTTCTGGCCCTTGCCCCTGCTTGTCTGTAGCTCCCACCCCACAGTGAGGAACCTGCCCCACCACCCACCATCCATGGACCTAATCGCTAAGCTGCAGTGTGCAGGGGGAGCAGTGTAGGGACTGCTCACCTGTACCCCGCGGCAGAAGCGTGTGTCTGCCAGGGTACAGGGCTCATGTGCGGGTCCATTTGCTTTTGGCTTCACAGACTTCGTCGTTTGTGAGGGTACCCAGGTCAGCCCCATCCCCCAGCCCCTCCCTACGTCTGTAATACAGCTGCTCCCTGGGTCTGTGATACAGCCAGAGGCTCTCGCCACACACGGCCCGCCTTCCGTCCTAGACCCCCAGCCTCTTGACTGAGCTTTAAAATTTGCATACATTAAGGCTCACTCTTGCTGTGAAGTTCTGTGGGTTTTGACAGATGCACAGTGTCGTGTCTCTGCCATTACAATGTCGTTCACGTTAGTTTCACAGCCCTAAAAACCCCCCTGTGCTCCACCGATCCAACCATTTCCTCTTTCCCGAACTCCTGGCAACAACTGTTTCCATAAATGTATTTTTCTGGTGGGTTTTTGGTGAACAATTTTATCAAATTAGAAATATTTCATTTGTTTCAATTTCTAATTTGCCCAGAAATTTTTAAAAAGTCACCGATGGCATCACTTGAGACATTGGGACACTTTTTGCCCTGTCATCTATTCAGATGGTATTTGCACGGATCAGATTCTGATATTAAACCTTCCTTGAATTCCTGGGAGAAACCCTTAGATCTATCAGGGTCCCAGCAGGAAAGAGACCCACATTTAGAGCAGGTTACTTGCAGCAGTGTTTAACAAAGGGGCTCTTTATAAAGGTAGGGCAGAGTACTGGAAACCTCAAGGGGCAGTACATGTCCCAGGGCTGGCCAAAGGCATGCCTGGTGGAGAGAATTTTCTGGAATGTGAAGGAGAGTGCTGTGGAGAGGAGCCATGACATTCCCAAGGCCACCTCACACAGTCATCTGCCATCATTTGCAGATCACATGTCAGCTTACTTAGCAAGCCTAACAGAACGGACAGGAAAACGTAATGTTATAAACACATAATTCTCCCCAGAGAATTATGGGGACATAATAAATTCAATGCAATTCTAATTGGAGTCTCATTTGGGCTTCAATTTTTTTTTAAAGAAATAAATAAATGTAGTCTACATTTTACATGGAAGAATACAGATCAAAAGCAGCTAAGATGGCTTGAGAAAGAAGAAAACAGACAGGGTGTTTGCGCCTACAAAGCCGGGTAACTGAAAGCAGCAGTGGAAGAGGCTGGGCCCGTGGAGGGAGACCCAGGCTGCACGGGGTAGGACGGAGGGCTCTGCCGGGCATTTCCTCCTGGCCCCCCCGGGGAGCTGAGGTGTGCGTAATTAGTACTTGTGCTTGGTGGGGAGGAAGTGAGAGCAGAGGGCGCTGGGCCACTGCTTCTCACTTTCTGGGACCCCAGCATCCCCAGGCAGGAGCGTCCCTGTCCTGGCAGGCAGGTCTTGGGCCTCAGGTCTGAACATCTGAATATCTGTGCAGCCCTGCCAGGGCCCCTCTCGGTCCTGCAGGCTCCTGGCGCTGGCTGGGGCACAGGGAGCCCTGAAGACGCCTGGGGGTCTGTGGGTGCTGCAGGCACCGCTGGCTGGTTATAGTCGCAACAGCCCCCAGGTGGGCAATTTTCCTTCCACTTCACAGTGGAGGAAACGGGTTCTGAGAGGTAGCAGCTTTCCCAAGTGCAGGGGGGTGGGGGCAGGACTTGAACCCAGATCCCTGAGAATCTGAACCCAGGCCTCTGCTCTTGCTCTCCAAGCTTCCAGACAGAGAAGGAGAGTGGGTGGCGACGGCCATCGGGAGGGGCTCCAGACGGAGGACCGGGCAAGTGAGCGCCTGGTGGGCGGCCTGGGGCGGAGGCACCCAGGGAGCCCAAATCGGGGCACCTGGGAGGAGGAAGTTCCCAGAGGACTGCAGACCCTGCAGCTGTGCCTCCGAGGTCAGAACCGCCCACGCCCGCCAGGCAGGACGTGCGGCTCCTGGCCGCAGCTGTCAGGGAGGAAATTCACGTCTCAGCTGAGGTTTAAGAGGCATCTGACCCTCTGCTAAAAATACTCGGGCAGCGTGGGTCCGGTGGAGTTGGCTGTGGGGTGCGTCTGGGTGGGGGTCCCAGCGAGGCCAGAACAGGCGCCAGCGACCTGCAGAGCGGTGCAGTGCGGTGGGGCTTGTGGATGCCGGGCCTGCAGACCAGCTCCATGGGAGAAACTGGGGCGGGGTAGGGAAGGCGCGGTGAGTCGCCGGCCCGCGGAGCCCCCGTTTGTGCCCTCGCTGGCAAACTGTGAAGCCCGTGCAAGGCGGGAGAGGCCGTGGGCTGGCGGGAACCTGGGCGTCCTGGGCTGCCCAGAACGTGCTGCCTCAGTTTACCCAGCTTTACCATGCAGAGGCCAACCTCGCCCCTCCCTTTCTCACCAGTGGTCAGTAAGATTCGGGTGGTGTTGGACATCACCTGAACAGATGTGGAGGTGGAGGGGGGTTGAGGTGTAGGCAGGGGCTGTGGAGCACCCTGGGGGGGCAGGTGTTGGACACTGGGGTCCCGGAATCAGGCCCTGTGATCTCAGGGAGGCTCACCTGGCTTCTGGTTCCCAATCCCCTTCTGGGTGAGTGGACGTGCACCCCTCCCCCAGTGCAGAGGGCTTGTTGGGGTACTCTGCAGGTCTTTTCTCCCCACAGCAGGGGTGGAGTAGGAGAAGGGAAGCTTCGGAGGGAGGGGCTCTGGGCTGGGAAGGAGGGAGGGTCTGAGAAGCAGGGAGCCCTGGGACTGGTTGGGGCGGGTCACTCTGACACGGATCTCACTGTGGAGGGGGTGATGTTGCTGAGACCTGCATGGGTCCGGGCTTCCAGTGGCCCCACCAGAATCCAGGGCCACCAGGGTGGGGGGTGCTGGTGGTTTCTGAGTACCTTCCCACACTGCCCCCATGGCAGACCCCTCCCAGCAGATCCCAAACATTCCCCACTATGCAGGGGAAGGGTGAAGCCACATTCCCCACTACTCAGGGGAAGGGTGGAGCCCCCTTCCTCTGGGACCACCCGCCTGGAGTCACCTCCTCTGGGCCTGCATATCCCTCCCGGGGAGGGACAGAAAGGAAGGTGGCAGCTGGAGGGCTTCCAGAGACCACCGACCAGCACCGGGCAGACAGGAAGACTCTGGAAGTCAAGCTATGACTTTTTTTGAGACAGGGTCTCGCTTTGCCACCCAGGCTGGAGTGCGGTGGTGCGATCTCAGCTCACTGCAACCTCCATCTCCTGGGCTCAAGTGATTCTCCTGCCTCAGCCTCCCAAAGTGCTGGGATTATCTGCATGAGCCACCGCTCCCAGCCTAAAGGGGACATTTTCATTGTCAGTTTCTTAATTTCCACTTTAGAGGGCAGGAAACTAAATCAGCCAGTTTGGTCCAATGGCAGGGGTTTGGGCCCCTTCTGAGGGCAGCCTGCTCTTCAATTGTGGGGGCTGCCTCAGGGGGCCTTTGGTTTCGCATTGATGGGATGGCTGTACCACTCATCTTCCAAACCAGGACAGCTTTGAGAGAGAAACAGGTACCAGTGACGCCAGGACACCAGGGGTGGTGCAGCGCACCTGCAGAGCTGAGCCAGGCTCCGTCGTGGGCGGATGCGCCACCGGCAAAATGCATCTGTTTGTTGCTGCGTCACAAATGACCCTCAGACGTAAATCCCAGAGACCATGCATTTTGCTCCCAAATCTGCAATTTGGGCAGGGCTCAGCAGGACTGTCTCATCTCTGTCCACGTGGCATCAGCCGGGGTGCCCGAGTGGGGGCTGGAGGGCCACCTCTGTCATGGTTCACTCGGCATGGTGGCTGGAGCCCAAGTCAGCCTCCCAGGAGAACAAGATGGAGGTGCGTGGACTCCAGAGCTGTGAAAAGAAAATCCGTAATGGAGATGGTTATGTCAGGGCTATCTAAAAAGGAACTGGGAGGGCAAGAGGAGCTGGACCCCGTCCAACTCGCCAGATAGAATTGATCTGTTGACCTGGGCCGGATCGTGAACCAGCTGCATTTGATTTGAACCATTCACACCGGGCCTGATCACTGGTCTCCTGGAGACAGGCACACCTGACTAGATTGATCATCAGCCAGAGCTGTCCTAAGCTGTTAAGCCCCCACCGTCGGTCATGGACCATGCCAACAGCTTCCGGATGTGTAGACTCACAGCAAACCTTTGTAAGCCCCTGCCCGGCCTCCCCCGCACAGACACGTTTGAGCTCCTTGCTAGATCTGTGTCTCCTGAACCGCAGTTCCTGAGGCCCTCCTTCTCTTTTGTTTCCTGATCTACAGTGTTGGTCTATTTTTTGTCAGTTGACAGAACATAGCCTTGCAAGTCACCCAGTCCCTTTTTTTTTTTTGAGAGAGGGTCTTGCTCTGTTGCCCAGGTTGGAGTGCAGTGGTGCAATCATGGCTCACTACAGCCTTGACCTCCTAGGCTCAAGCGATCCTCCTGCTTCAGCCTTGTGAGTAGCTGGGACTACAGATGTGTGTCACCATGCCTGGCTAATTAAAACAATTTTTTTTTTTTTTGTAGAGAGGGGGGTCTCACTATGTTGCCCAGGCTGGTCTTGAACTCCTCCGCTCAAGTGACCGTCTTGCCTCGGCCTCCCAAAGTGCTGGGATTACAGGCGTGAGCAACTGTAATGCACCAAGCTAACCCAGCTCACTTCTGCTATCCTCTGTCAGCAGAGACCCAAAGGCCTGGCCAGGCTCAAGGGGAGGGGACACAGCCCCTGCCTCTTGACGAGGGAGAGGCAGGGTTAGGAGGGCTTGTGGGATAGGAGATGGCACGGTGGCCATTATGGGACCCAGGCAGCCTCAGGAGGCGTGGGGGATGGCACTGCTCTCACAGGGAACATCTGAGCCCTGCGGGGGCAGGTGCATCTCAGCAGTGCGGGTGTGCACCCGGAGAGATGCTTCTCTGCTCACATGGGTTTGTGCCCGTGCCCTGTCTGCACAGTTTTCTGCAGGCTCTGAAGGAGCAGCCATGCACATGCTTTCTGCTTCCTCTTTCTTGACAGCGCTTGCCTGTGGGTGCCAGGACCCCACATGCTTTTGGTTCCCCTCTGGATGAGTGAGCCCAAGTTACCGTAACAGAAGACCTCAGCCTGGGCAGCTTAGACGATAGACCTTTATTTTCTCACAGCTCTGGAGCCTGGAAGTCCAAGATCAAGGTGCCACCAGTGTCAGAGCTGGTTTCTCATGAAACCTTCTCCCGGCCTTGCTGCGCCCACCTCTGGTGTCTCCTCCTCTTCTTGGAAGGCCACAGCCCTGTTGGATTAGGGCCCACCCTTATGACTTCGTAAAGGTCGTAGTTACCTTCTAAAGACCCTATTTCCAAATCAGTCACATTGGGGGTTGCGGCTTGACATAAGGATTTGGGGGGGCCACACTTCAGTCCATAGCACCCTCCTACCTCCCTGGCTGCCCCACCTCTGCCTCTGTCATCCCCTCCTCTCCCCGAGGAGAGGCCTCCTCTCCGGAGGGGCCGTGCCCCATCTCATCTATGAAGACTGCCCCCCGCCCCCGCTCCCGCGCTGTCTGTGCACCGTCAGCCTCCCACCGCCCTCCACGTCCTCAGAAACACACACTTGATGAGGCTGAAAGAACCGTGACTCTCTCGCCCGCCCCCACCATCTGCTTTTGCCTCCCGTGGGACACCCCACCACTTTGTCAAGCCCCGAGCCAGCCTCTCTCCGTGTTCTTCCCTCCCCTCACTGCCTCCACACCGAGGAGCTAGGCACTGCTTCCTAAGTCTCCCTTCCTGCATTGCTCACCACCTCCCCTGCCGCCACCATGTCCAGGGGCCAAAATTGTTCTGTCTGTTCTCCCTCCCTCCGCTGGGGCCTGAGGGCAGTCTGCTCCCATGGGAGCCGGCGGGATGCTGGCAAGTCACAGATGCAATCCTGTCCATGGCTCCCGCCTCCCTGCAGGTTACAAACATGCCTCCCTTTTCCTGCTGTTGGAATGAAGCTCAGAACCACGGCCCTGAGGCCCCATCCTGTCTGGTCCTGCTGCCTTCAGCCACGTCTCAGACCCCTTTCTGCGCCCGTCTGCCTCCAGCCGCACTGACATCAGTGCCAGGCATGCGCCTCTTCCCTCCTTCCCCAGGGCCTTTGCACGTGTAGCTCCCGCTGCCTGAGCACTCTTCCATGGCTCTGGCTCAGTCTGACATTCTATTTTTTCCTTGGAGAGTTAAGTGGAAGTTATATGCTCTATTTCTATTTTAAAATAGTCACTCTTAGAATTTTAACAAGTATATTTAGAATTCAAAGATAGCCAGTGTTTCCATCCTCCTCCTGATCACGCCCCTCCTGGCTCACAGATCATTACGACTGCCCAATACTCAGGTCTGCCTTGCCTTTATCACCCTCCACTTTCCACAGGGCTTTGTTGCACACAGCCAGCACTCGTTGAGGTTTGCACATGTTTGCACCCCACTCTTTCTGGCAGCCCAGGCGTCCCCTCTTTCTGAGCTGTATTCTGTGGAGGTTGCTCTGCTAAGGAGCTGGGTGGTGGCGCAGTCATTTTGCTGATCTGATGCTTCTCCCACACCCGTAAGTGGGAGTGGAGCAGGGCGTGTGGGTCCGGCTGCTGCCTCTGCCTCGGCACTTCAGAGACGGTCATCTGCTCCTGTTCTTGCCGTTCGCGGGGTCTGCCTCCAGCAAGTTCTCCTTCAGCATTCTGAGTGTACCACGGGACAGCTAGGTATGGGCTGCTTTTATTCTTCCTGCTTGAGAGTGCTGCACTCTTGAGGCTGAAGTTTCCATATTTTATCAGTTCTGGAAAATTCTCAGCCATATTGTCAGGGAGCTGGTGGGCTCTCCCCGTTTTATTTATTTCCACCTCTTGGAATTCCTTCCTTCCTTCCCGCCTTCCCACCTTCCCTCCTTCCCTCCTTCCCTCCTTCCTTCCTTCCTTCCATCCTTCCTTCCCTTCCCTCCCTCCCTCCCTTCCTCCCTCCCTCCCTTCCTTCCTTCCCTCCTTCCCTCCTTTCCTCCCTCTTCCCTCCCCTTCCTTCCCCTTCCCTCCCCTTCCCTTCTCTTTTCTTTTTGAGGCAAGTCTCGCTCTGTCACCCAGGCTGGAGTGCAGTGGCATGATCTCTGCTCACTGCAAGCTCCGCCTCCTGGGTTCACGCCATTCTCCTGCCTCAGCCTCCCGAGTAGCTGGGACTACAGGCACCCACCACCACGTCTGGCTAAGTTTTTGTATTTTTAGTAAAGACAGGGTTTCACTATGTTAGCCAGGATGGTCTCAATCTCCTGACCTCATGATCCGCCCGCCTCAGCCTCCCAAAGTGCTGGGATTACAGGTGTGAGCCACCGCGCCCGGCTTCTTTTCTTTTCTTTCTTCAGAGTCTCGCTTTCCTGCCCAGGCTGGAGTGAAGTGGCGCAATCTTGGCTGCACTGCAACCTCTGCCTCCCAGGTTCTCCGGGATTCTCCTGCCTCAGCCTCCCGAGTAGCTGGGATTACAGGCACCCGTCATCATGCCTGGCTAATTTTTGTATTTTTAGTAGAGATATGTTTTCACCATGTTGGCCAGGCTGGGTTCGAACTCCTGGCCTCAAGTGATCCACCTGCCGTGGCTTCCCAAAGTGCTGGGATTACAGGCATAAGCCACTGTGCCCAGCCCCTCTGGAATTTCGATCGGAAGTACGGAAAACCTTCTTATCCATCTCTCCTATGTCTTAACCTCTTCTGAACCCCCTTAACACCTCCTATCTGTCTGTGCCGATTAGGGGTGATCACAGTCTTCCCTATCGATTCCTCACTTCCCTCTTGATCTGCATCAAATCAGCTGCCAGACCAGCTGACTGGGGGCTTGTTTCCACACCGTCTTCCCATGTTTCCAGGTACAGTTCAAGTTCAGTGGCAGTAAGTACATTCGCATTGTTGTGCAACCAATCTCCAGAACTTTTTGACCTTCCCAAACGGAAACTCTGAAACAGCAAACACAAACTCCCCACACCCTCCTTCCCCCAGCCTGGCACCCTCCATTCTGCTTTCTGTCTCTGCGGTTTTGACTGCTCTGGGAGCCTCACAAACATGGAGTCAGGCAGCACTTGCCCTTTTGTGTCGGTTCTTTCCCTCAGCATAATGTCTTCAAGCCTGAGCTGTGTGGCAGCCTGTGTCAGGACCTCCTGTGTTTGTTGTTGTTGTTGGTGTTGTTGAGGCTGGATAATATTCCCCTTGATGGATACGCCACTTTTTTCTTTTTGAGACAGGGTCTCGCTCTGTTGCCCAGGATGGAGTGCAGTGGCGCCATTATGGCTCACTGCAGCCTCGACCTCCCTGGGCTCAAGCAATCCTCCCACTTCAGCCTCCTGAGTAGCTGGGACTACAGGCGCACACCAGCATGTTTAGCTAATTTTCGTATTTTTTGTATTGATGGATTTTCACCTGTTGGCCAGGTTGGTCTTGCACTCCTGAGTTCAAGCGGTCCACCCGTCTTGGCCTTCCATGTGATGGGATTACAGGCGTGAGCCACCTCGCTCGGCCTGGATACACCAGGTTCGCCCAGCCGCCTCGCCCGGCCTGGATACACCAGGTTCGCCCAGCCGCCTCGCCAGGCCTGGATACACCAGGTTCGCCCAGCCGCCTCGCCCGGCCTGGATACACCAGGTTCGCCCAGCCGCCTCGCCAGGCCTGGATACACCAGGTTCGCCCAGCCGCCTCGCCCGGCCTGGATACACCAGGTTCGCCCAGCCGCCTCGCCCGGCCTGGATACACCAGGTTCGCCCAGCCGCCTCGCCAGGCCTGGATACACCAGGTTCGCCCAGCCGCCTCGCCAGGCCTGGATACACCAGGTTCGCCCAGCCGCCTCGCCCGGCCTGGTTACACCATGTTCGCCCAGCCGCCGCGCCAGGCCTGGATACACCAGGTTCGCCCAGCCGCCGCGCCAGGCCTGGATACACCAGGTTCATCCATCCGTGAGCACCTGGGCTGCTTCTACCTTCGTGTGTTGGTGAATGATGCTGCTGTGGACACGGGTGTGCAGATATCTGTTCAAGTCCTTGCACTCAGTTCTTGGGCGAATACCCAGAAGTGAAATGTCCGGATGATGTGGCAATTCTAATATAAGTTTTTGAAATACTGTTTGAAATATCGCCATTCTGGTCTCCACAGTGGCTGCACCGGTTTGCCCTCTCTACCGTAAACACCCTCCATGCTCTGCGATTCATCCCTTCCCCCCCGCTAACCCTGGCAACTACGGGTCCTTTTACTGTCTCCGTAATTTCCCCTTCTCTGGGATGTCCTAGAGTTGGAATCATATAGTATGTGGCCTCTTCAGACTGGCTTCTTTCACTCAGTAATATGCATTTAGGGTTCTTCCATGGATTTTCATGGCTTCACAGCTGTCTTTTAAGTTTATCAACTTCATATAAACACACTGCCCTGCTTTGTCCTCAGGTTCTGTGAGTTTCGAAGAGGTAGTTTAAGGAGTCAACTGGGTTGGACTACAAGTTTTTGTTCTTTTTCTGTTTGGAAAAGCAACAGTGCATATCACCAGTTCGGGATTCCTGGCTCAATACCACCAGCTCGGGATTCCTGGCCCACAGGCCTTGAGCATGAGACGACTGTGGTTCTGAGGCTAGATATCGTAACCTCTCCATATGGAGAAGGATGCGGGAGAAGTGATCACGGGCTTGGCTCTCCCCAACCCCCCTGTAAAACATGAGCCACCGAGATTGCACAACCGGAGACACAGAGGACACTGTCCACAGTAAAGCCTGGTGGCAGCATGTTCCCCTGGAACACAAAATAAGAGTGGGCAGGAAGAGACCACCAACCTGGTGGCTGGCGAGCACGAGGAAGCTGAAAGCAGTGGTGGGCATTGGTGGGCTTGGGACGCCATGGACCTCCTCAGGGGCTCCCTGAGCCAACGTGGGGAGCAGCCATGGTGGGAGGGGTGGACACACACTTGGTGGGGAGCCAGGACAGCCCGGTCGGAAACGTTCACAACCGCCAGCCCAAGCCTCCTAAGGGGAGAGTGCTGGGACACAGCGACCAGGAGAAAGGTGCCCAGGCTGAGCCGGGAGAGAGGCGGGTGGGAGCACCTAGAGCCGCACACGAGGGCGCTGTAGAGTCACCGCTGTGCCACGTGGCGCCGGGTCTCCAGGCCCAGCTAGAGGATGCACCTGCTGGGAACAAGCCCTGCAGGAGGGGAGCAGGGGGGCAGCCCTCGACAGCAGGAGCCACTGGGAGATGAACCTGTGCGCGCCAGCAGCTTGGTCCCTTTGCTGCATGGCCAGCGGCTCCGATGCGTAAACAGTGGACAATTATTTCATGGTTTCTGGAGTTGGCATTTAGGAGGGGCTCATTTGGGAAGCTCAGGTGCGGGGTCTTGCACGTGGTCAGATGCTTGCGGGGATGGCTGTCATCTGAAGGCCTGGCTGTGCTCAAGTATCTGTCCAGGTGCCCCATGTCAGAGGGAACCCAGGCCCGGTTGTGCCCAGGGTGTCTGGTGCCTGTGGGCCGGGCCGTGGGTCTGCTCCTGTACCTGGTGCTGGTCACTGGGCCCCTCCTGCGGCCACTTCTCACTGACAAAACGCTGCCCCGCTTTGTCCCCAGGTTCTGTGAGTTTCAAAGAGGGGTTTCAGAACATCCCCTCCACCATGTGGTGGGATGCTGACTCCGGAGCATGGACTGTGTGCTGGCAGCACGTGGACTCCGCAAAGACAGACTGGCTTAGCCTTCCAAGCGAAAGCCGTCAACACCTCTGCTCTACGGAGGGGGAAACAGAGGCCCAGGGAGGTGAGGTGGCTCCAGGAGGAGCTAGGCTGTGATGGGCAGGGGCCAGGGAGGTGAGGGCTGTGGGGACTCAGCTCTGTACCCCAGCCTCGCGGCACCTCATGGAGGCCAGCCTGAGGGCCCTCCAGACCTGGGAGTCCTGCCCTGCGGCCCACAGGCCCGATGGCTTCACAGGTGGTAGAGGCCTCCAGTGCAGATCCCCGTCCACGCCCTCCTTCTGGACTTCCTGGCTGAGGCCTTATATGTCAAGAGTGGGTAGGGGTGGGGAGGTTAGGTGTGCCCCCACTGTGCCCGGCAGATGCTGGGGATGGGGAGGTGCTGGCAGGTGGGCTGGGGCTGCCCTTGGCCCCACCTTTCCAGTGTGAAGTTTGTGCAGCTTCTGCCTGGCCCAGTCGGGGTGTGACTGGCCTCAGGTGTGGGCCGTGAAACCCCAGGCCCACCCTCCCACTCCCAGCCATTCCTTGAAGGGGCCCAGGCCACCTGCACTGGAGTGGGACGCAGGTGTCTGCAGCGTTCAGGAAAGATGGCAGGTGTCCACGACACCCCAGCCACGCCCAGGACCTTCTGGACAGGCTCCTGTAGGGGTGGGGGTGGAGTCCTAATTATAGGGAGCCTGAAGACCAGGCCAGGACTTCGAGGCATCTTGATGCTACCCATCCCCAGACCCAGCGGCTCTGCCCCAGGGTGGGCCCCAGCCAGCCAGAGGAGCCCCGAGGCTGGGAGATGGGGAGACTGAGGCAGGGTGGGCAAGCGCTGGGTGGTGCGGGGGCAACCAAACCAGGACCCAGGCAGGAGGCTGGAAGCCCCCTGGGCCCCCTCTGTCCCTGCACCTCCTCTCCCCCTCCGCCCCCTCTTCCCCTGCGCCCCGCTCGGCCAGGGGGCGCCCGCTTCAGTGTCCGTTTGGGGGGCGCGGCGCGCCCTCTGGCGGTAAGCGGTGGCATCGCCCTCCTTTGTCAAGGCTGACGACGGGGGAGGAGGAGGGGCAGGGAGAGGGAAGCGGGGATGGAAGGAGAGAGTGGGGAGTGGAGGGTCCGCAGTCAGGCGGGGGCTGCAAAGGCGAGAACGCCTGGGAGGACGTTCCAGGGCGGGGCGGGCTCACGCGGCTCCGGGGCAGCGAATGTCCAGACCCTCGACTTCCTCGGCCCCTCGGCCTCCCCACCCGGAGCATGGACTTGCCCGGACGCCCAGAAAGCCGCTCTCCACCCTGGGGCTGGTGGCGTCGCAGCCCCCGACCGCAGCAGCGATTCCCGGTGGCCCGTCTCAGGTTTGCGGAAGTGCTGCCCCAATCCTCCTTTGTCCCGTAGACTTGTTCGTGTGAACAAAGACGCTCAGTGCTAGCCCCTAAAACCCAAAAAGCAGGAGGACATTCCACGCGGGATAGTGAGTCTTTTCAACAAGTCGTCGTCACCCATGGAAACAGGGGCTACACGGAAAAAAGCCCGTCCCCTTCATCGGGAGATGCATCCCCAATGAAAACTTCCTTTTTCTGTGTAACAATTTTTAATCAAAATGTATAATATAGATTATTTATATCCCAATCAGTGGTTTTGAGGAACTGTGGGCTAATAATTGAAAAATAATGAATCCAGTAGAAACATTTAAAGATAAGAGACTTATGAAGTAAAGAATGAAAAGTGGCATTTCAATTTATACACATATTTCCATTACGGAAAAGCACAGTGAGGCCAGCGGAGGACTTGGAGCAGAAGATATGTCATGTTGGCATAAAATTCTGTGGGCAAAGTGGAGGGAAAATACAAGGCAAAGGAGAAAACATTTAAGTCTGTTAAAAAATTGTCTCTTAAAAATTGATGATTAAATCACCATGATATTTAGATTTCGTTGGATTCATTTAAAAGACTGGCCAACATGGTGAAAACCTGTCTCTACTAAAAATACCAAAATTAGCCGGGCGTGGTGGTGGGCACCTGTAATCCCAGCTGCTCGGGAGGCCGAGGCAGAATTGCTTGAACCTGGGAAGCGGAGGTTGCAGTGAGCCGAGATCACACCATTGCACTCCAGCCTGGGCCACAGAGCGAGACTCCATCTCAAGAAAGAAAGAAAGAGAGAGGGAGACAGAGAGAGAGAGAGAGAGAGAGATGGCGGGAGGGAGGGTGGGAGGACTGGTCCAACCGTTATCTAATGAATATCAATATGAACCAGCGATCCGTGCAGCAATATGGATGACTTTATAAACATGATGCTGAGCAAAAGAGACCTTCCACAGAACAGGACCTGCTGTGATTCCTTTTATGTGGTGTTCTAGAACAGGCAAGAAATCGTACCAGGGGATGTCTTTTGGGGTAGGGTGGGGGTGGGGCTTTGCCAGGAGAGGGCATGAGGGAACATTCTGGATTGGTGGTGGTGTTCTCCCTCTTCGTAGGTGTATGCGTTTGTTAGAAGTCATCTAGGCAACCACTAATCTATTATTATTATTTTTTTTGATATGGAGTCTTGCTCTGTCACCCAGGCTGGAGTGCAGTGGTCACTGCACCCTCCACCTCCCAGGTTCAAGCAATTCTCCTGCCTCAGCAGCCGAGTAGCTGAGATTACAGGCGTGCACCCCCACACCTAACTAATTTTTGTATTTTTAGTAGAGATGGGGTTTCACTATGTTGGCCAGGATGGTCTTGAACTCCTCACCTCAGGGCTTCCACCGCCTTGGCCTCCCAAAGTGCTGGGATTACAGGCGTGAGCCACCGTGCCCAGCCTTTACTTTCTGTCTCTATGGATTTCTCTCTTCTGGACTTTCATGTGGATGGAGTTGTGTAGTGGGTGGCCCTTTATGTCTACCTCTTTTCCCTTAGCTTACTGTTTTCAAAGTTCATCCACATTGTAGCATGTATCAGTAATTCATTCCCTTTATGGCCAAATACTATTTACTACATGTAAATTTTACTTTAAAGAAAAAAAGGAGGCCAGGCCCAGTGGCTCACACCTGTAATCCCAGCACTTTGGGAGGCCAAGGTGGGCAGATCACTTGAGGTCAGGAGTTCAGGACTAGCCTGGCCAATACAGCAAAACCCCATCTCTCCTAAAAAATAAAATGAAATAAAAAACTTAGCCGGCTGTGGTCGTGGGCGCCTGTAGTCCCAGCTACACAGGAGGCTGAGGCAGGAGAATTGCTTGAACCCAGTAGGCGGAGGTTGCAGTGAGCTGAGATTGCGCCATTGCACTCCAGCCTGGGCGACAGAGTGAGACTCCATCTCAAAGAAAAAAAAAAAAATAGAGAAAAGGGGCCAGGTGCTGTGGCTCATGCCTATAATCCCAACCCTCTGGGAGGCTGAGGCAGGAGGATCACTTGAGCGCAGGAGTTCAAGACCAGCCTGGGCAACATAGGGAGACACCAGCTCTACAAAAAATAAAAAAAAAATTAGCCGAGTTGTGGTGGTGCATGACTGTAGTCTCAGCTACTTGGGAGGCTGAGGAGGGAGGATCACTTGAGCCTGGGAGGTTGAGGCTGCAGTGACCCACGATTGCACCACACTGCACTCCATCCAGCCTGGGTGACAGGGTAAGACCCCAGTAAATCATAAATGAATATTGAACTTCAGTTCCCTATGTAGGAAGTAAAACTTCCTCTTCAAAGTTTCCCTTCTTGTTAAAGAATAAATCGTGTTAAAAAAAATAGTTTCTTTTAGAGACTAACTTCCTTCAAGACTCCTTGCTTTGTGCTAGTAACTCTTTGTGAAGCCCTATCCTATGTAGCTGTTAAACATGCTCACAGGCACGTAATACATTCCATGTCTTTGTACTTTAACCAAAATATCTGTACCGGACGTGCTCGCAGGCATATCCCAGCTCACAGCCTATGCCCCTTCCCTATTTGGCAAAAGCAACTTCTTCTTTTCCTTTGTCTTTCCATTACTTTTACCTATTTGGAAAAGTTTTAAACTTTTAGCCAGTTGGGTTTTAGTTTAGATTGTGAGGCCTGGCTCCAGCCAATGGAGACAGGACACAGTACCAGGGACAAACTGTGTACAGGATAAAAATTGCTTCCCTCCTTTGTTCAGATGTGCTCTCGCCATTGTTGCATTTGCGATGGGCACCCTTTCTGCAGAAAGTAAAAATGGCCTTACTGAGAGAATTAAATTTATGTTCAAGTGCTGTTTCTTTGCAGCACTGGGGAACGAGCATTCTATTTCTAAACAAACATTTTTACATATAACACCCTATAATCTGCCTGCTGAAGGGCTCAGAGGGAGTAGACTGCAATTTACTTTAAAATGTACTAAGGGCCGGGCACAGTGACTGATGGCTGTAATCCCAGCACTTTGGGAGGCCAAGATGGATGGATCACCTGCGGTCAGGAGTTCAAGACCAGCCTGGCCAACATGGGGAAACCCTGTCTCCACTAAAAATAAAAAAAATTAGCTGGGCGTGGCGGCGGGTGCCTGTAATTCCAGCTACTAGGAAGGTTGAGACATGAGAATTGCTTGAACTCAGGAAGCAGAGGTTCCAGTGAGCTGAGATTATGCCACTGCACTCCAGCCTGGGCGACAGAGTGAGACTGTGTCTCAAAAAAAGAAAAAAAAAAATAGGAGGCCGGGCACAGTGGCTCATGCCTGTAATCCCAGCACTTTGGGAGGCCAAGGTAGGCAGATCACTTGAGCTCAGGAGTTTGATACCAGCCTGGACAACATGGCAAAACCCCGTCTCTACAAAAAATACAAAAATTAGCTGGTGTGTTGGTGTTGGCGCCTGTAAACACAAGCCCAGCTACTCGGGAGGCTGAGGTGGGAGGCTCCCTTGAGCCCAGGAGTGAGCTGAGATCACGCCACTGCACTCCAGCCTGGGTGACAGAGTGAGACCCTGTCTCAAAAAATAAAACAAAATAAAATGAAACATATTTAAAAAGACGGCCGAGGGACGCATAGCTGGTGGGGAGAGGGAGCAACCAGGGCAGAGCTTGGACCATATATGCGTTAATGGGAGACTCTAGAAGGAGGTAGATGGTGTCTGCTGTACAATTCTTTCAACTTGGCTGTGTGTTTACAAAGGTTCAGAATAAAATAGTAGGGAAGATGTTTGAAGAGCCCTGCGGAAGAAGGCTTGGGTTGCGGAGTTGGCGTGGTGGTCCCTCCGCCTGGTCCAAGCTGGCTGCCCCTCCAATGTCCCTGATCTTGAGAAGTTGCTGGCTGAGCTCCTGGAGGCCCTGCATGTGAGTGGGCATGAAGAGTGTGAATACCTGTGCTGTGGAGGCCTGGGGTTGACTCCTGGCATGTAAAGCCTGTTTCTGTTAGAGTTTGGAAGTAACATGTGTTCCCTATTTGTGAGGAACAATACAATAATACAGCCCAACAATACAATAACAAGTGACATCACTACAGCTGGGGAGGAGATAGAGAGGGAGGAATCAGGGTGTGATTCCAGGCTCTCCTAAATTCCAGGCTCTCCTAAATTTCTTTTGAGTCATATTTTCTTTCTTCTTCTAGTTTCTTAAATGAAAGCACACTTTCATCCTTTCTTACCTTTTATTAGAATTACTTAAGGCTAGGCTGGGCACAGTGTCTCACACCTGTAATCCCAGCACTTTGAGAGGCCGAGGCAGGCAGATCATGAGGTCAGGAGATCGAGACCATCCTGGCTAACACGGTGAAACCCTGTCTCTACTAAAAATACAAAAAAAAAAAAAAAAATTAGCCGGGCATGGTGGCAGGCACCTGTAGTCCCAGCCACTCGGGAGGCTGAGGCAGGAGAATGGCGTGAACCCGGGAGGCGGAGCTTGCAGTGAGCAGAGATCGCGCCATTGCACTCCAGCCTGGGTGACAGAACGAGATTCTGTCTCAAAAAAAGAAAAGAATTACTTAAGGCTATACTTTGTCCTTTGAGAGCCACTTTGGCTGCGTCCCAGGGTTTTTGATGTGTGGTGCTCTTGTTATCAAATTAGTTGAGCCTCTAATTTGATGTTTCATTTCCTCTAACTCAGAGTCATTCAGAAGAGTGTGTATCTCGTCTTACGCTAGCATTGGCAGCTAACATTCGCTGAGTGCTGTCTGTGTGTGTCACGCTCTGTGTGCTGTGGATATTAAGTGTTTCACTGCCTTTAACTTGCAGAATACAGAGACGTGTAACAGCCTGGTCCTCATTCCGCCGATGAGGAAGCAGAGTCATCTAGCCTGTAAGTAGAAAACGTGTCAGACGTAGTGTCTATCCCACGTCTAAGCTGACAAGAGGTGAGGACTTTAAAGAAGGTGATCTGTTGTTAGTTCCCTGTTTTATTGCACTGTGATCAGAGTTTCACAATTTCCCCTTCAGGGACCTACTGGGATTTCCTTGGGGATCTTGAACATGCTGTTTTTTTCACTTGTTTGTTATTCGAAAGGAATGCACTTCCTTTCTTTGTTGAGTGTGAAGTCCTGTAGATCTGGTAATTTATGGTGGTTAATTGTTCTATTAATATTCTTTTTTCCTTTACTCATTCTTTGATCTGACAATTACCGAGAGAGGTGTGTTGAAGTCTCCCACTGTGACTGTGGTTTAGGAAGATTCTCCCTGTGTTTCTAGCAGCTTTTTTCCATATGTTTTGGAGCAAAAGGTTAATAACTGTGATGTGGTCTCAATGGATGTGTCAGTCTGGCCCTGTGGGGGGCCCTGTCAAGGTCTCTGCCAAGCCTAGCATCTAATTTCTAAATTTAATTTCCTCCAAGATTGTGTGGGATTTTGCTCCTTAAGGGTTTTAGAAAACAAAAGCAACCATCCTGGCCTCTTACGCCAGTAAAATGAACCCTGAAGACCAGGAACCAATAGAGCACCGTGATGACCGCCTGTGTCATGCTCAAGCTGGGCGTTCTCTAGCTCCAAGATTTGCTGTCCTCTGGGCCTGCCTGGGTGCTGCTTGGCTGGTAGCGAGAGAAGGGCTCAAGTCTCATGAAATAATCAGCGTGGATTTCTAGTGCTCAGTTCCTAATCCACGTGCTGAGACTTTTGAGTCGATGGCTCCAATGCTGACTGCTGCCAAGTCCAGGTTGCAGGTGCCCAATTGCACAGGGTGGCTGTGGGGGCAGCCCGGGGAGAGGTCTGCTTTCGGCTGGGCCTCGGGGAGCCTCACAGACTGGGCAGTATTTGCCATCTGAGCAAAGCAGATTGCCCTTCCCAGTGTGGGTGCCACATCCAATCAATTGAAGACCCAAATAGAACAAAGAGGCTGAGTAGGAGTGAGCTTTTCTGGCTTGACTGAGCTGGGACGTGGGTCTTCTCCTGGCCTTGGATTACAACTGACACCACTGACCCCTTTGTCTCCCGCAGGCTGACTGCAGATCTGGGGGCTTCTCAGTGCTGTAATCGCATGAGCCAATCCTTGCAATCAGTCTCTCTCATATGCATACGAAGATAGGCGTTCACACATCCAATTGGCTCTGTTTCTCTGGAGAATCCTGGTACACATTCTGGACCACTGGCCTCTCCTACATTAACTTCATATTCTGAGATGCCCGGGCTGGCTTTCCTGCAGGCACAGGAGGAATGAATGAGTGTTGGAGTCAGCTCAGGGAGACGTGCGTGTAGCATTTGCACAAGTGCAATTAGAAGGATCGCAGAGGGTTTCTCTCCTTGGAGACCAATGTCTGGGTGAAACACACAACCCTGGGCTTGCCGACAGGGTGAATTACACTTCTGACCTAAATAGAATATTCTCTTTGTTCCATTAATACTTTTGCCCTGAAATCTACCTTCAAGGCGAAGTACGATGGTAATATTCCCACAATGCCACCTCCTTCTTCTCTTTCTTTTTGAACTCCCCTGGTAGAGCCCCCTGGGGTGGGGACCTGGCTCTCCTTAGGTCTGTGATCCCTCCAGAGCGTGAGGAGCTGGTGGAGGGGAAGGGATGGGGCCTGGCTCTCTAGGGAGGCCATAAAGGGGAATATGTTCTGGGCCGTGTCACCCTGATAGCATCAGGATGCCGGTCCCACCCACATTTTTGTTCGTTGCCCTTCCCTGTCCTGGGGAGGGGCACCAGCACCCAAAGCAACCTGACACAAGACCCTTCCCTGACCCTCCAGGCCAGCTTGTCAGGACACGAGGCTGGGGGGCGGGTGGGTAGCAGGTGGGGGAGGGGCACGGGGCCTTGCCACCTCTCTGCACAATGCAAGATCCCAGAAGGGGGCTCTGGGGTGGGCTTCCGGACTGACGGACGGCCTCCTGTGCTTCCTTTAGGCTTTCCTTTCTTTCTTTTATTTTTTGAGATGGAGTTTCACTCTTGTCTCCCAGGCTGCAGTGCTGCAATGGTGTGATCTCAGCTCACTGCAACCCCAGCCTCCCAGGTTCAAGTGATTCTCCTGCCTCAGCCTCCCGAGTAGCTGGAATTACAGGCACCCGTCACCATGCCCAGCTAATTTTTTTTGTATTTTTAGTAGAGATGGGGTTTCACTATGTTGGCCAGGCTGGTCTTGAACTCCTGAACTTGTGATCCGCCCGCATTGGCCTCCCAAAGTGTTGGGATTATAGGCGTGAGCCACCACACCCAGCCTCCAAAGCAGAGAAATTCCCTTCCGGTTCATAACACAATTCCCCTTAAGTCTGCGGAAGCACCAGCGGTCGCCAGAGCTGGATTTTGAGGAGTGAACGCTGTGGGGAGGAAGCTGAGCCAGTGGTCCCCTGTGGTAGGTGTAACTGCCCAGGACCATGGTGACTGCCCAGGGGCGGCCGTGGATGGCGTCCTCCATGCAGCCCAGTCCTGCCTCTCCCACCTCTTCCAGCACCCAAGTGCCTGAGCCTTTCTGGGGTCGGACCGGTCCGGGTGCTTCCATGTGCCCCTCTGTGGGGCTGTCACTACATGGCAACTCTCCTCCTCTGGGACCACCGTGGGCTGCCCAGCCCCAGGCCAGGCGGTGGCTCCACTGACTTGACCAGGTTGGGTGTGGGGGAGGGTGCCATTCCCCTTGGGGCCTCTGGTCTCTGGGTTCTGAGCATGGCTGTCTCTGGCTCAGGGGCTGTCCTGTGTGTGGGTGACCAGCACAGCCCCCAGGCCTCCGTGCTCCAGAGGCCTTGGTCCCAGAGAGTGCTCAGAGCTGGTCAGAAAAGGCCCCGAGAACAGCTTCCTCCCCCCGAGCCCCAGGCAGGCTGTCCTCTCCCACCACCGAGACGGCTCTCAGTTCCATCTTGGCAGAAATGTCTCCACAAGGCCCACCCTGTGGGCCCGGGGCCGTTCCGACCTTGAGGGATCCCGGATGGAGTCCTGTGCTGAGACTTTCTGGGAGGAAGGAAGTGGAGCTTCAGCCTTGAAACCCGCAGTGGTGGCTGACACAGGGGTGCAGCCACAGGCAGTCGGGTTCATCTCCCAGCAGCCCTGGGCTGAGCATGGACTCCTCCCCTGGGTCGAGGAGAGAGGGGGTCCCAGGGCCAGGGCAGACGGAGGGGACTCTGCTCAGACTCTGCTGGACAAAGACCAGGCCGCGCGAATGCGGGGCTTGTGAGACTCACCAGGCCCCGGGCAGGCTGCAGAGCCACCTTCACTCCTCACTCACCCTGTGGGGCCTGCACTCATTCATTCACCCTGATGGGGCCTTCACTCATTCATTCACCTGATGAGGCTTTCACGCGTTCCTTCACCTGATGGGGCCTTCACTCCTTCATTCACGCTGTGGGGCCTTCACTCATTCCTTCACCCTGTGGGGCCTTCACTCATTCCTTCACCTGATGGGGCCTTCAATCCTTCATTCACGCCGTGGGGCCTTCACTCATTCATTCACCCTGTGGGGCCTTCATTCATTCCTTCACCTGATGGGGCCTTCAATCCTTCATTCACGCCGTGGGACCTTCACTCATTCATTCACCCCGTGGGGCCTTCACTACTTCATTCACCTGATGGGGCCTTCACTCCTTCATTCACCCCGTGGGGCCTTCACGCATTCATTCACCCCGTGGGGCCTTCACGCATTCACTCCTCTGTGAGCGTAAGCAGAGGGGTGCTTGCAGGTGAGACTGGAGAGGGCCACTGGGAAGGTCCTTGTGGCCAAGGGGAGGGTTTGGCTGCTCCGAGTGCTGTGGTGAGTGCTCCGTGGTGTCCCAGCTGTGGTCACAGCTGTGGGATGCCAGGGAGGGGTGGCGGGAGTGGGCAGGCTGGGTGTGGAGGGGGCAGGCTGGAGAGAGGAAGGGGCTTAAGGGATGGAGTGAGAGCGGCCCAGCCCCAGCACAGCCCTGGTCCCCTTCACCCTAACTGTCCTCTCCCTGTCTCCCCAGCCTGCCTTCTCAGGGGATACCTGGGCGGGGGGTGAGTGGGGGCAGTGGGGACGGTGGGGGCTGGGAAGGATGGGGATCTGGCTTTCTCACTCATTGGGGTCTTTCCAGCCTGAGGTCCTTCACCCCCACGACCCTCACAGGTCTGTGCCCCCAGCACCCTCTGCTCCTGACCCGTGGCCCAGGCCCTTATCTGTCCGGCCCGGCTGGGTGGGGTGAGGGTGGTGCTGAGTGAGTGCAGGGGGCATCTTGAAGCCCCTGGATACAGCTGGCCTCTTAGGACCCCCCGCTTCTGCCTCTGTGTGGGTGCTTTGCTGGGGTCAACTCAGGAGCCAATGGGGGCTGTTTCCCCTGCCTCCCCTCCTCGTGGCTTTGGTGGGGCCCCAGGGGAGGAGGAACAGATAAAGGGGTGGAGTGGGCACAGAAACCCATCGGTCCTGCCCCTCCGAGGGTGGAGCAGGCACTAGGGGATGGGTCTTGTACTTCCCATGGAGATTCATGGAGGGTCCCGTTAAGGCCACAAAGCCATCCATGCTGGGGATGGGGGGCCGTGCGCACCAGGGATGGGGGGCCATCCTCACTAGGGATGAGGAGGGTGGGCAGGGCACAGGACTGGGCCTTTGAGACCCCGCACGTGGTGGGCATCACTAGAGGGGGTTGGCATCCCATGGATGGGAGGGGCTGTGCTGCCCCTAGGCACACGTGCCCAGGGGTGTGTAGGAGCCAAGGGGGAGGTAGGGTCAGGGCTTTGGGCTGCCCAATATTCAGTGGGCCTGGGCAGCAGAGGTCCCGGGCTCCACCCCTCAATCCCTGCAAGGAATTCCGGGGGCAGCTGCAGCAGAGGGGGCCTGACCAGTGTAGGGGTGGAAGCTCAGGCAGGAGGGCTGTTCCTCTGTGTGGACAGGGACGTTCTCAGGTTATGAAGCGAGTGCACTGCCGGGACCGTGCAAACCCAAGCCGAGGGTGGGGCTCGCTCCTAGTGCCACACGCGGGCTCTGTGCATCCTGGGACTGTGACCTGGGTAATCGCTGATCTTGTGCTCGGCTCCCTGGATCCTCCCATGGGGCAGCACGGCTGAGGTCCTGCACACACGGGCCACACGAGGGCGCCGGAGCTCCACCTGCGGCCCGGCCAGGCAGCAGTGTGGACAGGGTCTGGACCCCTTGGTGGAGTCCAATCAGAGAACTGGGTCCCCTCACAGCAGCCCACCTGCAGCGGGCTGGGCGGGGTCGCTGGGTCTCCGAGCCCCTGCCAGGTCAGGAGAGAGGATTGTGGCTGCCCTGAGGGACGGGTGCTGCTCCCTGTGGGCAGACCAGGTGGGCTTCCTGGTGGAGGTGGCATCAGTGGCAGGAGCCCAGTGGGGCTGAAGGTAAGGCTGGAATATAGATTTCCTGGTCAGTGAGTGTGTGTCTGTGCCAATGGAAGATGGGCCAGTGAGTGTCCTTGTGGTCAGAGTTCCACACCCACAGAAAGCCGATCCATCCATCCTGTAGTAGAACCCTCAGCCCCCGAGGCCAGGGATTCAAAGTACCTCCATGGAAGGAGCCCCAGGAGGAAGGACCCCACCCCCATCCCCGGGGTTGGCGTTGAGAAACACGGTGAATAATGGATGCTACACAGAGGGATTAGCACAGAGCACAGGAAGGGGAGGCCTATTCCTTGTTAATATTTATTAAACCCACAGCCTCATCACTCCAGAGCCTCATCCATATTAATTCCCAATTAAACATTTATATGAAGGAGATTGCTTCTCCTCCCCCTCAAAGAACCTGTTTGAAGCTGGGACTGCGGTTGGCCATCAGGGAAGTGGGGTCTCCAGGGGGACCTGGGAGTGGGGGCTGGAACAATCCCTGGACTTGCCCCTGAGGCCCCCCCCGTGCAGCCCGTGGCCCCAGCTACATCCTGGCCCGCACCTGCTCTCCATGCCCAAGTCCCACAGAATGGGTCCCCACTGACCGGTCCCAACACCTCCAAAGTCCCTGAGGTCAAGGCCCTGTCTCCAGCTGCAAAGTCAGTGCCTGAACTCTGTCGGCCATGCACACCTCGGTAAGACTGAGTGGGCAGGGGGTGGCTGAGTGCTGGCAGGAGGGGTCCAGAGTGCTGGCGTTGTCTGGGGTGGGCCTCGGGCCCAGCAGATGATGCCTTCCAGCAGGCTTGGTGCCACTTTCAGGGGACAGCCCAGCGGGGTCCCCAGGCTCCCTTCAGCCCACTCTCCATCTGTGGTCAGGGGGCATCTTTCTTTTGTTGACTTTGGTGCGGACATGGAGGGTGGTTACTGGTGGTCTTTGGTGCTAGGGTTGCGTGAACACGGTCCTGAGGGTGCGCCTCCTCCCCGAGCCCTGCCTAGCCTCCCTGCTGTGTTTGTCAGTTTCCCCTTTAGTCCATCTGCGGCCGGCGTGACTTTTTGTCTCCGTATAACGAGCCACTTTCCCCTACGCTGTGTTCTCCTTGATTTGTAGGAGTCACCTTTTACCTAAGGAGTTCCCACACGTCCCTGAGTCTGTTCAGGGTGGGCTTGCTCCGTCACCGGCAGCGTGCTGGCTTTTATTTTTATCTTTCATTTCCATGGCTTCATAGTTTATCTTCATTCTGGTGGAGTGAGCCCTTTCTCTTGGCTTTTCAATCAGCCTGTCATTCAGGGACGCCCCTTCTTCCATCACGTGCCGAGAATAGGGCTGTGGTCGGGTGTCTTTAAAATGCCTGCTGGAACTTTGCTTTGCGTTGCACTAATCTAGAAGCTAATTTGGCGACGTCGTGGGCTGTGCTGCTGGTCACTCCCGAGCTGACCATGCTGCCTTCTCCTTTCAGTGGCTTGGCTGGGTCCTTTCACTGAGTTCCAGAATTTTCTTAGCGAACGGCCAGCCCGTCCCTTGGTAATTTAATTCCTATCCACTTAATTGCTTCAGTTGCTGAATGGTATCTTATTTTCTGGCTGATTATTGTTGCCATAGAGTCACATTATTGATTTTTGTAGGTTTATCTTGTAACTGTTCGTCCCAGTAGTTTGTTGATTCAGTGACATTTTCTACATAGATGGCCACGTTATCCACCAGTCGTGACAGTTTTATCTCTTCCTTTCCAGTCCTTACACCTCTTCATTTCTTATTTTTTTTTTTTTGTTTGCAGTGTTTCCTGGGACTTTCGAGATTATGTTAAACTGAGTGGTGATAAGGGTCGCCCTTGATTTCTAGTCTGGAAGAGATTGTGTCTTAGATTTCTCTGTGAAGTCTGATGTTTCCTGGGGGTTTCTGGAAAGTAGGTTTTTTCAGGTTAAAGATGTTCTCTTTTATTTGTAGCCTTGTGAGAGTTTTTAGAAATTATAAATAGGTGTTGAACTTTATATGGGTCTTCTGTGTCTATTGAGATAATTCATGCGGTTTTTTTGGCCCTTAGTCCTTGTAGCAGACTGGTGAGTCACCTGAGGGTCTGATCTAATGTGAGCCATTCTTCCTCCTCTTGCATAGACCCTGCTGGACTGCGGGGTATTATTTTTTAACCATTTTGTTGAATGCCGCTGATTATAAGGTGCGCTGTTGTTTTATGTACCTCTAAGAAAGAAAAAATGCTGCCTGTAAAACTATGACACAGTGCTTTATCACATAGAAGCTCCACTTCACATGCATGGGAGAGCTATCAGACTTACTCATAGGATTTTATCATAGCTCACTCTTACGCATCCATAAACAGGGAAAAAAAGCAAAATCACAGAATGAAGGTGCCCTAAGATGCCCCACTCCCAGAGCTGGGCTCCCCTGAATCGCATTTGGACTTAGCATCCCCGACGCCCTTGTTTCTCTGTGTGGAGCCTTGGAGTGCAGAGTGCGTGGGTGGTGACACACGTCTCGGATGACAGGTCGTACCCGTTCCTCAGTGGGTGGCGACACAGGTCTCGGACGACGGGTGGTGCCCGTTCCTCAGTGGGTGGCGACACAGGTCTCGGACGACGGGTGGTGCCCGTTCCTCAGTGGGTGGCGACACAGGTCTCGGGCGACGGGTGGTGCCCGTTCCTCAGTGGGTGGCGACACAGGTCTCGGGCGACGGGTGGTGCCCGTTCCTCAGTGGGTGGCGACACAGGTCTCGGGCGACGGGTGGTGCCCGTTCCTCAGTGGGTGACTGTCTGAAGCACTGTCACTGTCCCCGCTCTCTCGGAGCCAGGGTCTTCGCAGGGCTGGCTCAGGCCATTGCTCTGACCATGTCCCGGAGGAGGTGGTCAGCCCCCCAGGCCTCCTGGGTCCAGCAGACCCAGCGCCCACTGTGTGGGCAGTCTGTCCAGAGGGGGCCCTGGGACCCTGCTCTCCTGGTCAGTGCTGGCCCCTCTCACTTCCAGGGATTTGAGGAGAATGGAGGTGGGCTGGACAGCCTGGTTAATTATTCGCTGATTTAAATGAGATAGCAAAGGGCTTTTTATTGATTTGCATATAAAAATTATGAAACCCAATATATCCTGAACACGCACAAATTAGTGGGCCGCAAAGACACGTGAGGCGGGTGATTCCACGAGCTTCAGGCCCCAGGCGCTGGGACAGGATTAAGGTCAGCTGTGGACACAGATGGACGCGCGGCCCGTTAATGGCCCGGAGACGCGTGTGCGTAAAAATGTATCCTTTCCCACACGACCACCGTTCCTGCTCCTCTGGCGGGTGTCTTAAATGTGCTCTTGTATGTATAATATTAATTTAGTCATAAAATAAAAGGCAGTAGCTCAGAGAGGAGCCCATGTGAACCATTAAATTCAAAGTACCGTGTGAAGTATTCGCGGTTCTGGTTGCCGGGTGGGGTGAGGGGAAGGGGCCCTGGAGGGGGCCTCTCCACACCCATGAGGAATGAACGTCAAGCGAAGCCTCCATCTCCTTCCTCCAGAGCCAAGAGCACTGGCCGTGGGTGACAATTAGAAGCTGGCTGGGGACCCCGGTGGCCCTAGGATGGGGTGGCTGGAGGCTGGGTGGATGAGGACCCCGCTGCAGTGGGCATCCTTCGGGGTGGAGAGTGGAGGTATTGTGTGTGCCGCTGTGCACCAAGAGGCTCCAGGTGGATACAGCAGATCCAGGAGGGGTTTCTGGGGATTGGGAGAGCTGCTGGGGGCCCCAGCAATCCACAGATGCACCCAGGAGATGTGCCAGGAGCCGTCTTCTGCTTCCCGGGGCCCCAGTGCAGCACTGCGCCTGATCTCCACCCCCAGGACGGTGAGGTGTCTGTGGTTTAAACCCCCGGTGGGTGGTACGCACTCACGGTGCCCAAGCTAGCTCACACAGTTGGAATGGAAGGAGGCGGGAGGGAAGAAAGGATGGAGGGATGGGTGCAAGAGCCGGGGCTGGGATGCTGGTAGAGCACGGGTGAGGATGCGGGGCAGGAGAGGGGACACGCGTGGAATCCTCGCACCTCAACCTCAGAGGGGATGTGGGGCCAGGATCACACAGCCCAGCCCCTTGAGGGGATGTGGGGCCAGAATCAAACAGCCCAGCCCCTTGAGGGGATGTGGGGGCCAGGATCACAGCCCAGCCCCTTGAGGGGATGTGGGGCCAGGATCACACGGCCCAGCCCCTCAGAGGGGATGTGGGGCCAGGGTCACATGGCCCAGCCCCTTGGAGCCCTGTCCTCTCATCACCAGTGACCCTAGGCTTCCTGTGTGACCCTTGCAGGCTGGAAAGCCCCCTCCACTCAGGATGCATCCCCCAGCAGGGCGAGACTGAACCAACCTCCTGGCAGGCCCGGCCAGTCCTGCGGGCGAGGCCCTTCCTTCCCCACCTTCCAGACATCCTTCAACTGTGGATGAAGCTGAAGCTACCCCCACTGGCTGCCACACCCCAACCCTCCCAGGGCGGGGACTTCCCTGGGGCGGCAGGTGCATCTCCTGGCTCCGGGCTACTTGTTCATGCTGCTATTGAGGGCCCATCCTCCGGGCGTGCACCAGGCCCCATCAACTGCAGGTCCATGGGGCGCCTAGGCCGGCCCCCGGGGGCTTTCGGGGTTGATGGGATTGGGGATGCCCCTCCATGCCCTTTGCCTCCTGTGTGTGCCGACCCCCAGCCCCTCCCCGATTCAGGCAGCTTGGCGTTCTGGGACGTGTGGAGCCCACGACTGCTCCCCTGCCCAGTCCACCGTGGGCTGTGGGCTTGTGTCCTGGAATCTTCTGTGGGTTGCCGCGGCGTCTCGGCTGTGCTCTGGCCCTGTCAGCCCCTCCTGTGTGGGGCTACTGCCCCCTCTACATGCAAAGCAGATCCCAGGTGCAGGCACAGCTTCTCCGCTGGGGAGCAGAGGGGTTTTCTGCAGAGAAAACACCCCCTAAGCTGTCGGCTTGAAGCCCCTGGTCCCGTTGGCCCTCCCTGTAGTGTCCTGGCCGTGACAACCCATCTCTGGGCTCCCTCTGGGGTGGTGCGGGGCAGGGCTGCTGGAGCTGGGCCCTCTCCCCTTTGAGGTCAGCAGGCCATGGGGTACCTGGGTGTTCATGTCCACCCCAGGGCCCTGCCGCAGGGGAACACACCCCTTGGCGTGGGGATTGCGCTGTAGAATGCGTTTACCTCTTTCTTCTCTTTCCCCAGGGGCACAGATTTTGGGGTCAGGAGGCCAGGCCAGTGCTCGGTCAGATTGTCTGGCCTTGCTGAGCCTCAGTTTCCCTCTCTGCAGCACAGGAAAGGTTATGGCTGTTGTCAGGCGTGCCAGTGTGGGCTCCTCCCTGTCAGGTCCCAGTGGGACAGCTTGGCGGGGTGGGCAGGTGGTAGCCGGGAGCCCGTGCTGGTTCCGGTCCACTCACAGCAGGACCCTGGGCAGTGGCTCAGTCGAGGCCCTGGGTGCGCTGGAGAGAACAGGGCAGGTGGCAGAGCTGACCCAGGTCAGTCGGATTCGGGGGGCCTGACAGGGGAGGAGGTGAAGGCAGGGGACCCAGCCCACCTTCGGGGTCCACTGCTCACCTCAGAGTGGTCTGAGAAAGGCAGCTGCCCTGTGGGGACAGGGCTCCTGGTCAGCCCCCGGCAGGCTCAGAGCTAGCCCTTCTGGCCCCACCGGTCTCATCTGTCCCCACATCAGTCTGAGGCCCTGCTTGGAACCTCAGGCCAGGGGGCGGCCAGGGACGCGGGGTCCCAGCCAGGCGGGCTCCCATGCTGCTCGTAGATTCTGACAGGACAGATGACAGCGGCGAGTTTTCACCTGATGGGCAGATGGGTGTCGTCTGTTGCTGTCATTAATCAGTGCCAGCTTCCCCAGAGCCACTAACAGGCTGCCAGGAGGGAAGGATGGATGGGGCTGAATTCATCAAGAACCAGGCAGAGGCCAGCAAGGGTGGGCTCTCAGCTAGGAAGCGATGGTGGTCACGGCAGCAAGGGGTGGGCTCCTGGGGGAACCCTGCGTAGCTGTGGGAGGCAGCAGGACAGTAGATTGGGGCTGGTGGTCATGGGCTCAGCTCCCTGGAGCCCGCCCTGGCAGCACGGCTGCCTCGCACCGTGGGGGCCTCTGCTGTTGGCACTGCAGGGCCTCAGGCTAAGTCAGGGGCAGCTGGGCCTGAAGGCCCTGGTCTGCTGCCATTTCTGTGCCTGCCTGGCCCCAGCGCAATGGCGGAGGCCATCCAGACGTGACTGTGTTGCAAGGGGCTCTTTGTTCTCACCAGTGGCAATGTCACTCCCATGGGGCAAACATTGGCCCTGGTGGCAGCCAAATATCTTACTCTTTTTCTGTACAAAGCACAGAAGCACATTCAGAAAACAGGCATATAAACAAGACCAAGAGGAGCTCTGTGGCCGTTTGTGGTATATTCCACTGGAAACGTTATTCAGTGGTGCGACACGACTGGCCTCCACAGAAGTGCAGAAAATAACGCAAGAGCGCAGGCCGACATTGTGCGCTATTTGTTGTTGACAGCTCCCTCTGGAATAAATCAAGCATGACAGCTGCATCCCATTGCCCCACCCGTGGAGGAAGTAGGAGTTTCTGACCCCCGTGCTCCATGGGTGCTCCCAGGCCGGTGGCTGGGAAGTAGCTTCTCTGTTTTCCAGTTGGCATTTCGTGCACCTGGAGCAGTGCTGTACGGGTGCGTTGGCCGGTCCTGGTTCTTCTCCTTGAGACTAACCTGCGCCTTCCTGCTGAGGTTTCAGGAAATCAGCAAAGACCCTCTGGCGTCCCTCATCTGAGTAGGATGGGGAAGCCTGAGCATCAGAGTCTACAGGTGTTGGGAAATCACCCTCTACACTGCAAAGCAAGGGCGGAGGAGGGGACCAAGTTATGCACAGGGTGTGTGGCGGGGCCTTCTACCTGGAGGCGCGTCGGGAGGCACAGCCGGCAGCCTCTCCAGGGTTGCTGCTTTGCAAAGGTTGAGGGCAGAGAGAGGAGAAAAGAGCCCAGGTCCTGAGCGCATGGCCTTTGAAGAGATTTCTTCCATGACACAGAGGTGGAGACCCATGCCTGCCACCTGCCTGTCTGGTGGCTCAGTCCTCTCCCGGGAGGAGTCAGGCAGGGCTGGAGGGTGGCAGGGGCCCAGTGTGCCTTGTGTGAAGAGCTGGGGACACAATGACCTTGACCATACCCTCTGCTCACTTTTCAGCTGGGTTGGATGTCTTTTTTGTTAAAATTGACTTTCATAGGAGTTCTTTCTGTATCCTGGATTCCAATTCTTTATTAGTCACGTGCATTGCAGATTTTCTCCAAGTCTGTGTTTGCCTTTCGCTTTGTAGTCTGTTTTTGACTTTCAGACATTTTACATTTTAATCCAGACAAATTTATCAGTATGTTCCATTATTGTTTGTTAACACTGTGACTTGTTTAGGAAATCATCCTGCTCGTCAATATCACAAGCATATTCTCCCAAGCTTTCTTTGAAAAGTTTTATAGTTTTGCTTTTCACCTGTTAGTCTTTGATCCGTGTGGAATTTAATGTGTATGTGGTATAGAATAGGAATTTAATTAATTTATTTATTTAATTGAGACAGAGTCTCACTCTCTTGCTCTGTCACCAGGATGGAGTGCAGTGGCACAGCCTTGTCTCACTGCCACCTCCGCCTCCTGGATTCAAGTGATTCTCGTGTCTCAGCCTCTTAAGTATCTGGGATTACAGGCGCAAGCCACCACGCCCCGCAGGAATTGAATTTAATGCATCCTGTGCGGAAAGCCAAAGTTCCCCATGCCGCTTGTTCAACAGCAGCTTTGATGCCTGCCCTGTGCACTGTGCAGCCCTGTAGCCACTAGGCACGTGGAACTATTTAAATCCCATGAACTGGCAGGGTGCAGTGGCTCACACCTGGAATCTCAGCACTTGGGAGGCCGAGGTGGGTGGATCACCTGAGGTCAGGAGTTCGAGACCAGCCTGACCAACATGTACTAAAAATATAAAAATTAGCCGGGCATGGTGGTTGGCGCCTGTAATCCCAGCCACTCGGGAGACTGAGGAAGGAGAATCGCTTGAAGCCGGCAGGTGGAGGTGACAGTGAGCCGAGATGGCACCACTGCACTCAGCCGATGCGACAGAGCAAGACTCTGTCTCAAAAAAAATAAAAAAATAAATAAATTCCATGAACTAACACTGAATAACATTTAAAATTCAGCTTCTCACGCCAGTTGTACCAGTCACATTTCAAGTGCTCGGCAGTCACAAATAACTGACAACTATAAAAATGAACAGGGATAGGGAAGATGTGAAAAGCACAATTAAGTTTGTTTGAATAGACACCTGGGGTAACTGCACTCAATCCCAGGCCACACATGCTTTCTAGGCACCCATGGGGCATTTTCAAAAGTTGGCCACATTTCAAAAATACCAAAAAGTGGTTTGTTGGGGCCATATTCTGTGATCAAACTGTGGTAAACTTGGAAATCAGTAACAAAAGGTAGTAACAAAATCCATAGTTGTCAAATGAAAAACACACGTATAAATAATTCATTTTCAAAGACAAAATCATAAAAGAAATTAGAAAATGTTTAGATTTGCATAATAACTACTTATCAAAACTTGTGGGGTTCAGCTAAAACAGTACTTACAGACAGGTTAGTCTATTTTACCATTTTGCTTCTCAAAAATCTAGATTTGGCTGGGCTCGGTGGCTCACACCTGTAATCCCAGCACTTTGGGAGGCCGAGGCCAGTGGATCACCTGAGGTCAGGAGTTCAAGACCAGCCTGGGCAACGTGGTGAAACCCCGTCTCTACTAAAAATACAAAAATCAGCCAGGCGTAGTGGCGCGCACCTGTAGTCTCGGCTACTCGGGAGGCTGAGGTGGGAGAATTGCTTGAACCCGGGAGGTGGAGGTTGCAGTGAGCCGAGATCATGCCACTGCACTCCAGCCTGGGCAACAGAGTGAGACTCTGCCTCGAAAAAAAAGAAAAAAAAATCTAGTTTTGGCCAGTCATTCTTAGCGATTTTTGTTCTCTGTTCCATTCATTTCTGCACATACATTTATGGTTCCATTCCTTTCTTGGGTTTGTGGTGTGGCTGGTTTCGTGTTTCTTGATTTAGATTCTTAACTCAAGAATTTTAACTATCTATTATATTACAATATGTGCAGTTTTAGGTTACATATTTCCCTTCCCAGCATTACTTCAGCTGCATCTCCTTAGACTGTGCTGCTTCACTGTGCTTTTCTCTTCTTTCTGATCCTTATTAGTTTTTATGATTTTCAGTTGTGAAGTGGAAAATCTTCCACTCTGATGTCAACTTGTCAATTTTTCATTGTAATCTGAACCTTTTTTATTTATATATTTGAGCTATGTTTGTCATTCTACGGTAATCTCTGAATCTTTACTAATGCTTTTTTACTTGACATTTATTTTGTTTGGTATTAATATAACTTCATAAACTTAAAGAGAATAAAGTATTTGCTAATTTTTAAAATTTCTTCTTGAAACCTAAATTGTTGGTGTTTCTGTATTTTGCATCTCTTAGGAAAGCGTATAGCTGGATTTGGTTTTGTCGAAGCTCTATTTTAACTTGCAAGTTCAGTTTATTCATATTTATTGACACATTTGGATTCACTTCTGCAATTTTATTTTGTGATTTTTATTTCTTGTGATTTTCCTTGGCTTCTTTCTCCCTCGTTTTCTGTTTTCTGTGGGGCTGAGGCATTTTTTTCCTTCTTCCTTTTTCTTTCCAAATTCTGTTTTTATTTTTAGTAGATACATGCATACTTGGCTTAAAGTCTAAACGCAATCAAAATCTATACAATCCTCTAGAATATTAAAAGGACGTTGGAATATTTGAATGGTAATTATACTATTCTGTATGTGTTTTTCTGAACTGTTATTTTAGTTTCATCTTATTTCTTGTTTTCATATCACAAAATTTGTCCTTATCATCATTTAATAACGATTAATCTCATTTGGATTTACTTACATATTTTATATTTTCTCCTCACCACTACTTTTTTTTTCTTTTTTGAGGCAGAGTCTCACTCTGTCACCCAGGCTGAAGTGCAATGGCACGATCTCAGCTCATTTCAACCTCCGCCTCCTGGGTTCAAGCGATTCTCGTGCCTCAGCCTCTTGAGTAGATGGGATTACAGGCTCCCACCACCATGCCTGGATAATTTTTGTATTTTTAGTAGAGACATGGTTTCACCATGGTGCCCAGGCCGGTCTTGAACTTTTGACTTCAGGTGATCCACTGGCCTTGGCCTCCCAAAGTGCTGGGATTGCAGGTGTGAGCCACCATGCCTAGCACCCCACCACTACTTCTTGACTCTCACTCCTTCCTTTGGATTTAATTTGTTTCTCTCTGAAAAATATCCTTTAGGAATTCTTTCAGTGAAGGAATGTGATTGTTCAATTTTTAATTTTTGTTTGTTGAAAGTGTTTTAAAAAATATAGTTGCCACCCTGACTGGCAATGTTGTTGGGTATAAAATTCCAGGTTGACACATACTTTCTCTCAGCATGGTGAAGACATTTCCTCACTCTGTTCTGGCTTCTATTGTTGTTGTTAAGAAGTCAGCTGAATTATAGTTCCCTTGTAGGTTATCTGCCAATATGGGCTAAATTGTGCCCCACTCCCCAGGATGACATCCCAATCCCCAGTACCTCAGAATGTAATCGTGTTTGGATAAGGTCTATAAAAGGTAATTAAGTTAAAAACGAGGCCACTGAGGGGGATCCTAATCCAATCTGACTGGTGTCCTTATAAGAAGAGGTAGAGACACACGGAGGAAAGGCCATGGAAGAGCATACTGGGAAGGTGGCTATCCGCCAGGCAAGGAGAGAGGCCTCAGCACAAACCAAACCTGCCAACACCGACAGCTTGAGCTTGGACTTCCAGCCTCCAGGACTGAGAAAAGGAATTTCTGTTGTTTAAGCCTCCCAGTCTGTGGTATTTTGTTATGGCAGGCCTAGCAAACCAATACTTCTGGTTTTTGCTGTTTACTCTGTTTTTTTTTTTTTTTTTTTTTTTTCTTTAGACAGAGTCTCACTCTGTTGCCCAGGCTGGAGTGCAGTGGTGCAATCTCGGCTCACTGCCACCTCCACCTCCACCTCCCGAGTTCACGCCATTGTCCTGCCTCAGCCTCCCGAGTAGCTGGGACTACAGATGCCTGCTACCACGCCTGGCTAATTTTTTTTGTATTTTTAGTAGAGACGGGGTTTCACCATGTTAGCCAGGGTGGTCTCGATCTCCTGACCTCGTGATCCACCCGCCTCGGGCTCCCAAAGTGCTGGGATTACAGGCATGAGCCACCGTGCCCGGCCTGCTGTTTACTCTTAATATATTCTCCTTGTCATGATGTTCTGCAGTTATACACTGAGATATAATTAGGAATGTGATTAATTTTATTTATTCTGCCTAGAACTTATTAGGAATTGTGAATCTGAGAATCCCTGTCTTTCATCAATTCTGGAAACCTCTCAGCCATTGTATCTGTGAAGAAAAGAATGACTGTGGCAAGCCTGAGACTGCTCACCCTTAGAAAGGCTACTCACAAGGATGGCCTTGGCCAAACATGGATTTCAGGAGGGTGCTTGTCATTTCTAGAACTGACAAGAGTGAGTGGCTCATTGTCTCTAAACAGTTTGTGCAAATAGTAAAGTTAGTTTATGCTAAACACCTGCTTTTCTTCTGGGAGCCTGGAGTTTTGGTATGTGCTAGGCAGGGGGTGCCTGTGTGACCAGCTGGAATCCCTGGGTACTGCAACTCTGATGAGCTGCTTTGGTAGACAATAACTCACCTGTGTCATCACAATTTGTTGCTGGGGGAATTAAGTTCATCTTATGTGACTATTATTAGGAAAGGAGTTATATTAGTTCATTTTTGCATTGCTATAAAAATACCTGAGACTGGGTAATTTATAAAGGAAAGAGGGTCACTTGGCTTATGGATCTGCAGGCTGTACAGAAAGCATGATGTTGGCATCTGCTCAGCTTCTGAGGTGGCCTCAGGAAGCTTCCAATCATGGTGGAAGGAGAAGGGGGAGTAGGTGCGTCACATGGAGAACAGGAGGAAGAGACTGAGTGGGGAGGGGCTACATACTTTTAAGCAGCTCTATCTCATAAGAACTCACTCATCATCATGAGGACAGTGCCAAGGGGGATGGTGCTCAACCATTCATAGGAAATCCACCCCCATGATTCCAGCACCTCCTGCCAGGCCGCACCTCCAACATTGGGGATCACAATTTGACATGAGATTTGGGTGGGGACACAGATCTAAACCATATCAGGGCTCCTGGAAACTTGTGCCTTGTTTCCTCCAGATTTCACCCCATGAGACTTTTCCCTTTGCTGATTTTTCTGTGGATTCTTTTGCCGTGATAAATCTTAGCCATGAGTATGACAATGTGCTGGGTCTTGTGAATCCTTTTAGCAAATCTCATGTTTGGGGGTGGTTTTGGGGACCGGCACACGGTCTCTCAAACATGGTCTCAGTTCTATTCTCTCTTGGAGCTCCAATTAGAGATAAGGTAAACTTCATTCTTTCCTTCTTGACGCTCTTTCATATCTTCCCTCTTTTCATTTCTTTGCTCTGCCTGCTGGATGATTTCTTCAGACCTTTACAGATAGTAATTTTCTCTACAGCTGTGTCTTAACTTCTATGAATCTATTCACTGATTTTAAAAATTCTAATGACCATAGTTTTCTTTTGAATGTTTTTATAATTTATATATTTATTCATTATTCCTTCAATTATTTATAGCAGTATAGACCCATGAATTCTGATTTTAGCTATTTTAGTTCAATGTGATTATTATTTATGTTGTTGTACAGATTTCCCAGCCGATGCCATTGGGAGCTACTTTTGGCCACCCCTGTGTTCTTTTGACACATCCCTCTCATTTTTTTGATTACTTCTGTAGTTCAAGATTATGATTTTTCCCTTCTCCAGTTATTTCTCCAAGCAGCTCTGGTTCTTTTAATAAATTTTAGTTACTTATTTATGTTTGAGCATGTGAAGCATTAACATGGTTCTAAAAGTCAGAACAATAGAAAATAAAAGTGCCCACAGTGTCTCTCCCCCACTTGCTACCCTGTTCCCATTCCCCCATCTTTTCCACTCCTTTGGTTTATCCAAGCCTCTATAGCCAAACAACCTTATATGTTTCTCGTTTATTATTCTTGTATTAGTCCATTCGTACACTGCTATAAGGAACTATCTGAGAATGGGTAATTTGTTAATATAAAGAAAAGAGGTTTAATTGACTGACAGTTCTGTAGGCTATACAGGAAGCATGGCTGGGAGGCCTCAGGAAACTTACAATCATGGTGGAAGGTGAAGGAGAAGCAAGCACATCTTCACATGGCTGTAGGAGAGAGAGAGAACAAAGTGGGAGGTGCTACACACTTTTCAAACATCAGATCTGGTGAGAACTCTATAGGAGATGGCACTAGTGAGGTGTTGCTAAACCTTTAGAAATCACCCCCATGATCCTGTCACCTGCCCCCAGGACCCCACCTTCAACACTGGGAATTACAATTCAACATGAGATCTGGGTGGGGACACAGAGCCAAACCATATCACTGTGTTTCTTTTTGCACAAAAGAGTAGCTGCATGTTTAATTTCCTGTTTCCATTTACTTCTTACACAAAGAGAGCATTCTATAGATGCTGTTCTGCTCTTTGCTTTTATAATGTAAAAAGTTCATCTGGAAGCCACTCACAGAGTTGAGTTCTTAGGAGTCTTTATCACTCTTTTTCAAAGCTGCATAGAACTTCATTGCATGAATGTATTATGGTTTATCCACTACTCTCCAGTTGCCTGATATACAGGGTTTCCCCATATAGGCTGCAATGAATAACTCTGGGCTTACGCAGTTTCCGTGTGGCTCCCCAGAGGTGGGATAGCCGGGTGGAAATGTGACTACAGGCCACAGTTTGGTAAGATACTCCAAATTCCGGCTGGGCCTGGTGGCTCACGTCTGTAATTCCAGCATTTTGGGAGGCCGAGGCCGGAGGATCACCTGAGGCCAGGAGTTTGAGACCAACCTGGCCAACATGGTGAGACCCCTCTCTACTAAAAATAAAAAAAAAAATTAGCTAGGTGCAGTGGTACGCACCTATAATCCCAGCTATTCGGGAGGCTGAGGCAGGAGAATCGCTTCAACCTGGGAGGCGGAGGTTGCAGTGAGCTGAGATGGCGCCATTGCCCTCCAGCCTGGGCGACAGAGCGAGACTCTGTCTCAAAAAAAAAAAAAAAAAACAACTCCAAATTCACCTCCTAAAGGCTTGTAGCAGTTTACACTCCCACTAGTAATGTATAAGAGTTACTGTTTCCCACAGCCTTGCCAACAGAGTATATTGTCATGCTTTGTAATTTCTATCCATATGAGAAGGTATCTTAGTGTAGGTTTTTAAGTGTGAAATATAATAACATAAAGCTTACCATTTTAACCATTGTAAGTGAACAGTTCAGTGGCGTTAACTACATTCATATCGCTCAGCAACCATCACCACCATCCATCTCCAGGCTAAAACTGTAAATTGTGTGTGTGTGTGTGTCTGTGTGTGTGTGTGTGTGTGAATATAAAATGCACCCACTGGCTCTACTGGAGCCGCTGTGTTGTTTAGATCTTCTGTGTTCTATGTGGCAGCCAGGGAGGTGAGCTGCTCAGATCTCCTTTCCAGAAGCATTTGTCTCTCTGCTGGAGAGGAGCAGTTAGCCAATGGCCTGCAGCTGTAGCCCCTTCCGGGGCTGCCACAATGCTTGCAGCAGGCCTTGTTCTTCCTGGGCAGCCTCAGGCAATGGCAGGGGCAGGCATGGGATGAGGACCTGGCCAGTTTTGTTCACCTGGGCCTTTCATGCAGTCTTTGCCTTAAACCTCCCCCAGGGTTGTTGAGACTTTGTGAGACATACGTCTCAGCCCCCGGCTCTGCCTGTCCAATCCTGTGCCTGCTTCACCTTCACCTTCCGTAGGTGCTGCCCCTAATGCACCTCTTACATCCTGACTTCAGCGCCTGCCTGCTTCCTGGCGGACACAAGCCGACCCACTTTACTTATTTTTTTGTTCCCTTGAGCCGCCTTGCTCCGGGAGTGATATGCTAACGTTTCCTATTGCTAGTTTGCTGCTATGACTCCTTACAGTTTCTGTGTTTTTGCTCCTTGAAGGTGGTTGCTGAGTTATTTTTATTTATTTACTTTTGAGACAGGGTCTCGCTCTGTCACCCAGGCTGGAGTGCAGTGGCATGATCTCGGCTCACTGTAGCCTCAACCTCCTGGACTCAAGCAATCCTCCCACCTCAGCCTTCCTAGTAGCTGGGACCAAGGCATGCCCACCATGCCCAGCTAATTTTCGTAGAGACTGGGTTTCGCCATGTTGCCCAGGCTGGTCTTGAACTCCTGAGGCTCAAGCAATCTGCCTGCCTCAGCTTCCCAAAGTGCTGGGGTTACAGGCATGAGCCACCACATCTGGCCCTGAGTTACTTGTTGCATAACTGATCTTTGCGTGAATCTTGTCTTTTTGCATTAAAAAGTCCTTCTTCGTGCTGCCTAAGGCTTTTTTGTCTTGAATTTTACCTTGCCTGCTAGCGTGGTCCCCATTTCTTTTCTTGCTGCATTTATATGACTCATGTACCTTCGTTCATCCCTTCAATTCCAGCATTTTGGATCACTTTACTTCAGCTGTGTCTTGAATACAGCATGTAGTTGGATGTCACTTGTGAGCCAAAGTGATTTTTTTTCCTGTGGTAAGTGAATCAAGCCCATGACTTTGTGATGGTCTAAGTGTTCACGTCCCCCCAAAATTCCTATGTTGAAACCCAGCTCCCAAGGTGTTGTACTAGGATGTGAGAAGGGCTGCCCATTTGGAACAGGATTAGTGCCCTGTTAAGGCCCTTGTTAAGGCCCGAGGGAACCGCTTGCCGCTTCGCCTTGTGAGGACACGTGGAAAGCACCCTCACAGGCATCGAATCTGCTGGCACATTGACCTTGGAGTTCTCAGCCCCAAGAACTGTGTTGCCTGTGAACTTCCCAGTTGTAGGTATTTGTTAGAGCAGCCTAACAGGACCAAGACAGATTCATGCATTCAGCGTCAGCTGTTATAATATTTTCTAATATGTGTATATCGTGACATTCGCCATGTGATGTGTAAGCTTTGCTCTTTCTTTCCTGTTATTTTTCTCAGGGGTTTGTATTTTTATTCTAAGGATTGCTTATCCTTTTTAAGTGCCCTTAGTTTCCTGTTTTCTCACCTAAACTTTCACCGTGGGTTTGTTAGTTTTGGGCAGTAACTAACTGTCCCCCTGATTGCCTGTGTCACCGTAAGTGAGCTGATGCTATTTTCCTCCTTCCCTCTCTCTTCTCCAGCGTTTCAAAGTTGCGATATTCCTACCTTGTCACTGCACACAACATTAGTTATGAACCTTTCACCCTCTGCCCTTATGATGCTCCTTGTGCTGAAGGAGCACAGTCATCTTTTGGGTTGGATGAAGTTAATATTCTAGTAGATTCTTCAAGAAGGGCTCTTGGGCCGGGTGCGGTGGCTCACACCTGTAATCCCAGCACTTTGGGAGGCTGAGGTGGGCGGATCACTTGAGGTCAGGAGTTTGAGACCAGCCAGGCCAACATAGTGAAACCCCATCACTACTAAAAATACAAAAATTAGCCAAGTGTGGTGACGCACACCTGTAATCCCAGGTACTAGGGAGGCTGGGGCAGGAGAATCACTTGGACCCAGGAGGCAGAAGTTGCAGTGAGTCAAGATTGCCCCATTGCACTCCTGCTGCACTCCAGCCTGGGCGTCCCAGTGAGAGACTCTATCTCAAAAAAAAAATAAATAAATAAAAAAATAAGACAAGGGCTCCTGGTTCAGAATGTTCTAAGTTCTTGTATTGTTAAAACTGTTTTCCATAGTTTTGATATTTGAAGGGAAGCTTCACTAGATATTGATATATTTGTATATCTATGCTTATCTATTTCATCCTGTTATAGGACAAGGGGTCCTGATCCAGACTCGAAGAGAGGGTTCGTGGATCTCACACAAGAAAGAATTCAGGGCGAGCCCACAGTGCAAAGTAAAAGCGAGCTTATTAAGGAAGTAAAGTGGTAAAAGGACAGCTACTTCGTAGACAGAGTAGAGCGTTCCCGAAAGTAAGAGGAGGAACGCGTCCACCCTAGGTACAATGCTGGTATATATGGGGAGATGCGCTCTGCTACAAGGGTTTGTGATAAAGAATTAATTTTCTTAATTGCTATATTTTGCAAGGATTGATATTATTACCTTTAAAGCAAAATTAGGAATGCCGTTGTTCTCTAGATATTGGGATAGCCGAACACTCCCAAGTCTGGGTCTGTTTAGTAAACATTATTCATTTGTTCCCTTAACTGTAAACATCTAGAGGCTTGGAATGCCTCACTTTCTGAGGATGCAGCTCAGCAAATCCCCGTCTCATTTTCCAGCCCTCACTGAAGATGAAGTCGCTCTGGTTCGAACGCCTCTGACAATCCTACGGGCGAGCACATCATTTTCCAGCCCTCACTCAAGATGGAGTCGCTCTGCTTCCAACACCACTGACAATCCTACGAGTGAGCATAACATTTCTGGATTAGAGGGAGACCCACTTTTTATTTACAGAACATATTGGCATTGGTTCCTCGTGACTGCTGCCCACCTGGGACAATGTGGTGATAGCGAGAGGAGGCTGCCTGTGCAAAAGGGGGTTTTGCTCTACAGGAGGGAAACCTGAAGATTATGAGTCTTAGAGCTGATGTAGGAACTGTTACACCCATGGGAGAGTGTAAGATAAACCTTATTTTCTAATGTCAACAGATCCTCTCTGAGAAGAGAAGGGAAAGGTCCCAGATTTACAGTTCTTTGGGATGTAAAGTAACGGTCCTGATTTTCATCTGGCTTGGAAATCTAAACACATACCAAAAGGGAGATAAACCTGTCAACCTTTTCCCTGGGTTCTTTCTTTCTTTCTTTCTCCCCCGTCCCTCCCTCTCTCTCTCTTTCCCTCCCTCCCTCCCTCCCTCCCTCTCTCTCTCTTTCCCTCCCTCCCTCCCTTCCTTCCTCTCTCTCTTTCCCTCCCTCCCTTCTTTCTCTTCCTTTCTCTCTCTCCTTTCTTTTTTCTTTCTCTTTTTTTTTTTTTTGAGACAGAGTCTCACCCTGTCTCCAGGCTAGAGTGCAATGGTGCGATCTCGGCTCACTGCAACCTCAGCCACCCGGGTTCAAGAGATTCTCCTGCTTCAGCCTCCCGAGTAGCTGAGACTACAGGCGCCTGCCACCACACCCAGCTAATTTTTTTATTTTTAGTAGAGATCGGGTTTCACCATGTTGCCCTGGCTGGTCTAGATCTCTTGACCTCATGATCCACCTGCTCCCAGCCTCCCAAAGTGCTGGGATTACAGGTGTGAGCCACCGCGCCTGGCCTCTTGCTTTCTTGCTTTCTTGCTCTCTTTCTCCTTCCCTTCCCTTCCTCTCCCCTCCCCTCACTCCTTCCCTCCCTCCCTCCCTCCCTTCCTTCCTTCCGTCCCTCCTTCCTTCCTCTCTTTTCCTTCCTTCCTTCTCTCTTTCCTCTCTGTTTCCCTTCCTTCCTTCCCTCCTTCCTCTCTGTTTCCCTTCGTTCCTTCCTTCCTTCCCTCTCTCTTTCTTTCTTTTCTCTCTCTCTCTTTTGAGTTGATATGTCACACTGTTGCCTTGACTGGAGTGCAGTGGTGCATCATAGCTCACTGCAGCCTCAAACTTCTGGGGTCAAGTGATCCTCCCACCTCCGCCCAAAGTGCTGAGACTACAGGTGGGAGCCACTGGGCCTTCCCCTGGGTGTTTCATTATCTGAGTCTTTCTAGGCTGGTTTCCCTTCCAGGCATCCGTTAACCCAGGTTACCAGTAATTTTTTCTCAGAAAGCCATGACCTTGCAGAAATACCAACATATTTTCTCTATAATAAAAAATCCTTGGTGCAGAGTTTCTTTCACCAATGTTTGGAAAATGTTGCTCCACTTTGCCCTGCTTTGCTATTACTTTTGAGAAATCTGATGCCAGGCGGGCTCCTTTGCTCTTGTAAGCTATTTTTAATTTGTTTTTGAAACATAATAATTTCATTAGATATTTTCTCAGAGTTGGTCATGTCTGATTAATTATCTCGGCATCTATGGGGGTGGGCCTTTCAATACATACACTCGTCTTTTAATTTTGAGGCATCTTCTTGGACTAAGGTCTTACGTATGATGCCTGTCCCGTTGCTTTGTTTCGCATCTTCTGGGGCTCCAGTTATGCATGTATGATTCCTTCTTTGCTTGTTTCCCATGTTCCCCACTTCTCTGTGGCCCTTTTTATTTCTTTTATGGTCTCATTTTCATTCTCTTAGTTACTTTTCTACTTTATTGCCTTTCTTTATTTAAGTCTATTATTTCTTGGGCATCTCATAATTCAGCCTTCATTTCTGAGACAATTTTGTCCGTTTCTTTCCTTTCTTTTCTGGTTTCAGCCAACCCTTTTTATTTCTTTCTGCTTTTGTCTACTTATATTCCAAGAGTTTGAATTTCTGACTCAGGGTGGGTTTTCCTATTCCCCAGGTGCTTCTGTGAGTATATTTCATTCACTTTAGAGTGTGGCCTTGCTGTTTTTTTCCTACTTCTTTTTTTCCAGGAGTGGGGATTTTTATCAAATGAGGTGTGTTGATTTTTGTAGTAGCTTTAAATAGACAATACTCTTCTGATCATTTTGTGAGTTTGGGTGGTTTACAAGGTTCCTGCTTCAGCACAGTCTGTTCTGTCGGCGTGGCGAAGTCTAGTTTCTCGCATGAATCTGTGTGTGAGTGTGTGCTGGGAGTGGGGGATGTGTGCCCTCTGCATTTTCTGGTTCACCTTTTCCTACAGGACCTGGGACTTCTCCCCTTTCCTCCTTTTTGGCTTGGCTGCTGGATGCCTAAAGAGCACATCTCCCTTCTTTTCCTCGTTTGCTTCTCCTGAAGTTCTGCATTTCACAGGTGCCACTTCAGGTTGTGTGTGCTTTTCGGGCCCATCTCTGCAGTTAGCAGGCGGACCTAAAGGGCACTTGTTCCGTGTTTTCACACGTGCGGAACGGTGCTATTTCTGCCGGTTTTAGAGCACTCCTACACCCCTCTCTAGCTTTCCTCTTCTCTCTTTCCTGTCTTATTCTTGGACTGCTCCTACCTACTGCAAAGAATGTGAGAAATCGCTTGCTGGGATGTTTTTCTTTTTCCCTTTTTTCCCCTGCGGTTGACTTGAAGTTGGGGCATTCCTGTCTTTGTGTGGTTTCACTTGACCTTCCTGTTGACCTGCACTGATTCTGGAGGATTTTGGGGGTGATGCAGACCTAGGCAGGTTCCATTCTCTTTGGTTGCTCAGAAGTCCTCTTAGAGAGTGTTAGAGTGCATTTATTGATTGTGAATGATTTTAAGACTCTTCACATGTTTAAGAATTAGTTGATTTTATTTTCTGCACCTGTTTATCTTACTTGATTATATTCTTCTATTAACATGTAGGCCCTGCTCTTATTGATTTCTAGAAAGTCTTTACATATTAGAACAATGGTGTTGTGCCTTGCAAAAGGTTTCTCTAAGTTCCTAGGTTGTCTGTGGGCTTTGCTGAAGGAGCCTGATGCTGTTAGCTCCGGCAGCATGGCGGAGGGCTTAGGCCTTTACGTTCATGTGCAGGCAGAGAGGCTTTGAGAACAGGACCATTATATATGCAAGGCAGGACTGGGGGACACTTAACTCTCTTCCTGTGGAGCTGTGGGGCAGAGATGATGGGGAAAGAGCAGGGAAGGAGGTAGCAGAGAGGGACCTGCAGGAACACAGAGAAAGGCAGCGTGTGTGTGTGTGTGTGTGTGTGTGTGTGTGTGTGTGTGTGTGTGTGGTGGGGGCTCGCCAGCTAGCTGGTGTCTGCAGTTCTTCCGCTCGCTGAGAGATGAAAGGAAGGGCAGAGACGAATGTACATGCAAATGGATAATCTGTGCAGCTTTGCAGAGTGCGGGGCCATTTGCATAAATATTGTTTGCAAGAAGCAATTAGTGGTTCATTTACATGCAGTGAAGTAGCAATTTGCACTTTTTTCAGGAACAATTTCTTTGCCAACGTGCACATATTTGATGCTTTGCAATTGGCCTGTGATAGTAAGGGTTTACAATTTTTCATGTTTGGTTCCTATCTTGCTTTCCTGAGGTATGGAATTTTTCCTTTAAAAAAAGAGAGTGCCACATTAAGGGCGAAAGTTCTCCAAGCTAGCATTCCTGGTGAACACTTACGCCTTTTCTGACTGTGTCCAAGCTTCTGCATCTCCCTGAGTACCTGTGCAGACCATTTTCTTGGCCTCCTACTTTAAGTGAAGTACCTTTACGTACCTTTAAGTGAAGCTTTCTCAGTTGGGCAATGATTGGCCACACCAGCACGCACTGCCCTCCTCCCCTACCTTGGGTCAAGCTGCAGTGAAGAAGGCTCTGCCTTGGGCAGGATCAGTGACTATGGGTCTCAGTTCAAAGAGACAGGATCATGGTCTGGTATCTGGTGGTCCTGGGAGGAGTGGGAGCATCCGTGCCCAGCCCCTACCAAGTGACCCCAGCTAGGCCTGGTCCGGCCCGCACTCTCACTGATGTCAGTGCTGTTCACGTCTCAGCTGAAGCTTCAGCCTTTCCTGCAAGGGCTGTGGCAGACAAATCCAGCAGAGGACCTGTGCGGAGGCTTCACCGCAATGGTGACCTCGCAGTCAAGTCTTGCTCAACTTCCGAGGAAAGCCCATACCATGTACACTTGTACAGGTGTGAACATGTACAAGGAGAAAGAGAAGCAGAACAAATACAGCCACCAGAGAGGACCTAGAGCAAGTATAACTGGTGTCCTCAGAGAGGAATGAGACCAGTGGGTATTGCAGAGAACCCATGAGAGGTCTTGCAATGAAAAAAAGTCATCAAGAACAAAAGCAAGAATGGCTCCAGTGATGGGAGGCAGAGTGGGCATCTGTGGGAGAAGCAGGGAGCTGGGCGAGGATGCTGAGGGAGTTTACTGGAATGTGACACAAAGGGATGGAGTTGGGAAGCACAATAGGCAAGCTGAGATGTGGAGGACGATCTAGAGGCCATAGCATCCCTCTCCTAGGATTTCAGGGGGAGAGAATAAAGGGGAGGTGCTGGGGGTGGGACAACAGCCAGGGCATGTTTTCATCTCTACCTTTTCAGAGCTAAAGGCAGGTGCTGGCCTCACTGAAAGAGCCCACCAAGTGCCTAGCAGGATAAACACAAATAACCAAAACCCCCAAATTCATTCCTTGCTACATCAAAGTGCAATGTGGATCGTCAGTGATAAAGCTAAAGCTGGGTGGGTAGGGGGAGGGGAAACCCCAATTATCTAAGAGGAACAAGGATCAGATTGACACCTGCCTTCTCATCCGCAGCATTGGGGGAACAGGTTAAGACTGCAAAATCTCCCCAGTTGTGAGGTGAAATCCTTGGACAATCCACTATTTATATGCAGATAGAAAATAAAACCAGCCGGGCAGGGAGGCCCAAGCCTGTAATCCCAGCACTTGGGGAGGCTGAGGCGGGTGGATCACCCGAGATCAGGTCAGGAGTTCGAGATCAGCAATTCCAGACCAGCCTGGCTGACATGGTGAAACCCTGTCTCTACTAAAAATACAAAAATCAGATGGGCGTGGTGTTGCACGCCTGTAATCCTAGCTACTAGGGAGGCTGAGGCAGGAGAATCGCTTGAACCCAGCAGGTGGAAGTTGCTGTGAGCCAAGTTCATACCACTGCACTCCAGCCTGGGTGACAGAGCGAGACTCTGATTCAAAAAACAAACAAACAAACAACCATTTAGCTCCCGTAGTCCCCCGACTTTCTGAAAGAAGTGCCAGAAGATGTGCTGTAGCAAGAGGAAAAGGGCGCCCGGGAGCTGATGCTGACTGACGGTTCTCATTCCTGCTGTTGCTCAGGTGCTAAGTGCTGCACGGGAATTATCTCACTGAATCCTCATGATGCCACGAGCCTGGTGCTGCCAGTCACATTTCACAGGCGAGGAAGTAGAAGTACAATAATGTTAGCGTATTGTTAAGTTCAAATAGGTATTGATTGCTAAAAATGATAACAATCTAGCACTAAAATTCCATGTGGGATCAACATGGGGGATTTGAGGGAGATGTGGAGAGTGGACAAAAGCGACATTATGTGATGGGTCTCATCTTGTTCGGAGAGTATCTCGACTCTGACAAATTCTTGACACTGTCGGAAAAACAGATGCTTAAGTGTGTATTTTCTAAATCTATAGGTAATCAAAAGGAATTGGAAATAGAATGTAACTATTTCAAAGACAGGTGAGGAAAAATGGAATAAAATAAACCTAATTTCTAAAATAAGATGAGAAAGGGGGGAAACAAACCCCAGGAAATACAAAGTAAGATTTTATTTGATCAGAAATCATAATAAATGTCAGTGGGCTAAACACACGTGTTGAAAGACAGAGACGCTCAGATTGAACAGAAACAAATAACAAATTCTAGCTGAAATGTTGCTTACAAAAGACATACTTAAAGTTGCCTAGAAAGTTAAAAATTAAAGGCATAAAAAAGTCTATCAAAAATGCCAAAAAATGCAAGCAGTCCTAGCAATATTTATATAATAGAAGATAAAATTTAAGGCAAAATGTTTAAAAGAGACAAAAGGGGATATTTCATGTTGACAAATGGAACAACTCATAAAGAATACATGAGGCCAGATGCAGTGGCTCATGCCTGTAATCCCAGCACTTTGGGAGGGCAAGGCGGGCAGATCCCCTGAGGTCAGGAGTTCGAGACCAGCTTGGCCAACATGGTGAAACACTGTCTCTACTAAAAATACAAAAATTAGCCAGCATGGTGGTACACACCTGTAGTACCAGCTACGTGGGAGGCTGAGGCAGGAGAATTGCTTGAACCTGGGAAGCGGAGGCTGCAGTGAGCCAAGATCGTGCCACTTGCATACTAGCCTGGGTGACACAGTGAGACTCTGTCTCAAATAAAAAAAAAAAAAAGAAAAGAAGAAGACTCCATAAGAGTCATAAACTGAAATATATAATGAAAAAATACATTAAGTAAAAAAAGAAAATTATGAATCCATAGTCATGGTGGGAGACCTACCCCAGAAACTGAAGAATTTAATAGACTATAAATAAATATAAGCAATTAAAGCTTAATCTAATAGACACATAGAAATACATATTCAACAAATAATAAACTTTTTTTTAGCACAGCAAGAACATTAAAAAAAGTGTACTAGATGACTAAGAGAATTTTGACAATTTAAAAATTAACATCTAAGGCTAACTTCAGTAACCACAAAGCAATAAAATTAGAAATCAATGGCAAAAAGAAAGTCCATCAAAATGAGTATAGCTGGAAATACACTGCTAATTATTTTAGCAGGTGTTAAAGTAAAAATAGAAACTGTTAACTATCTGTAGCCAAATGGCTATAAGAACATTTCATGTCAAAACCTATGGGATATGGCCAAAGTGTTATCAAGAGGAAAATGTATAGACTTAAATTGATTCATTAAAATAGAATATGAATAGGTTAAGATTTTAAACTGAAGAAGCTGGAAAAGCAACAGAATAAACTCAGAGAAATAATGTGTTAATCATAAAGGAGCATGATAATCATAAAGACAGCCATGGGATCACAGAAAAAGGGAGACACTGTTGACCATGCCCTTCCCAGCACTGTCCAGGGAGAGGGAGCCACTGTTTTAGACATCAAGTGCTTGTAGTCACCTGGACAGGTGTATGTTATTGGGAGATGCAAGGCAGCTCCTCTTAGCTTGAGCTTGTTATCATGAAATAATCTTATTCCCCATCTGATTCCATGCTCTCCAAGATGACTTCTAATGGTGCCTTCCCAGATAACACTGCTGACAGCAAATGCAGTTTGAGTAGGGATGTTAGTGTCCTAGTCTTGTAAATGGTAACTTCTCAGGGTAAATCAGCACATCAACATTCTGATTTCCCATATCAGTGATCACCTTGCCAAAATCAGGCTGCTGGTATTCTCCAAAATATGGCTGTAAGGATTTGTTAATCATTCTTCACCCCTCATCTCTCCACTGATCAATCCACCTACCCACCCACTCACACAGTCATCAATGTGTGAGTAATCAATACATTTATTTATCCTTCCTCCTCCTTCCTCCCTGCCACCCTCCCATCCATCCATCCATCCATCCACTCAAACATCCACCCACCCACCCATCCATTCATCCATCCACCCACCCACTCACTCACTCATTCATCCGTTCATCCACCTACCCATCCATCTACCCACCCACACATCCATCCATCCACCCAACCATCCATCCATCCATCCATCCATCCATCTATCCATCCGTCCATCCACCCACCCCTTCATCCACCCACTCACTCATTCATCCATTCATCTAACTACACATCCATCTACCCATCAACTCATCCATTTATCCACCCAAATGTTCATCCACACAACCATCCATCCATCCACCCATCCATCTCTCCATCCACCCAAACATCCAACCACCCATCCATCCACCCGAACATCCATCCATCCATTCATCCACCCACCCAAACATCCATCCATCCATGTATCCATCCATGCATGCATCCATCCATCTATCCATCCATCCACCCATCTATCTATCCACCCCTCCATCCACCCACCCACTTATTCATCCATACATCCATCCATGCATCCATCTACCCACCCACTCGTCCATCCACCCATCCATTCATCCATTCATCCAACCAGTCACCTATCCACCCTCTCATCCATTTATCACTCTCCTACTGATGTATGAATTCATTTATTCATCCTCTTATCCCCCATGCACCCAACCACCCTCCATCCATTCACCCCTCTGCAGGGGCCTTCATTTGGCAGTTCTTCTGGAGTGGTTGGCACCACTCATTTCTCTCCCATGCACGGAGGACTCCGTTGTGTCATGCTCAGGTGGAGTGCAGCAAGTGAGATGGTGAACAGTGCCCCTCAGTCATCTTTCAGATGGAGAGCAGTCTTCTTTATATGATCTTATGTTTGCCCTCAGTAGGAGCCAAGAAAATGGGGTGAAACATGAAGACATTAGATCTTTTGTGGTTTGCTATCTCAATCTCCACTGACCCCTTCCCAGCCCCGATCTTTTTCAGCCTTGCTTCTTCCTCCAGCCATGCCCTTCTTCCCCTTCGACCAGAGGCCTTGCAGCGCCATCCATGGGCCCTGCCTCGAGTCCTAGGGCACTGCCTGCTGGCCTGGCTCTTCTACACAATCCACAGCTTCCCTCACATGGGATGTGGTGGGGGTGAGGAAGTGCCTGCTGAGGAGACTCTTTCTGGAGTGTTCTATTTATAACCTCCTGCTTTAGAGAAGTTCCAGGTGCACCTGGGCCCTGTACTATGTATTTCTGGACTCTTTCCCACACCTGGCCAAAGCCAGCTGTCCTGGATCCTTCCAGGCCTCAGGCAACAGGACAGACAGGCCCTGACTGGGAGCTGGCAGGAAGGAGAAAAGCAAAGCATCCCTGAGGTAGGGGCGGTACTGCAGCAGAGGACAAGGATAGGAGGGAGCTCTGCAGCCTGGGGGTCAGTGGGGGGAGCCATACCACCCCTGAAGTTCCAGGTGGACATCTCCTCCACAGAGGGAGCTGGGAGTGTCCTCCCCTAGCCCCAGTGACAGCGGCTGGAGCACAGGGTCTCTCTCCCCTCACTCATGTGTGCAGATGGTAGTCACAAGCTGGTGAGGCTGTGGAGAAATAGGAACACTTTTACACTGTTGGTGGGAGTGTAAATTAGTTCAACCATTGGGAAGACAGTGTGGTGATTCCTCAGGGATCTAGAACCAGAAATACCATTGGACCCAGCAATCCCATTACTGGGTGTATACCCAAAGGATTGTAAATCATTCTACTATAAAGACACATGCACACGTATGTTTATTGCAACACTATTTACAATAGCAAAGACTTGGAACCAACTCAAATGCCCATCAGTGATAGACTGGATTAAGAAAATGTGGCACATATACACCATGGAATACCATGCAGCCATAAAGAAGAATGAGTTCATGTCCAAAACCGAACACCAGCTGTTCTCACTCATAAGTGGGAGTTGAACAGTGAGAACACATGGACACAGGGAGGGGAACATCACACACTGGGGCCTGTTGAGGGGTGGGGGGTAAGGGGAGGGAGAGCATTAGGACAAATACCTAATGCATGAGGGGCTTAAAGCCTAGATGACAGGTTGATAGGTGCAGCAAACTACCATGGCACATGTATACCTATGCAACAAACCAGCACATTCTGCACATGTATCCCAGAACTGAAAGTAAAATAATAAAAATAATTATATCAAAAAAGATGAAATAAATCGCCAATGTCCATATGAAAAAATGTGCTATTTGTATAATACACCAAAGACAAAAGGAAGAGCAGTTCCAGAAGCAAATCCACTTATATGTGAATTTAAAATATTTTAAAGTTAAAATTTTTAAAAAGTAAAAGAAGTTCAATATACAATTGCCACCCATATAAGGGGAAAAGGTTGATCACCTTTCACAATATCCAAAACATTGAATTGAAAGTTATTTAAGCTTTAAAAGAGATTTTGTAAATAGCAAAAGTATTAAATTTTTAAAGACTATAAAAAATAAAATGGGGTAATACAAACACATGACTTGACAATTTGCTTTTTTAAATATAGCACTAGACAGATAATCCTTCAAGCCAATACTCACAGAAACGACTCCCGTTTAACAGCTCAAAACTTTCCATTATAAGGAGGTGCCAGAATGTATTAAATTGCTCCCTGGTTTATAAACATTCTGGTTGTTTTCCATTTTTGGCTGGTACAAACCGTTGTAATAAACATTCATGTACACATGTCCTTATGAAATGAGGCTTTTCTGTTGAGCCCCCGTGTTTCAGAAGTGGTGGATCTGGGTCAAAGCATGTGCGGCGATCTTAGCTTCTACTGACTGTGCCAGTTCCCGCCAGAAGACCACGGGGCTCCCTCCTCCCTGGGGTCCCCAGCTTTGGCAGGCCAGGAGTGGGCATTATCAGCCTTTTAAAGCTTTGGGATTTAATTTTGGAGGCAGCCTGCGTCCAGTGATGGGTCAGTGTGGAGGTACAAAGGTCCAGCTCCTGCTCCTCTGTGGGGTCGCTCTGAAGGGGCTGTTCCCAGGGGATTGCTTCTGTGTCACCGAGCATTTCTCCCTTGGCCCAGTCCTGCTGCTCTTGGTGGCTCACAGGTGTTGCTCCTGAGAGGAACCCGCACACTCAGTCCTCCTGTCTACAAACCTCGAGGTCCAGCGTCAGTTCTCCTAAACTAGGGGTGGTCCTAGGAGGCAGACACACATGGGATTTGGGGCTAGACTAACCACTGCCAGTCACTGGCTGCGGTCCCTGTTGCTGTGGCTGGTGCAGAAGTGATAGCCCTGCCGTGTCAGGGACCCTCTCACCGTGGTGCCCCAGGTGCTGTATTGGGTAGGGGAGGAACTGCACTGGTTGGTGCCTTATCTCAGAAGCACGAGAGGCAGAGGCAATGTAGGAATCACAGAGCCATGGATCAGATGGCTGTTGCTGGGTGCTACAAATTCCTGGAGAAAGATGATGGGAGCCGAGCTTGACTCATCTCCACTCAAGGCTGGGTGTGGGGGCAGTGGGCCTGCTTGGCAGCCTGTCCAGAGAGTCTCATCCCCTACGGTTGGAGGCAGGGACAGGTGGGGGTCCAGTCCAGGGCTTAAATTCTAAGAGCAACATAGCTCCTGAGGTGATGGGACCCTCAGCCTTGGCAAGGCTGCCATGCTGGCCTCAGGCCTCCATGGTGGGCCCCTTTAGGATAGAACTTATTCCCCAAACTGCCATATGAGCTGCCCTCGATGGCTCCTGGCTGCCAGCCTCTTCTGATGCTGCCTCATCCCAGGTCACTCCCTGTCCCAGGCCAGCTGCTTCCAGTGACTGATCAACATGTGCTTACAAAGGCCCAGGCCCTTGACCCTGGGGTCAGCTGAGCCACCACTGAGACTGTGTCTCGGCCAGGAGCCCCTCTGCCCTCTCCTGTTTTTCTTTTCTTCCCCATCTGTGCTCACAGAATCCTTCCAACAAACCTCACTGGGTACTTCTCCACCTTAGAGCCTGCTTTCTAGGGAACCCCACCTGTGATGACATGCTCAGAGGTTGGGGCTCTCCCATGCCTTCTGGAAGCCTCTGGGCCTACAGAAGGGGCTTGCTCCTTCCTGTCAGAGACAGGCACTTCCTTGTGTATGAGTTTTCTGGGACGGCTGAGTCTAAGTACCATAGATGGGGCAGCTTAAACAACATTTATTTTCTCACAGTTCTGGAGGCTGGGAGTCCAATATCCAGGTGCCAGCATCTGCTGAGGGCCTTCTTGCTATGTCATCTCATGGTGGAGGCAGAAGGGCAGGAGAGCCCACACATGCAAGAGAAAGAGGGGTTCAATTCTTTCTTTATAAGGAATCCATTTCCAAGGTAAATAACCCACTTTCCCAGTAATGGCAATAATCCATTCATGAGCCCTCCTGACCTAGTCACCTCTTGAGGGCCCCACCTCTCAGCACTGTCACACTGGGGATTGAATTTCCAACATATGAATTTTGGGGGACACATTAAAACCCTAGCTGGAAGCATCATCCCAATCTCTGCCTGCATCTTCTCATGGTGTTCTACTTCTATGCATATCTATCACCAAATTTTTTACAAGGACATCAATTACATTGGCTGAGGGCCCACCCTAATGACCTTCTTTTAACTTGATTACCTCTGTAAAGACCCCATCTCCAAATAAGACCACATTCTAACCTGCTGAGGGTCTGGACTTCAACATGTCTTTGCTGCGGTCACAGTCAACCCATAACACCTGTTGGAAGATGATTCACAGGTTTGCTTTGCAAGGAGAATGCATGGCCTCTAAGGAGGGGCTACTCCATCTCTCCTGCTGGTGACCAACGTCAAAGAATGAGTTCTGCTGAGAGAGGGAGGCCAGCGTGCCCCGATGGCTCTGCAGGATCTGAAGACCACGTACCAACAGGCGGCAGGGATATGTGTGCGCCTGGACCACAGTGTGCTGGATTGGGGCAGGGGAGTAGAACATAAATGTTGGGTAAGAAAGAATTTATCCAAAAGGTAGAGGTGTCCTGGAATACAAAGGTTTAACACCAGGCAAGAGCCCTGGGAGGCAGGGTTAACTTGTTCCTAGGATGGTGGAGCAGACAGAATAATGCCCCAAAGATGTCCACATCCCAATTCCTGCAACCCATGAGTATGTTACCTTTTATGGAAAAAGAGACTCCGTGCATGTGATTAAGGTTGAGGACCTCAGGTTGCGGGGCATCCTGGATTTTCCAGATGGGTCTAATGTCAACATAGAGAGTCTTCTAGCTGCAGAGACCAGAGGAGTGGAGCATGAGAAGGGCTGGACTGGTGTTACTGGCTTTGAAGATGGAGCAAGGAGGCCAGTAGCCAAGGAACGCAGAACCCTCTAGAAACTGAAAAGGCGAGGAAACAGATTCTCCCCTGAAGACTCCAGAGAGAACAAAGCCCTGCAGATGCCTTGATTTTAGACTTCTGACCCTGGGATGTTCTCACCTCCCAGAACTGTCTGACAATCCATTTGTGCCGTTGTGGCATTTTGTTGCAGCAGTGACAGAAAACTCGTCTAAGTGGCTCTAAGAAGTTTGGAAAGTGGATACTCAACCCTGTAAAATAGAACAGCCAGGACAGATGGTGGGAGAGGGGGCAAGGACTCAGGGACAGGGGCGTGCTCGAGTGTCCGTGCTACAAAGGCTGCAGCACCCACCGAGGTTGCATTCCTGGGTGGAGAAAGGGTGGCTGCAGAAGAGTCTCCATTTACCAGAGCAAGAAAGTTGCACTGGGGAGGGGGCAGAATCACTGAGAAGCTCAGCGGGATGATGGTTGGAGCTGCTGTCACAGGACTGGGTGCCCTGAGAACAATGCGGCTGGTGGGATCCCCAGATAAGACAGACCAGGTGGTGCCAGCTAATCGTCGGGAGCAAGGTGAGCTCAGGTCCTAACGAGCAGCAAAGTCAAAGAAGGAGCCAGCGTGTCCTGACCAACAGAAAGTGGAGGAGATGGACAACAGGACTGGGCATCCCTGGAGGAAAGGCAGAGGCATCTCTCACTCTGGTGCACTTGACACCATCATAGGGCATGAAGGGGAACCATCCCAAGGGCAGCCTGACAGGAGACGTCATGACACCCGGCCCAGTTTCTGGACCTAAGCCAGGTTTTAGATCCAGAACAAAATTAATTTGCAAATTATCATATTTTTATAGAGTATCTTGAGATTTCTAGGTATAGAATCATATTATCCTCCAATAAAGATAGTTTTGCCTCTTTGTTTCCATAGTTATACTGCTTCTTTTATCTTCTTGTCTTGGTTCATTAGGTAGAATTGCCCCCAAAATGGTCAATAATAGTTGCAACAGTGAGCATTCCTGTGTTGTTCCTGATTTGAACGGGTGCGGATTTATAATGTGGTTTAAGGTAGTCTTGACCACATTTAGGTAGTTTTATTTTACATAGAGGTTTTTTTTTTTTTTATCAGGAGTGGATATTCAATGATAGGAAGTGCATTTTGATATTCCTTGATACGAAAAGGTGAGTTTGCCTCCTTTATTTGTTGATGTAGCATATCATTGATAGATTTCCTAAAGCAAAGCTATTCTCTCATTTGTAGACTAAAGTCTACCCATTCATGTTTTCTTACTTTCTTAATACATTGGGTTGTGTTCAGTGTGCCAATATTTTATTTGAAAGTGTTCTGCATCCATATTTGTATATGTAATTTCCTATTTCTTTCTTTCTCCCGCAATTTTGGTAAGATTTTGGTATTAATGTAATGTTGGCTTTTAAAAGTGAATTTTGGAGTTTTCCACATTTTCCGTAGATTGGAATTTCTTCAATAAAGAGATGGTTAATTTTATGTGTCAACTTGGCTGGGCCAAGGTGCCAGGTATGTGGTCAAACATTATTCTGGATGTTTCTGTGGGGGTATTTTTGGACAAGGTTAACATTTAAATGGTGAACTTTGAGTAAAGCAGATCCTCCATAATGTGGATGAGTGTCTTAGTCGGTTTTCTGTTGCTAAAACTGAATACTAGAGACTGGGTAATCTATAAAGGAAAGACGTTTATTTCTCATGGTGCTCGAGGCTGGGAAGTCCAAGGTTGAGGTGCTGCATCTGGTGAGGGCCTTCTTGCTGGTGGAAACTCCCTGCAGAGTCCCAAGGTGGTGCAGGGCATCCATGGTGGGGAGGCTGAGTGTGCCGGCTCATCTCTCTTCCTCTTGTTATAAAGCCATCAGTCCCAGTCCTGGGGCAACCCATTAATCCATGAGACCACTAATCCATGAAAAGAATTCATCTATTCATAAGGACAGGACCAAATCACCTACTAAAGGCCCCACTGTCACATTGGGGATTAAGTTTCTACATGAATTTCAGAAGAGACAAACATTCAAACTATAGCAGTGACCTCATCCAACCAGTTGAAGGCCTGAATAGAACCAAAGACTGACCCCACCTCCCAATCCCCCTCCCCCCACCAGTAAGAGGGAGTTCTGCAGCCACGACATTGAACCACAACATTGACTTTTCCTGGGTCTCCAGCCTGCTGGCCCACCCTGCAGATTCGAGACTTACCAGTCTCCAAAATCACATGAGCCAGTTCTTTAAAATAAATCTCTCTCTTTCTCTCTTTCTCCATCTTATTGGTTCTGTTTCTCTGGAGAACCCTGACTAATACAAACAAGATAAGTCTTTGATTTTTGAAGGTAAGTGGAACTAATCACAGACATGCCAGAGTCTCGCACCTTTGACCTTTGAAAATGGCAGATATTTAATCATCTTTCCAGCCTAGTCTGCGGTTTCCAGTGCTGGCGGTTCCCTGTCAGTTGTCATGGTCTCCTTCATGTTGGCCAGAGTCTGGAAGTGTAACACCCCCAGATGTGTTCAAATTGGTCCAACTGCTGGATAATGAGTGGATGGAACTTCCACTCTTGCCCAAGTTAGGGGAGGGGGTGAATTTCCTGAGTGAGCTCCCTTTGGGGAGAATTGGGGATACTCCAAGAGTGGTAAAAACCCTGAGTGGATTCTCCAAGAGAAGAGTGGCCGTTGCTGACCTCGTGGCTGGCCTTCAAGGCCCGACTTTAAAGTGACTGCAAAATGAAATGCAATCCACAGAAGAGAAGAAGTTGCAAATGGTGGCAAGCGTAAGAAGATATGCTCAGCCTCATGATGCCAAAGCAAGTCCAAGTTCACACAGCAATGAGCGCATTCTGTGGAAACTGGCAGGATTTGCCTACAACTGCTGTTTCTCAGCCAGCGAGGGGAGGGGTCTACAACCCAGATGTGAGGGTAAATTTGAACAACATTTTAATTTTTTTATTTTTATTTTTATTTTTTTTGAGACCAAGTCTCGCTCTGTCGCCCAAGCTGGAGTGTAGTGGCGTGATCTCGGCTCACTGCAACCTCTGCCTCCCAGGTTCAAGCGATTCTCATGTCTCGCCCTCCCGAGTAGCTGGGACTACAGGCACCCGCCACCACACCCGGCTGATTTTTTTGTATTTTTAGTAGAGACGGGGTTTCACCATGTTAGCCAGGATGGTCTCGATCTCCTGACCTCGTGATCCACCCGCCTCGCCCTCCCAAAGTGCTGAGATTACAGGCGTGAGCCACCGCGCCCGGCTGAACAACATTTTTAAAGCCGGTTTGGCAATTTCTGTCAACATTTTAAATGTGCATACCCCATGACCCAGCAATTCCTCTTCTAAGAATTTCTCTTATAAAAATGCCTGTGCAAGAACGCAAACATATGTGTACAAGAATGTTCACATGACAGCATTTGAGACAGCAAAAACTGGAGACACAAAACATCCACCTTAAGAGGAATAGTTATGCAGATTGTGGAATCATCATTATAATGGAGTCTTATGCAGTTATTAAAAAGAACAAAATAGGTGTATGTGTAGGCAGGGAATAATCTCCTTGACATTTTGTTGAATAAAAGAATCAGCCTTCAGAAAACTATGTATGGTATGAAGCATTTTTGTTAATTCTGTGTGTGTGCTTATGTGCTTAGCAAAATGTCTAGAAAAATAGATGCCAGGCTATTGAAGTGGTCACCCCTGGTAGTGTGATGGGGTAGGGGAGGGGGATGAGGAGAAGGCTTTCTATTTTATTGTATACATATCTCTATTACTTGACTTAAGAAATGAGCATATATTACTTAGTCAATAAAACAAAAATATTTTTTAATGCTTGCAACAAAAATGCTGATGGAATTTTAAACCAGGAGGAGCAATGTTAAGGCTTCCTCACTCTGGGAATTGGACTAAAGGTGACTTAGTCTTAAAGGCAACTAGAAAAGGCATTAATTCTATTAATTAATGCCTCAGCGATTTCCATCTCAGCAAAGATGTCTTAATGAGGCGCTCGGGACACCCATTATTTATCTTACAAATGCAGCTCCAGGGTCCTGCCCATGTCAGGCAGTGTAACACACGTCCCCGCGGAGGGCTGGCGCTGCAGAAGCTCCCGGTCCACCCCCTCCTGCCCACACCTGGCCTCACCCTCCCCATCTCTTCGAGGATGACCTCTGTCCCAGTCCCTTGGACCCCGACTCCTCCACGATCTGGCCCCTCCCCTCATACATTGCATTTCGGGACCCCCGCAAAGGAATCACTTCAGCCTGGACTGCAAACCGCACTCCTACACCTCACTATGAGCACCTTGGGGGTGTCCTCCAACACCCCCCGCCCCGCCCTCTCTCTCCTGGTCTCCTTTCGTTCGAGCTGATGAGGAACTGACGACCCAGAGTCGGCCTGTGTGAGGCCCGTACAGGTGGCTCCCGAAGTCTTTAGCGGCACAGGGTCGGTCCCTCCAGGCCGACCTGGTAAAATTCCCGCATCTCCCGCAGGCCGCCCTTCTCTGGCCCCTGGACCCCGGGCTCCTGGCCCGCGCGCACCAGGAGCTGTCCGCGGTGCTGACCGCAGGCGCTTCCCGCGCTCGGCCGATGCGCACGCGTCCCGGGAGGGGCGCGCGGGACCTGCCGGCGCCGCCACTGCGCAGCCTCCCGCGGCCTCCCCGCCCGGCGCAGCCTCCCGCGGCCTTCCCGCCGCCGCTCTCGCCCGGGCCGGCCATGGCGCTCAACAATTTCCTTTTCGCTCAGTGCGCCTGCTACTTCTTGGCCTTCCTGTTCAGCTTCGTGGTGGTGGTCCCGCTGTCCGAGAACGGCCACGACTTCCGCGGCCGCTGCCTGCTCTTCACCGAGGGCATGTGGCTGAGCGCCAACCTCACGGTGCAGGAGCGCGAGCGCTTCACGGTGCAGGAGTGGGGCCCGCCGGCCGCCTGCCGCTTCAGCCTGCTCGCCAGCCTCCTGTCTCTGCTGCTGGCCGCCGCGCACGCCTGGCGCACGCTCTTCTTCCTCTGCAAGGGACACGAGGGGTAAGTGGGGGCCGCTCCCGGCGCGGCGCCCCTTCCATGCCCCCAGCGCCCCCAGACCCACCTCCCCGGGGAGGCGCGCGAGTCCCTCCGTCTCTCAGGCAGCTCCGAGGCCCGCAAATGTCAACAATCCGCCCTCACCCCCTCCACTCAGACCGCCCTTTGTCTACACACACATCCAGGGACCATGACGACCACCGGTCCTGCGTACAAGGCCAGTGCCTCCCCTCCCCAGCTGCGCATCACCTCCCGCTTCCGGGCATCTGCTCCCTTGGGTTGCAGATGTTGCACTGTCATCACCCAGCAGGCCTGGACCTTCCTGGGCGGGCTCAGCCGGGCCACACTCGCCAGGACCGGCGACAACTCCCAGCCCGGTCTAGGGCTTGCACTGAGCTCTCCAGGTCCCAGTGACAAGGCGAACTGGGGAGCCCCACCCGGCACCATCGCCCCGGGAAAGGGACGGCAGATGGCTGTCTGGAGGGGAGCCACCCAGGCCCACCTCGAGCTCAGGCCTTGGATGGGGAGCTGGAGAGAGACTGCAGGGCGAGGGCTGTGCCTTGTGGGCTCAGCGCCTTCCTCCTCCTGGCCTGCATTTTCCTCTTTCTCTTTCCTGCTCCGGCTAGATACTGGAGCCCATACAACCTGGTTCACCTGGGGTGCGGTGACACCCTTAGCCAGTGGCACCCTGGGGGCCCTCTGGGGGCCCACCCACTCCCTCTGCAGGTGCTCTCTGTGAACCCTCCCACTCCCTCTGTGAGCCCACCCACTCCCTCTGTGAACCCACCCTCTCCCTCTGTGGGTGCCCTCTGTGAGCCCATCTACCACCTCTGTGAATCCACCCACCCCCTCTGTGAACCCACCCACCCCCTCTGTGAGCCCACCCACCCCCTCTGTGAGCCCACCCACTCCCTCTGTGAACCCACCCACTCCCTCTGTGGGTGCCCTCTGTGGGCCCTCCCACTCCCCTGGCTGAGGCCTGCTGTGCCCAGGAGCAGCCCGAGATCCTGTAGAGGTTCCGGGAGAGCACTCATGAAACCCAGGCTCCTCCCAAACTCTGCCCTCACCCCCATCCTTTGTTGTAGGTTTTCACTTCCTGCACGCAGGTGGGAGATGAGAAGGGCTCAGAGGGGTGTGGGCGGCAGGAGTGGGGAAGCCCTCCTGTTGCCCCCGCTGTGAGCCCACCGCTTGGTTTTGGCTGAGAGAGGGGCCAGAGAGGGGAAGAAGAGGGGCTTCAGGGAGAAGGGAGGGAGCCAGGGCTATGCTGAGTGGGGCTGCAAACTCTGGAGGAGGAATGAGAATCCCAGCGCCTGTGGGTAGGAGCGCCCTGGGGCTGCTGCAGCACAGTTGCACCAACTGGACTGAAACCCACTTGTCCCACCACCCTCTGCCGCTGTCCTCACAGGGCGCCTTTGCTCTGCTCTGTCCTCCCTCTTTTTACAGGGACACCAGTCACTGGATTCAGGGCCCACTCTAAACTCAGGGAGATATCCTGAGATCCAGAGCTTAATTACACCTGCAAAGATGCTATTTCCAAACAAAGTCACAGTCACGGGTACCAGGGGTGGGACTTGGGCATATCTTTCGGGGGACACCATTCAACCCACGACACTAAGGTTCTGGATGGGGGTCAGTAGAAAGCTGGCTGTCAGCCTGGGAGGACCCAGGTACTGTGGGGCCATGGGCCCAAATTGTGTGGCTGGAGCCCTGCTCAAGGTGGGGTCAGGCCGGGCGCAGGGTGGTGTCCTGCCCATTTGCAGCCGTCCTCCTTCCCTCAGCCCACTCCAGGGCTGGTGTCCCAAGAAGAGGCTTGAGACGTCATCTGCACCCATGTTGCCAAACCCAAGAGTTGCCCAGTCCATGCTGTGCATGCAGGGCAGGCAGGTGGAAGCCTCCCTGAATGAGACAGGTGTGAAGAGGGAGTGGGACAGCCAGCGAGTAGGGTCAGCCTCCCAACGCTTGAGGTCCCTTTAGTCTGGGAAGCTGAGGGTGGAGGGTGCAGGCCAGGTGGGGCCACAGTTGGTTCATCGCTCACGCACTTCTTCACCTCCTGGGTGTCCCTCAGGGTGCCTGTGGTCCAGCTGGGGCTGACAGAGGGTGGCTCTCTAGATAGGACCCAGCTATGTGGTCAGAGTGATGGGAGATTTTATAGGGGGTTCCACCAGAAGCTGGGGGACAGGGAGAGGGGAGAAAAGAGCCCCAGAGCTTGCAAGACAGGAGTCCAGGTCGCACAGGGTATGGTCTATTTCGCACACACTGGGCGGCAGGCCCAGGGATGCCGTAACAGCAGCTCTGCCTCTTGCCATCTCACGGAAGGTGACTGTCTGTCAGCCGTGGCAAACTGCCAGCACCATCTCCTTCCAAAGGCAGAAAACAGATTCCTGGGGAGTCTGCAGGCCTTCCCAGCACTCTTTGTGGTGTTCCATCCTCCCAAGGGGTGGAGCCGGCTGGGATGCAGGCCAGCTGTGTGGCCTCTGCTGCAGCCCTGCTGACCGGCCCATATGGGATTTAGGAAGCCTTAGACGGCCTGGTATGCTCAGGCCTGTGGGGGTTAGGGTGAGGGTTAGGGTTGTCGAGGGGGGCTACATTGTGGAGGCTCACCATGGCCTTGACCCCACTGGAGGTCAGGTCCGGGCAGCTCCTGCTGTCAGGAAGGGGCCTGTGGCGGAGCATTTCAGGTTCAGCTCCTTTGCTTCAGTTCAGGGGTTCACCAATCCTCCCACCACTGACCTCCGCCCAGCCTGCTCTTTTCCAGGGACATCTGGTGCCTGTGTCCTTCTTGACCATCAGGAATTAGTGGCTCAGTTCACGTGGTCATGTGGCCACCTGTCCCCCACCTCATGCACTGCACAGTCCATTGGCAGACGGCTTGTGGGGTGACATCTGTCAAACGTGTCAGCACTCCATTGAGTTCTGGTTGTAGGCGAAGGTTAACGCTCTCAAGAGCCATCTCAGGCCATGGGTCCCCCCCCAGGGGACCCCACCCTAGGGGACCCACAGCTGGGTGAAGCCAAGGCAGACATGCACCTTATTCATCTCTGTGTCCTTAGGGCTGAGCACAGGGGATGGTGCGTAGGAGTCCCCAGATAATGTTTGTTGAATGACTGACAGAAAGATGCCTGGGTCCTGAGGCCTGCTGCCTTGTGGTCACTCACCTGGCCCCGATACCTGTGCAGACTCAGTTATCTGGCCAACAGGTCCACCCTTCAGACTTGCCATGTCAGGAAGTTCTGGACCCCTGGGAAGATGGGGTCTGCAGGGTCCAGCGACAGAGCAGCCAATTCCAACTCAATTGTTGGTCCAGCTGCATAGACTAGGTGAGCAAGTGCCAGGTAGGTAAAGGGGACTCAGGACCAGCCACGGAGCTGAGACGGGCCTTTACAGGGAGCTCATGTGGTGGACAAGGGCTCTCAGGGCCATCGACGGCCACTGGACGTCCAGCCCAGGGAGGAGCCCACTGACCCCATCAGACTCTGGCTGCTAGAGGTCTGGGCCTGTTTAGGACAGCACATGCTCTAACCCTCTAAAGGGGACTCCACCTCCAGGGGCCACCCGGCTGCCCTCCTGCCAGTGTGAGGGCAAGGCCTGTGTGAGGTCTGTTTGAGGGGCACATGGCACGTCCAGAGCTTGTGGAGCAGAGGCCATGTCTCAGGTGCCAGCTTCCTCTTCCTATGGGGGTGTCTTTCATGCAGAGTCTGGGCCCTGAGAGCTCGTGCCCAGAAGTGTGAAAATTAGTCTGGGGGTAGCTTTTTGCAGAGGAGTGTCATCTTGATGCTCCATTATTGGCTGCTGAGTGAATGAGTGAATGAATGAATGAATGAATGAATGAGTAAATGAATGAATGAATGAATGAATGAATGGATGAATGAATGGAATGGCACCTGTGCTTCAGAGAGGCTTGCCATTTCGGGGCAGAAGGGTTTGCTGAGGCAGCCGTGGGCCTGGGGCAGCTGTGCTGAGGGAGGATTGAGCACGTGGGCTGGCAGCAGTTTGTGGTTGGCGGGCCGGAGGGATGCTGCGTTAAACTCATCTGCCTGCCCGTGCCGGCGCTGAGCCTTCACATTGCTGGGCTTTCCAGGACAGCGGTCACCATGGAGATGGCACATCCTGGCAGGGCACCCTGAGCGGCAGTGAAGAGAGACAGGGTTAACCCTGCATGTGCCGGGCTCCTGTTCCTGACCACTGTCCTGGCCTGGCCTTGGTGAGGGAGGGGCTGGGTGGCCCTGTGACCTCTGGGGAGCTGGATCCGGGGATGCTCTGGACACATCCAATTCTTCAACGACCTGGACAGCCTGGGCAGGATCCCTGGAAACCGACCAGAAAGGAATGAGAGGAACAGACCGAGGCTGTCAGCTGGCAGCGGCCCCAGCCTGGGGTCCCTTCCCTATCTCATGGGGAACTCCTCGATCTGGTCATGGGAGAAGACTCCAAAATCGGGCCATTTCATAGGGGTGAGGCTGGATGTTTGAAGTCTCCAGATAATTGGCTTTTCTGTCTGTTGGAGGTTGTGTTGTGGCCCATGCTCAGTGGTGGGAAGGGGACAGTGGGTCGCCTGGGCCCAGAGCCTCTGCCGTATCTCAGGTGCACTGGGCCAGGTATTTGCAGGCACCAGGGTCTTTCAGGGTCTGAAAGACCCTGCTCTTCAGAGTGCGTCTCCTTCTCCATTCTCTCTCTGGAGGCTGAAAGGTGTGGACCATGGCAGTGGCCCCTTCCTTGCCTCTGGCTGTGGAGCTGACCCTGGCCGTGCCTCGCCACCACCTTCTCCTTGGCTGGGGCGGAGCAGCTGGTCCAAGACTGCAGAGGTGGGGCGGGCTTACTGCGTTCCGCTCTGTGACTATAGGCCCCTAGCCCCTCATTTGCACCCCCAGGCCAGATGGATTTTGGGGTTCAGAACTGTGTCCTCAGGGTCCCAGCAGCAGCAGATGGCTCACCCAAGGAAAGGTCATTGAAGGAGGGCTGGTTGACAAGAGATGAAGTGGTGGGGTTCATGGGGTCAGTGGAGGTGGTGCTGTCCCCATCCCTGGCTAACGGGACCTGGATGGGTGGGTCACCTGGAGAGGAGCAGTGACTTTCAGTGGAGGGACCTGGTAGCAAATTCCCACCTTGCTCTCCCGCCCTCCCACCCCATTGCCCAAACCCAGCCGGAAGCCAGAGGGCACGGGGCCATTGCCATGGTCCACACCTTTCAGCCTCCAGACAGAGAATGGAGAAGGAGACGCACTCTGAAGAGCAGGCGGGAGACACTGGCACATGGTGATTCAGGCTTGGGCAGGGCGGATGGAGCCAGTCCCATGTGTGACAGCTCTGAGACTCACAGCACACTGGGCTGGAGAGGGACCGAGAATGGCCCCACACCCATCCTGGCGAACTTTTGCCGCTGCTCTTTCTGTCTTCAGAGAGCTTTGGATGTGGCGCTGTGATGGGGGTTGTGGCTTGTCTACTGGCACACGGTACCCACTCTCCAGCCATCTTCAGCCATGAGGCCTGGGCAGAGGCTCGGTCACCCCCCACGCGTACGTGTGTGAGTCCTGCTGGTCCTGCCCTCGTTGGTGTGGTTGTTGGATCACAGCCCATGGCTTTAAGAGTGTCCCTGTGTCCTCTCCCCTTGTCTGGGACTCCCTGGGGTGGCTCAAACCCTCCCGTTCCTGGGGGGTGGTTCTGCTGTCAGCCCAGCAGTCACCAAAACAGTGTGTCCGGGACTGGGGCCAGTGGACGGGCTCCTTGGAGGCACCAGATGTTACAAAGCAGCCTGGTGTCGCCTGCTCTGAGTTGGGCGCTGTGGCCTGGGTTTATCCTCAGCACGTTGGCTGGGGCACCTCCCGGGGCCAGGACTTCGTCTTTTGTATCACTCTGCCCTCTGTGTCCAGCACAGGGCGAGCAGGTGCTCAGAAAGTGCCTGCTGAATGAATGAACAGACAATGCGCTGGCCTCCACTTTGCCTCATCAGCAGCTGCCGAGTTCGGATGACGGTAGCGTTGATGTTTTCTTGGCTGAGATTCCAGGGAGACCTTGTTTATTAAATGATCGCTGTGAAGCTGTTTCTGTGGGTCACCTCCCTTAGATCCAGTGTGCTGACAGCATGCAGGCTAACATCGAGCCTGCTGGCAGGTGAGAGGCGGGAGCAGCCCCTTCTCAGCCATGCTGCTAGTGCTGGTGTCCGCCCGTGAGGAAGTCCCCCTCAGGGCTCCCACTGGAGGGACAGTCCCTATCCCTACCCCCTCTCCCTACCCCCCGGAGCCTCCGTGTGCATTCCAGGCTGAGCCCACCCCAGGCCCATTCGAGGGACTTTGAATCTTGATGGAGCAATTCAGAGATGATGGACGTTTGCAGGCCAGGCAGGAGGGCCGGGTGGGGTGGGTGTCCCGACCACCTGCCCGGTATCCTCAGAAGAGGAAACACGAGCATCCTCTGAAAGCCATGGCCGTGTGCGCCCTGGCAGAGGCCTCAGACCCCTGGGGCAGTGTGGCCCAGCCCTAAGTGAGCTCCTTCCTCATGGCCCTGCCTCCTGCGCTCCCCATGCTCTGGCCCTGGTCAGATGGGCCCAATCACAGCCTGGCCTTTTAAGTTTAAATGGATAAATCAGAGCTGGCCCATCAAGCAAGTCCTACCAGGGGTCCAGGCCACGCGCTGATGACCTGCGGGTGAATGGAAGCTCTCGGCATCACAGGCTGGGGTCTTGTAAACAACAGGCATTTACTGCTCACACTTCCGGAGGCTAGAGGTCTGCGATCCAGGCTGGGATCCAGGTTCGATGCCTGCTGAGGGCCCGTTCCTCTTGCTGTGTCGTTATCTGCTGGGAGCTCGCTTGGTGGGGTCTCTCCTAGGAGGGCACTCATTTCATTCATGAGGCTTCACCCTCATGACCTCCTCTCTTCCCAAAGGCCCCACTTTCTAACCCCTCAGTGGACTGGAACATATGGATTTGGGGGGACACAAGCACCTGGGCCAGAGTTGCTGGTGACTGTGGCTGGACGGCTTTGGAAGGGTGTCATTCACTTCCACCCTGGGTGCAGCCTCTTTTATGAAATGGTGGGGACCAGGGTTCCAGGTCCTGGGTCTTTGGGAAGGTGTGACCTGCAGCCCAGGGTGGGCACACGGAGCTGCCCGAGGGACCGCAGGCAGGGGGAACAACTCCTTGAGGCCCCACAGGGCCCAACCCAGGAATCCTGAGGGTCCGGGGGGTGCTGCTGGTGGGGGTTGCCCAGGAGATGGCGTCCAGTGAGCCTGCCCCTCCTGTTTCTGGCTGCAGCCTGGGGGCGGGGGTCGCCTGGGAGGTGGTGTCCAGTGAGCCTGCCCCTCCTGTTTCTGGCTGCAGCTCCTTCTTCTCCGCCTTCCTGAACCTCCTGGTCAGCGCCTTCGTGGTCTTCCTGGTCTTCATTGCCAGCACCATCGTGAGCGTGGGCTTCACCATGTGGTGCGACACCATCACCGAGAAGGGCACCGTACCCCACAGGTGCGCCCGCCCCACCCGCCTCGGCCTCCGCCCACCTCCCCGGAAGATCCCTTGACACCCTGCCCTGCTGTGGGTGATCTTCCCTCACGAAGCCCATCCTGAGTCTGCGGTCCCTGGTCCCACTGTGCACTGTGCCCCTGCCTGTGCATACCTGTGCAGCCCCTTCCCTGAGACCCACCCTGCAATGTCAGACACCTTCCCGCCCTAGGAGCCGGCAGCATCACACGTCACACAAGAGCGATCATCCCTAGGGCTGGATACAGCTGGGGGTGGCTCCAGGTGGTCAGGGACTCTGGCTGCCCTGTTCTTGCCACCAGGGCTTAGATGACAGATCCCGTGCAGCATGGCCCCGGGTCCTGGGAGGCTCGGTGTGGCCACACAGCCGGAGACTGTGGGGCTTCTGTCCTGTGCTGGCTGCATGGGAGAGCCCAGGGAGCATTAGGCTCAGGGCTTTGGTCCTCATGGTGAGGAGTTTGGAAGATGGTGGAAGGGACGGGGATGGTGAAGAACAGGAGCAGAGGAAGCTTCTGGCAGGGTGAGGGTCAGCTCCCAGGCGGGTTGGGGATGGAGGCCTTTGAGCCATGGTGGTCCCTCTGGGATCTTAGCAGGGGCATCATCTGGCTTGTGGGGGGCCCCAGAGTGGAGCACAGTGACTGCCTGCCCCCCACAGTGGGATGCCCCGCCCTGAGGGGCACCATGCAGTGCCCCAGGCCAAAACCCTGGAAGACAGGAACCCTCCAGAGTTTCCACATTCTTCCTTTAAGCAAACCCAGACCTGAAACCCCAGCATCTGCAACAGATGCAGCAGAGCTGAAGGGGCTCCCTGCCTGTCTGTTCCGTGCCTCCACCCTGGGGTAGCTGGGGCACAAACCAGAGGAAAGCAGGAGCACCTGGGTGTGTGGCCCTGCAGGGCCTCCTGTGCTGAGCTGTGCCCTGTGCCTCATCGTGCACTGTCCCAGCTCTGCCTGCTGGCTCGGGCCACCTGCTTCCCAAGAGTGTGGGCAACCTCTGGTACACACGCAAAGTTTCCTTGGCCTCACAGACACTGTTTCCAGCCCTTCAGCCCCTCCAGGGATTTGGGGCCGCTGGGCCCCCTCTTTCTGGCACCCTGCTCCTGTCAATGTGTCCTGGCTTCACGTTTTATGTTGGGGGTGCAGGACACCTACCGGGAGCCCAGGCCTGGCTCACTCCTGGGCCCTCTGATGCCCACTGCTTCCACAGATGCCTCCGTGATGGGGGCAGAGCTTCTGGGCAGCGTTGGTGGGGATGCCACCTCCATCTCTGTCTGGCTGAGGCAGCCCTGCATCTCCTGCCTCTGAGACCCTGTGACCCTCAGAGTGTGGGGCATGGGGGGCAGAGGGTCCAGAAAAGCAGAGGCTGAGCTGGCGTCTTCCGGCCGTCCTGGGTCAGGACAGGGAGGGGCCTGGCCTCTGAGACCCCGTGATCCTCAGAGTGTGGGGCATGGGGGGCAGAGGGTCCAGGAGGGCAGAGGCAGAGCTGGCGTCTTCTGGCTGTCCAGGGCCAGGACAGGGAGGGGCCTGGAGGTTTCCTTCCCCAAAGGCTGTCCTGCTCCATGGAGGAGGCATCGAGGCTAACCCTCCGTGATGTCCCCAGAGACTCCCTGCTGCCCACCCCCTCGCCCAACAATTGTAGGGCAAAGCTCCTGGCTCTCTGGCCAGCGGCTCAGCCATGTCCCGCACTGGCTGTCCTGGTGGTCACCCTCCACCCTATGTCCTGCTGTTTTAGCTGTGAAGAGCTCCAGGACATCGACTTGGAGCTGGGCGTGGACAACTCCGCCTTCTACGATCAGTTTGCAATTGCCCAGGTAGGGGGCTCTGGGCAAGAAGGGAGGCTTGCAATGCTGGGAGGGGGCCATTTACTGCTGGACATTTGCTGAGCTCTCCCCCATCCAGAGGAGGAGGCAGGCTCCTGTGTGGATAAGGTAGTTAGCAATGGGACCAGGCAGTGGGAGCAGTCGGGAAGGCTTCCTGCAGGAGGTGGGGGAGAGCTGGGCTTTTGTAGGTGGGTTTGGGGAGGAGATGGCCACAGTGAGTTAGAATCAGGAAGTGGCAAGGCCCTGGGGTCTGGGGTGGGAAGTGTGGGGGTGTGGGGGGAGGTGGTGCCAGAAACGAAACCAGGCATCAGATCCTGGGGGTCCAGTGTAGGGACAAGGGCTTTGGACTTTGGTGCTGGCGCTGGGTGGGCCTGTTCAGATCAGAGCTGGAGGCTTAGAGGAGTCCCCTAGCCAGGGGGAAGCTGATACAGAGTCCAAGGAAGGAGGCAGGGGATCCCACTTGTGAATTCAGATTTGCCACCCTGCCCTTGTATAAGCTGCGTCCCCCGCCCCCTAGGAGACTTGGTGGAGGGCGATGGTGGCCCCCACTCTGAGGGACGCTATTTGCTGAAATGCAGGCATGTGGGGACACATCAGTGGCCCGTGAGGGCCGGAGGGGGAACCCTGGAATTGGGTTTGCCCCTTGAAATCTGCAGATGTGCCCCAGACGGAGATGAGGCAGATGAGGGGTGCCGGGTGGGGGTGGCTGAGACCAGACACCTGGCTCCTGCCAGCACTGATCAGGGCCCGCTGGCTTCAGGTCCAATTCCGGACCCCAGGCTGGCCTCTGAAGGCTCTTGCTGGCCGTGGCTGGCCTGAGGACGCTTCTCCTGGCCAGGAGCCCTCCAAGGGTGCTGGACATGGGTGGGCCTGAATGCTCTTTGCCGAGATGAACTGGACCTGTCAAAGACACCTTCATGCAAATTTAGTGAGTGGAAGAGGCCTCAGGCCTAATTTGTGCCAGTTGGATTAAGGTGTGAGTGCAGTCTGATGGCAAATACGCTCAAATGAGAATCAGCTTAATGTAGCTCAGGCCTGGTTCTGATTAAATTGTTTCTCCTTCAACTGTTTGGAAACAGCGGCTAAAGGTCAATTTATTCCGGTGGTTGGAGGAGCCTCCGCTGTTTACCCGCCCTCCTTAGAGCCGACAGGCCGGAGCTGCTGGAGGAGAAAGCACTCGCCACTGGCCACTGCCCCTCCTCGGGGCCTCTGGCCGGCCTGGAGTGAGGGTTGGTCTGAGTGCCCAGGGCTTTTGCACCAGAGTGGGTTCCGGGAGGGCCACAGGTGCTGGAAAACGATGCTGGCTGCAGGAAGGAACTCAGAAGCTTGATCTTGGGCAGGGTCTTCAGGAGCTGGCCCTGCCCCATGTCCCCGGCCTCCTCCTTCCTCTGAGTCCTGTCCTTTCCCTGCAGAGCAGAGCCTGGGGGCTGGTGGGAGGGGGTTGCACTGACAGCGGACCCCCAACGGCTTCTGACCCTGACCCTGCCCTCTGTGCAGTTTGGCCTCTGGGCCTCATGGCTGGCCTGGCTGGCCATCACCACGCTGGCCTTCCTGAAGGTCTACCACAACTACCGTCAGGAGGACCTGCTGGACAGCCTGATCCACGAGAAGGAGCTGCTGCTGGCCCGGCCGTCCCCACGCACCTCCTTCCAAGAGGAGAAGAGCGCTGTCATTTAGGCACAGTGCAGGCAGGGGGAGCTGGCCCCGACCTCCCTGCTGCGCTCGGGGGCACGGGCCTGCCTGGGGAAGCAGCTGGGGGGCTCTGCCTGGGCCCTGGCCACATGCAGCCCTGCGTGTGTCCCCTCGACGCCACGTGTAGTGAGGTGAGCGCCCCAGTGCCCACCTGTGAGCCTGGCAGTGGACTGGGTGGGTGCCGGCTCCCTGATGAGGATGGTGCAGAGAGACTATGGGTGTGGGGCGGGGGCGGGGGGCACCTCCAGGCCTCGCACAGGGCCCCTTGGCTGTCCCAGTAGGACCTGACTGGCCAGCCTATGTGGAGGGCGTCCAGCTTGTCTCCCCCAACCCTGGCCGGATGCTGTCTCCATGCCAGCTGGCCCAGGGGTGGCCAGATGTCACTTAGCCCTGAACGAATTCTGCATGAATTCTGCCATCCAGGCAGAGGCTGCGTGTGGGGAGGAGCTCACGGCACCTTCCAGCCTCTGGCCCCAGGTTGGCCCCCTCCCCAGCTGAGTCCCCCTCCTGGGTGGGTGCCATAGGCCTGGGAGACCCTGTGGCCGGGCTCAGGGAGGCTTCTGAGGCCTGTGAGTTCACCTCACTGTGTGTGGGTCCTGTCTGTGCTTGGCTGAGGGTCAGGGAAGTGGTAATCTGGGCTCCACAGAATCGGGGGCATCATCTGGTTGGGGATTTCGGGGGCACACGTACCACATAGAGGACTGGGCCAGGAGCCATGGCAGGGGTCTGTGTGTGGGTGAGTATGGGAGGATGTGATTGTGAGTGCCTTTGTGCATGGGAGGGTGTGATTGTGTATATGAGTGCATGAGAGGATGTGACTGAGTGTGCATGTGTGGGTGTGACAGTGCAGGTGTGACTGCATGTGAAGGTGTCACTGAGTGTGCACGAGAGGGTGTGACTGCATGTGAGAGTGTGTGACTGCATGGGAGGATATGAGTGTGCATGAGTGTGCATGTGAGGGTGTGACTGAGTGCATGAGAGTGTGACTGCCTGTGAGTGAATGTGTGACTGCATGTGCGAGTGACTGCCTGGGAGGATGTGATTGTGCATGAGTGTGCATGTGGGTGTGACTGCATGTGAGGGTGTGACTGTTGTGCGTGTGAAGGCTTGATTGTGAGTGTGCCTGGGAGGATGTGAGTGTGAGGGTGTGACTCCCTGTGACATGAGTGTGCATGCATGTGAGTGTGAGGAAGAGTGTGTAGGTGTGAGTGTCTAGGCAGGTGTGTCTGCAGTGTGTGCAGCATGTGCGTAAGTGCATGTGAATGTGCGTGTGTTGCATGTGAGCATGTGCACGCCTGTGCGTGTGAGCATTGTGTGCGTGATGGGAGCCGTGGGTGCTGTGTGGACAGCCCCTCTGCCCCTCCCATGGGCTCCCACGCCCAGCATCCACCTGAGAGAGGAGGGAGCTGCCTTCCCATTCTGCAGAGTCTGTGTGCTGAGGCCCCGCAGAAGCAAGTGGAGGAGCTGGGATGTGAACCTGGGACCCCGGCGTAGGGGGCTGCTTGGCTGTGGACCCTGCCCCTCAGGAAAGCCCAGGGTCCACCTCCAGAGGACTCGTTCTGGGGCGGGGGCGGAGGCGGGGGGCCTCCCCACCCGGGGCTCGATGAGGGGCTGTCCGTTTCTTGGCTCGAGTGCTGCCAAGTGCTCCCTGCTGCTGCGCCCACCTTCCCGGGGAGAGGCGAGCCCCTGGCTCCCTGAGTTCATGACCCACCCTGTCCACCATCAGCAGCTGGCTTGTGTCTCTGGGTGGCTGGGCACCAGCCTCCTGGAGGCCACGTGCCTGGGTCCACATGGAGGGTCCTGGTGGGGGCATCATCCTGGGTCCCGGGAGTGAGGCTGGCAGGTGCCCATCGGGGGTGTCAAGTCCAGGGGGATCGAGGCTCTGGAAGCTCAAGGGGGCTCTGGCCTTGGGGACCAGCTGAGTTTCCAGCTGGCAGCCAGGTCCTCGAGGGAAGGGGTTTGGACAGAATCCGAGGCCCCCTAAGCTGATGGGGTCCCCTGTCTCCCCTTCCAGCCCTGACCCACTGGACATGGGGACTCTTTCCAGTCCGGAGAGCTCCTTGTCTGTGTCCCCAGCAGAAGGTGGGGTGGCTCCTGCCTCACCCTCTGCCCAGCCCTGATCCAGGCCACAGCCATCTAGGGCCCTGAAGGAGGGGCAGGAGGCAGGGGTGGCTTCTGGAACCTGAGGCTTGGCCCCGGTTGGGTCTGTTCTTGGGGGCTGCACTGCTGGATCCCAGGAGCAGGTGTGGAACAGCCCCATGGCCAGGGTGATGGAAATCCTCGGCTGCATGCAGACATAGACCCACCCTGGACTGGGCTGTCTCCGGAGCCCAGACACATCGCCCTGGGAAGGGGCAGCTGGGCCTGCAGTGTGCTGGGCAGGGGCTGGCGGCCCTGGTCGTGGGCTCTCCAGGGTCCCTCAGGGGATTGGGCCTCTCCCCAGGCAGGAAGGTGGGAAGTGCAGGCATGACCCGGGGTTCCTGAGGCTGGTCCACCAAGTTGCTTCTGAGACGCCTTCGCTTCTGTCCTGGCTGGCTGTTAATGATATCCCTGTTCTAATTCCACTCTGGCTAAACTGAAAGTAAAGATCCTTAAGCTTACATGTGTCTATTCCTCAAAATCAAAATAAAAACAAAAGCACCCGAGTCTCCAACAGGGATGAGGAGGAGCGTGTGGGGCTTCTGTCTGCCCTCTCCGCTGTTGGCTGGCCTGGCTCGTGGTTCTAACTGTCTGTAATTTGTGGGTCACACACAGTTTGCTCAGGCTTTGAGCCTTTCGTGTCCGAAGCTTTTAGGAATTAGAAGTTGGCCTTCCCGAGGTTCTGCCTTCCTCTCTGTACATTTTCTAGTGGCTTCGAGTCTCACTGCTTCCCATGCAGCTTCCCCAGGTGGGAGGATCCATTTCGAAGGATCTCTTGGGGGTGTGGTGCCCATCTTTGAGCAATGTTTATTCGAAAACACCTGAGGTCGTAGCGTGGGACCCCGCAAAGCCAGGCACGTCCTTGCGTTGCCTTTGCAGTGGACAGACAGCAGCGGCTGGGGGAGATCGGCCTGTGCGGTGTCCCCCGTCAGAACCGGGGCTGGAGGGGTGTCCCAAGCACACAGGGCTGAGCCTGGGCCTGTGACTGCTCTGAGAGACCCAACCTCTGGGAGCCGCTGCTTCTGCATCCAGAATATGGGGCAGGAACCTGCCCATCCTCCTTCCTGGGGTGGGGTGGGATGGGCTGGGCCTGGGGAGAGATGCTGGAGGGTCCCCGGGGGAGCCCCCACCATGGTCCCTTCTGGGCCACTTCTGGAAACAGCCCCTTTTGTTACCTCCACCCGCAACTCTGGGCTCCCTGGATTCCAAAGCTGGAAGTGACCCTGGAGACCACTTCACCTGTTCCCTGGCACCTGGAGTTGCAGGGACACACCCTGACTGCAGGGCAAAGGGAGCCGGCCGGGCATCCCTCAAGACCCAGGGGCTTGGTCAGCCCCTGCCCGAGTGGACACATCCACTCCCAGGCCTGCAGGAGATGGGGAGGTTCCAGGCGCCCAGGACATCCGCTTTGGCCACTGAGGCCGATTCCTTAGCAAATCGGTTCTGGTTTCTCTCATTTCTATAAAAACACCAAGACTGAAGGAAGCCACGGTGTGTTTTAATAAAACAGTGTCTCCCAGTTAAGTGGTGGGACAAACAGGAACCACCGGGTGGATGGTCGGCCGTGCCCACCCGCCTCAGGCTAACCTCGAGGACGCTGGTCTGATTGTCCCTGTGTCTCTCCTGGGCAGTTCTGCCTGGTGTCTAACCGTGGGCCTCCCTGCTTTGTTCAGCCCTCCCCCCACGTAGGGTCTGGAGAGGCCCCTGGTGTTTGTCATCCACAGGGCTCCCTTCAGCTCTGCAATCCGGCGACAAAGCCACAACCACAGACGGTCTCCGGGACCCACAGGCCCCAGCTGGTGGGTGGTGCTGGCTGGCCCCGGGCTCAGCTGGGTGTGCCTGGCCTGCAGAGCTGGGCACAGATGGCTGTTCTGAAGGTCGGGGGTGTCTGGGCCCCTTGCTGTCCCCTCGGCTTCTACACCTGAAGCCGCCCCTGATGAGGGGTCCTTCCCTGGGGCCTCTCCAGACTCACGGGGCTGGGTAGGGGGGTCAGACCTGGGCTCAGAGGATGGCACCTCACATCAAAGGGACCCACCTTGACAACCAGACCCTTCCCTCCCCGTGGGGTTTCGAGGTCTGGATTCCCCACAAGCCATAATCGCAAAAGGCTGGGTTTGCCTCCTCCGAGCAGCCCCTTGAACACGGGCAGTGTGTCCCCCTCCTCAAGAGGGTGCACACGGTGATGGCCGGGCCAGGCCCTAGCAGCAGCAGGAGTTCCTGCTGGGACGAGGGAGGGGTCTTTGGGTGAGCCTGGGGAGCCTCAACTGTTAGCAGTCGAATCCTCTTTCTAATAAAATCTCACATGGACCCAACACAGGAGACAGGAGGGCTGTGCTGACTAGTGTGGCGGGGCCGCCTGCTGTGCCCCCCATGTCCGATCTCACGCCACGGGGTCCCCCTTTTCCTAGTTAGCCCTCAGGCAGCAGCCCCTTTTGGCCCCCATGATTCACCAAGCAGCAGGGCCAGGGCTCAGGCTGTCTCGGAGCCCCCGGAGTGCTTGAGCTCTCCTGGAAGCCCTGCCCGTCCTGCCCGTCCTGCCCGTCAGAGCCGCAGGAGGCCGCGCCAGCAGGTGAGGGCCACGTGCCGCAGGTGCAGGACAAGGCCGAGGAGCCGGGCCCGCAGGTCCTCCAGTGCCGTTGCCACGGGCTTGGCCCGGCCGCAGTATAGGCCCAGGGCCAGCACGAGCAGGACGCACACACACAGCTGCAGGAGCAGGGAGCCGCCGTGTGGCCTGGGCCGGCCGGGCACTGCGGCCAGAGGGCAGGCAGGGTCAGCGCCAGCCAGCGCGACCCTTCCCTGGAGGACTGGGGCTGGTGGGGAAGGGATGGGGAGATTCCACCCTGTCCATGCCCATGGCCCCTCCCTAGCCTCTTGGGGTCTCCTTGCAACAAGAGCTCCCCAACTGGGGACTCCTTAGAGGCCCTGGCCCTGTGACACCTCCCTCGGGGAGGGAGTGAGGGTGGGTGCACCCACGGAGGGGGCAGTGGGGCACAGGGATGTGGGCTCAGAACTCACCCCTGACAGTGGCTGTGGCGTTCTTGTCAGCAATGTCTGCGAAAGAGAATGGAGAGTCAGCTGGGGGCACCTGCCTCAGTCCATCGGGCGCCCCCGCCCTCTCGTCTCACCCTGCACCCCCGAAGGACCCTGAGACTATTCATCAGTGAGAGACCCAGGCCCAGCCGGTCCTGACACTTCCTCAAAGGGACAGTCATGATTTGAGAATCCGCCCTCATGTTCTCCTCCAGTTGCTGTTTCATGGACCGGGACTGTGTGTCCAGATGACCCCAGGGGCCCAGGTCTTACAGGGGTTGTGGCACTGAAGGCAGGTGGCCACGGCCCCCCCATGTCCTGGGCCCTGCCAGAGCTGTGTGGGTGTGGCCGGTGTCCCCGCCTCCCTCTGCTTGACTCCACCCTCTCCCAGCTGCTTGCTGCGGGTGCCCTCTTACAGTGGACGGTCACCGCTGGGGGTTCTCGGAACCACACGCGCCTCGAGGTCCTCTGGGGCTTGGCCTCTGGGCGGTGGTGCTCCGGCCGGCTCCGTTTCAGGATGGAGGGGGGGCACTTCCTGTTGTCCTCCTGGTGTGGGGGCGGGAAGCAGACTGGTGAGTCCCCGGCGGGAGGCCGCTGGTACCCAGGTCTGAGCCATGTGGGGCCCAGCAGCACCGTCCTGGAACCTGTACCCTGTCCTGGCTGGTGCGCTATGCTGGGCCTGTCACTTCCTGTAGGGTGAGGGGCAGCTCCTGGACAGGGACTGCAGGGCAGCCAGACTCAGCCTCAGGGGCCCAGGCAAGACAGGAGCCCCTCCTGACCCCGTCTCTTCACGCAAGTCCCCACTGAACCTCTCTTCGTCTGCCCGCTGTCTCGGATGCAGGCTGCTGGACAGGGTCCCCAGGACATGTGGACAGGGGGAGGGGGCTGCAATGGCAGAGGGGCTCTGGCTAAGGGGCCAGAGTTTGCAAGCTCTATGGGGCAGGGGCCGGGCCAGGGCCGTGAGGAGGGCTGGTTGGTGGCCTCGGCCTCCTTTTCCCTGGGGCCGAGCCTCCCAGGCTGCAGGCGGGGGCAGCTCCTACACATTTGCCTACCTGGGCCCTTTCTCTGCTGGTCTGCTCACGTGTATGGGCCCAGCCTGAGTCTGGAAGATGGAGTGGGAGTTTCGGGCTGCTGTGAACCTCAGCATCCTTGTCTGTGACATGGTGACAACTGGGGCTGAGGCACCCTGGGAGCCGGGCCAGCTCTGAGGTTGTTCCTGGCTGGGGCATTGCTCGCTGTACACAGCCTGCTGCTCGGCATCTGGCGAGGCTGCCCCGCGAGGGCGTGAGGCCTGCCCATGCTGAGTCTGGCCCAGCTCCTGCTGTGCCTGTGGCATGCCCCAGCCTGGCAGTGCCTCAGAGGCTGGATGGAGCCTCAGGGTCTGAGGTCTGGGCCCCTAACCCTAACACTGACCCTTGGTGACAGTCTTGACCTGTCCTCTCTCCACCCTCTTCCCTCCTCCAACACCCTCCTCCCTGAGCTGCCTCTTCCACAGCCCTCCATGGCTCCCACTTCCTCTGCCAAGCTGTGCCCCACCTGGGGGCCTCCAATCTCCTCTGCCAGACCAAATCCTTCAAGGCACCCATTGCCCCCCGCTGCTCCCCCCAGCCCTCAGTGATCCCCCTGCCCTCCTCCTATCACCCCCTGATTCCTGGGGTGGAGGATGGCCTTTCCACGTCTGTTGCTCCCTGCCCCCTCCAGCCCCCAGTGGAAGGCCAGCTTGCAGAAGCTGTGTCCCAGCGGCCCGCCTTACCCTCTCTGCCCTGCACACCCGCGGGCCCCACGCGGCCTCCTCATTCTTTCTGGTCTGACGTCGTGTCTCTGGCCGGGAGTCAGGGCTCACGGCTCCTGCTGCAGTCCTCATTTACTGGAACATGGTCCTAAGATAAGCAGAGACGTTATTTATTATTTACTGCACAAGTGGCACTCAGAGGAATGAAAATAAGAGGAGGAGAAAATTCTTTCCTGGAAGCCAGGCTGGCTTCCCGGGCTTGCGACCGGCCACGCTGTTGAGCAGACACCACTTTTCCTCTGTGGTGTCCCCAGTGCAGGTAAATCCTGTTCCCTGCTCGTTCAGAAATGCCATCGCAAGCAATTTCCTTTGCTGCCACGGTCTTCATAATTATCATCTTTAATGGCTGCATAATATTCCACTGGGCCGAGGTCCCGTCACTGAAAGTCACCCTCGATGATTGGGTATTCATGAGGGTTGCATTTTAGTATTGTCATTTGCAATGTTTGGAGGTCATGGATAAGGCTGCAAGAAACATCTTTGCTTTGTCTCCTTTCGGTAGCGGGAAGCCCTGGGGCTGGGGACTGGGAATTGTCAGGGCTCTGAGACCGGGTCCACAGAAAGGCTTCCCAGAGGGTCATGCCCACCTTTTTGGGCTGGTGCTGGTGGGGCGCCCCTGGGCTCCTGGGGGCCCACCCCTCAGCACGGCTCACACTCTCTCTCTGTGTCTCTCTCTGCACCGCGCCCCCGCCGATTCTGTGTCTCTATCTCTCTGTCTCCATCTCTCTGTCCCCCTGCCTCTCTCTGATTCTGTCTCTATCTTTCTATGTCTCTCTCTCTGTCTCCATCTCTGTCTCCCTGCCTCTCTCTAATTCTGTCTCTATCTCCCTGTTTCTGTCTCTGTCCCCCTTCCTCTCTCTGATTCTCTCTCTATCTCTCTACCTCTATCTCTGTCTCTCTGTCCCCTCCTCTGTTGCGCTGGTTGCTTCCTGGCTGTGAATGGCGCCTCCTCGCCTCCACCCCCGTGTCTTTGGCGGCAGAGGCTGTGCTCTCCTCATTCGTGCTCACCGGTGGAGCCCCCCAAGTGTGAATTTTCTCTCACAGCCTTGGCAGGGTTCTTGACTTTTGGGCACTCCTCCCTACAGAGGGGTGCAGTGCCTACCAGGCATCTGTGCAGGTGCAGGTGTCTGCCTTTCAAGGGCTCTGGGGGTGATGAGCCTGCCTCTCTTGCTTCAGGTCGGGAAACTGAGGCCAGAGGGGGCTGGGGCTTCCCTGGGAGCTGATGCCAGGCCAGGTCCTCCCTGCCCTGCTCCCAGCTGGATAGGGGGCAGTGTGGGGACCTCCTGCTGCCCTTCAGGTTCTCCCCTGCCCTGGGGTCCTTGGAGGGTACTGCCGCCCCTGCCCCTCACAGGGCAGGTGTTTGCATTTCCTGAGATGCTTCCCTGGCTCCCCGTGGTCCTCCAAGGACCCTGCCCCCAAGGGCTGAGAAGGGGGAGGGTGAGAGTGAGGGGCCTACATGGTCCTCAAGGATAACTCCTCCAGGGTCCCCCAAAGGGATGGGTGCCTCAGAGGTTCAGGGCAGGCCTGTGGGAGGAGTGGTTTGGGTGGATACTGCAGTGACTCCAGCAGCCGTGTGCCGTCCTCTACAGGAGATAACAGGGTGGCCATGACCACCTCCCCAAGTGGGCATAAATACTGCAGACAAGCAGAGTGCCCTGTTAATGATGTCTGGGAGGACACTGTCTGGACGGGTTCAATTATTTCAAAAGAGAGCAATTTTCTGCTATCGCCGGATCAGGTTTTTATTGCAAATAGGGTTGTGGCAGGAGCCGGCCATCCAGGGGGGTGGCGGGGAGGGGCGGCTTATCTTCAGGACCTGCTCTCAGAGAGTGGCTGTGGGAGAGGTTGTGCTTGCAGGCCCAGCTGAGCTGGGGCCCCGTCTCCTGGGGCCAGGTCACCTGGAATGTGGGCTCTGCGTGATCCCCAGGGTTAGGGAAGCCACAGAGTGCCAGGCCTGTCCTGGTGTTTTGGGGATGCTGCCTGGCAGGGCAACCTTGACTGCCTGTCCGTAGCAGGGCTGGGGCTGGAAGGGCTCTCTGGATGCCATTGACTCAGTTTCCACCCTGGGTGGGATAGAAACTCTGCTAAAGCCCAGGGTGGGGTTGGGGGTGGAGCAGAGCCCCCCAGTGACCTCTTGGACCCAGAGCCCGGGCTCTCCCACTGCCCGGCGGAAGGAGGCTTGTGCATTCGGGGTCATTTCCTGGGGCTGCACGGCCTGGGGCTGGCTGGCGTGCCCAGGGCCACAGCCCCTTGCCAGGCGACCCTGCAGCAGCATTCCAGGGGGCCCAGCCAGGTTCACTCCTCATGGGGAAACAGGCCTGGAGAGGCTTGGGCCGACGGAGTCACGCAGGGATGCAGGGCTGGACGCAGTCTCCCCCAGCTCCTGCCAGCAGCTCTCGCTATTCACCCCTCCTTGGCCTGGGGTCTGTCCAAGGGATGGTGGGAAAACAGTGTGTGTGTGCACGTGTGTGAGTGCACACATGTGTGAGTATTCCCCTGAGTGTGCAAGTGTGAGAGTGGGCACGTGTGTCAGAGGGCATGAGTGTGCACGTGTGGGGTGTCTGTGTGTGTGAATGTGTGCATGGAGGTGTGGCTATGTGTGCATATGTGTACTTGTATTTCTGTGCGTGCATGTGAATATGCATGTGTGTGTGTGTCCATGCATGTGCCCGTGTGTGTGTGTGAGTGTATCTGCGTATGTGTGGGTGAATGTGTGTGTGTTTGTGTAGAGTGTATGTGAATGTGCAGGCGTAGGCAGTGTGTTTGTGAGGGTGCCTGGCTGTGGCATTAACCATCTGTTGCTGAGCAGCATAACTTGGGGAGGACGCGACTTCGCCTTCTGGGGCACAGAGTTCTGCCGGAATGTGGACAGTCAGGACTTCCTACGGGACAGCACCTCCCCCTCTTCAGGTGTGGGCTCCAGAGCACCTTGTGTGACCACGTGTGACCTTAGGCAAGTCTCCTAATCTGCCTGGGCGTTGGTCTGCTCAGCTGTGAAATGGGGGTGAGGAGAGCAGCAGCCTCTGCGGGCTCGCGTGAGGGTGGGAGTCAGTGCACAGACCCGAGTCCGCACCAAGCCTGTGCTCTGTGCCATCAGCCACTGTTGGCATCACTCGGGGAGGGAATGTGCCCAGGAACAGAGCTCAGGTGGCTCTGGCTGTGTCTGGACAGTCAGGACATCCTATGGGATGACACCTCCCCTCCGGGAGCCCTGGGGCCCTCTCCAGAGATGCACCTTCCCCTGGGCCACGCTCTGCTCCCAGGCAGCCTCCCTGAGCCCTGAGGTCCCCTCTCCAGAGATGCACCTTCACGTGGGCCACGCTCTGCTCCCAGGCAGCCTCCCTGAGCTCCGCGGTCCCCTCTCCAGAGATGCACCTTCACGTGGGCCATGCTCTGCTCCCAGACAGCCTCCCTGAGCCCTGCCATCCCCTCCCTAACTGGGCTTCACGCTTCCCCTTCTGGAAGAGAGGTCTGGCTCAAGTCCTGGGCTCTGTCCTTCTTTGGCTCTGTGACCTCGGGTAAGTGGTGTGACCTCCCTGGGCCTCATTTTCCCCAGTGGAAGCAGGGAAGGAGTGGCTCTGGCATGCTCGGCAGGTGGGGGCGGGGAGGCCTGGGGCCTCTGGCAGGGACAGTGTGTAACTGGAGGCCTCGTGACAGATGGGAGATAAAGGGCGGAAAATAGCTTCAGAGCCTGGACCTGTAAGTGTCCCGCTAGGCCCGCTGCTGGGGAGGGCGCGTCCACCCGAGGGGACTCTACCCCCACTCTGGGAACAGGAACCCCATGGCGCCTCCCTTGGTGCTGGGGGGCTGGGGGGTTCTTACCAGCTCCTCTACTGAGAGGGGGCACCGAGCTCCCTGGCGGAGGGGAAACTGAGGCCCAGAGAGGGAGAACAGCCTGCCAGGTTTCAGAGCCTGGGTTGGGACAGAGGCGGGAGTCAGGGCCCGGAGCTCCCAGTTGTGGGCATGACCAGCCCGTACTGCTGGTGGGAGGTGGGGCCATGAGGGCTGAGGCCCAGGACCTTGGTCTGGGGTGTGACCCTCCAACAGTCTTTGGGGGTCTAGCCCAGTACCCCAAAGACCCCACCTCATCTTGAAGCTGCTGAGAGACGTGAGGGCACTGATGGAGCCCAGCGGCCGTGGCAGTGCCGAGTCCCTCCCCCTCGAGACCAGCCTGCAGTGGGGCGTGGGGGCGGGCCAGTGGTTCTTGCCTGGTTCTGTGGCTTGGATAACGCCAAGCTCTGGGGCCCAGCCACTGCTGCTCCCTCCCACTCCTGCCCCGTCCTCCAGGACGCCGCCCGCTGGCTTCCCGCCTCCTCCCAGGCTGCTGCCTCTGCCTGGCCCGTGCCGCCCGCCCTTTTGCCCACAGCCCACCTCCTGATGTTTCTCTGTCCTCCCTGAGGGTTCCTCGGGGCGGGCAGTGCCCCCCATGCAGCAGCTGGCTCGTGAGAAATCCTGACATCCCACCCACCCCACATGGGAGGTCCTTCCTCGGCTCTGAGCGTGCGGCCCCACACTCCCGGCTCACCCCTCGCCTGGCACTGCCCTTCCTCGGCTCTGAGCGTGCGGCCCCACACTCCCGGCTCACCCCTCGCCTGGCACTGCACCCATTCACACGGCAGCCTCACAGCCTTCCAGGGGCAGAGGGTCCCGGGGCCTGAGCGAGTGCAGGCTGGGGCCAGGCTCCCTGTTTCCCTGTTCCAGGTGCAGCCTCCCCCAGGGCAACTCACTTGGGAGCTGGAGACAGGGGGCCAGGCTCCTGGGAAGCCAGAGACCTCCCTGGGAGAAGCTGGAGACTCACAGCCCCCACCCCCACCACTTACACACACACACATACATACTCTCTCTCTCTCTCTCTCTCTCTCTCTGCCCCTGCCCACCTGGGCTCCTGCTGGTGCTGTACCTCCGGGGTGGCTCAGGCCTGATCAGCCCCGAGATCCACTGGCGGTCACAGCCTCGCTGTCGCAGGGTGTGAACCAGAGCTGTTGCGGCTCACAACCAGCTGAGAAGTTTCCATTACGGCGACACTGAGCAGTGGCCTCAGCGGCCCTGAGGGCCCCGGCTGACTTGCTGCTCTCGGGACAGCCCGGTCCATGGGGAGGCCGTCAACCACGGGCTTGGTGGCCCCAGGAGGAGCTGGGCCTCCTCAGTCTCCCAGCACCTTAGTAGTTTGGCCACAGGCCTAACCCAATGGCCCTGGGGCTGCAGATGCAGGTTGTGCCTTCTTCCGGTGGAAGAAGACTGGGACCATGGACACTGCCTCGCTGGCCTTTCCTCTGCAGGGCGGAGGCAGAACACAGCCAGGCGGGGTGGCTGGGCTCCTGGGAAAAGCCTTGGCTCCCAGCCCAACGCTCACCACTGGAACCACGCTGGCAGCTCCCCAGACAACATGCGTTCTCGACTTAAGTAAGAGGGAGAACTTGTGGGGAGGCCCCTGGCTGGGCTGACCGCCCACTGGGCTTGCTCAGGTGCCTGCAGGCCCTACCAGGTAGGAACAGGAGCAGGAGCTGCCTGGTGGCCCCCTGAGGCCCCTCTCCATGCCTAGATGGGCCCTCACATCCCGAGGTGCAGTTAGGGCTCGAGGTAGCAGCAGTACCGGGTGATGGCTGCTCATCTGCTGGGTGCAGGGGCCACCCTAGGCCTCGAGAGCTCCAGACAGACAGGGCGGGGGACCCCCCCAGGCCCTTCCTCCCATATGTGGAATGGGGGCTGTTTGCCAACTGTCCAGGGCACTGCAAAGCTCAGTAGTGCCCAAGAAATGGCGTGGCGTCCAGTGCTGGGTGGGGGTCCCATGGCCACACAGGGCAGGACAGGGATTCCTTCTGACTGACGGCTCAGAAAAGAGCCAGTTCTCAGGGATTCCCAAACACTGAGAACTAGGCTTCAGTTACTGGAGTAACGAATCCATTCCTGCTAGGCTGGGCCTGCGTAGACTTGCCCTCGGAGGATGCCCCCCACCAAGGCCCTTCAGGGAAGGCTGGCTGGGTTCATGCCTGGCACGGCTGCCTGCATTCCCCTGAGAGTGCAGCCCCTTCTCCCACTGCCCAGGCTGTTTCGCGCAACATCAGGTGCCCTTTGGAAGCTCCTGTGTGGCCAGGAGCACCCCCGCTGCTAAGTTTGAAGTGGCCGTGTTCCCTGCTTCCCCCAGAGGCGGCCTGGCCTCAGTGTGGACACAGGGCCGGCCTGGGACTGTCTCCGTTTTAGGGAAACCATCAGTCCCAGGAGAAGGGGGAAGGGTGGCCACTCTGGAGCTTGTTCAGGTCACTCAGGATCATCAGTGTGTGCTCTGCCCAGTCTCTGCCCACACCTGCTGCCCAGCTGGGGCAGGTTCCCCACCTGCACCTGCCTTTGGCAATCTCTCCGCTCTGCCCAGTCTCTGCCCACACCTGCTGCCCAGCTGGGGCAGGTTCCCCACCTGCACCTGCCTTTGGCAATCTCTCCGCTCTGGCATCTTCATACCCAAGCAGGAAGTGAGCCCCCTCTCCCTGGGGCTGGAACTCACCTGGTTCCCTCCTGGCTCCCCGAGGGACAGAAACAGGCTCTTCGGGATCTCCCTGTGGGGCACAGTCCAGTGAGGTCCTGGACCCTCTTGGCCGGCAGCACCCCTCCCAGGCCCTTGAGAGTTGAGCCTCGGGCAGAACTGCAGGGCACACAGGTGAACGGGCCAGGCCCGCCCAGGCCTCCTTCCCGAGGGCTCTGATCTGGAGGCGCCACCGCCCGCTGGCAGGGCCGGGTCTGTTGTGGCCTTCGTCCCGTCTCCAGCCCTCTCTGCTGGATCGCAAAGCTGGGCCAGCTGGCAGCGGCCAGGCTATAATTACCTCTCCCCTTTGGCAGAAATAGCAGTGAACCCGAGGACAGGCCGCTGGCCCCGGAGCAGAAGGGGGTGGCTGTTTCCCAGGCCCCCGGTGGACAACAGACCATGATTTCAGATAAGACCAGAGTTTGCTGCTGTTCCTACCCCTCCCGGCCCAAATGTGCCCCCTCCCAGGTCAATTCCAGAGCTGTGCAGCTCTTGGAAAAACCTATGGATTGGAATTCGGGGCAGAGTGGGAGAGGGAGGGCACTGTGGGGCTGCGGGAGGTGAGGTGATCACAGAGTCCAGCCTCCAATAAGACCCTGACCCAGCATGGGGCCTCCGTGGTGGCGAGAGTGCCCGCCCTGCCCCAGGCCCCTGTGCCCCTGTGAGTCCTGACCTGGGGTTGCCAGAGGGAGAGGCAAAGAATGGGTCCCAAGCTGCCGTTTTGGGGCACACTGGCCGACCCTCGATATTGCCCTGGCAGGAAGGGGCAATGTATGGGTCAGTGAGCGATGGCAGGGGTGAGGGATCAGCCTTTCTCAGGGTCTGTCCTGGGTGGGCGTCCAACTGCCCTGCCTGGCGCTGCTGAGTCTGCCCCTCATTTGTAGGTGAAAGTGCAGCTCAGAGAGTTGAGGCACCCTGTCCAGAGTCACACAGCCCGGAGGTGGTAGCCTGGCTCAGGCTTGGTGGCCCGTCCTCGCCAGCCCCCCCGTCTGCTGGTGCATGTAAAGGCAGGTCTGAAAGAGGCTGGTGAGGGCATCACTGGCGCAGGGCACCACCACATGTGGGCAGACCCCTGCCTGGTTTGTGGGGCTTTGACCTGTTTCAGGGGACTGCTGGAGGAGGTGTGGAGAGACCCGTGTTTCTCCATTAGGAATGGGGGTGCATCTCCCTTGGGTAAAGCTACAGGACCCCTGGGAGCCCAGGGTGTGCCAGGCTGGGGGACAGTGTGCACAGAGGGTGACTGCTCAGGGCCAGCCGTGGGGCTGCATGGACACAGAGTCCTGGAACCCACCGTCAGAGCATGAGCAACGCAGCCACTGGGATGGGGTTCAGCAGACCGGCCCTCCCCTCACTGCCGTCTTCAGTACAGGGCATGGGGGAGCAAACTTTTCTCTTACAGGGCCATATGGCACACAGTGCGCTCTGTGTCTACACAAACGGGGTGGGCCAGATTGGCAGGAGGGCCTTGGCTCGCTGACGCTTGTTCCAGGGAGAGCACTGAGGAAGGCTGGGTGGTCCTGCTGGCAGTCTGGCTTCCTGGGAAGAGTGAGGTCCTGTAGCCAGACAAGACCCTCTCCCGCCTGTGCCCAATCTGGGCGCTTATCCTTGGCTTCCCAGGGCTGGAGCTGCTCCTCCCAGATTTCAGAGGTCAGGCTGCACTGCCCGAGGTCGGGGGGCTCCGGGACAACTCCTTCCTGACCCTTCTCATTGACAGAGGGGAGGGAACGGTCAGCCCACAGACCTTGGGTGCCGCCCCCTCTCTGTGCTCCCTGGAAAGGCGATGCGGGCTGACCCTGTGGACATTCGCTCTGGGTAATTTATTAGTGAGCTGATGGCTCGGCTCAGGGCTCAGGTCCCAGCGGGGTCATATTTCCGGCCGTATCTGATAGGGCTCGGCTGCACCCTCCTCGCCTCCGTCCATTGCGCCTCACTCCAGCCTGGGCTCTGCAGGGCAAGATAAGGCTGGCCCAGGGGAGTGCTGAGCTGCCGGGTCCGCGGAGGGTCCCCAGTGCCTGTGCCAGGCAGTGCCAGGGAAGAGCCCAGTTGTGTCAGGCCTGCCTGCAGCCGGCAGGTGGGCACATGTGCCCACGGGCAGTGGTGCCAATGACGTGGTGCCCAGGTTTGGGCCCAGCTCTGTCACTGTTCAGCCAGGTGACCTCCGCCACACCCTCATCTCTCCCCGGGAGCTGGGAATGATCGGATGCCCCACCCTCCCCAGATCTTTGTGGTGCACCCACCCTGAGCAGTGCCCCGGGAACACAGCAACTAAGGCCAGCTGTCATTCAGCGGGAGGGCGGAGCATGTCCAGTGGCTGGGCACTCCTGAGCGCTGGGAAAGTCCAGCGAGCTGGCTGGGCTGGGCTGTTTCCTTGGGGTGGTCCTGGAAGGTGGCCGGGGTGGAGTAGGGCGGCACGTGGGAGTGGAGGCTGCAGGGGCTGGAGATTGTGGCTACTCTGGTCATGGCCACGTGGTGCTGGCCTAGACTCCCAGCTCTCCCTGGACCATGGTCTGGCTGGAGTGCGGAGAGCCCTGGGCCTCAGCATGGCCTCATACATGGCTCCAGGCAGGGTCGGGGGTGGGGCTGGAGGGTGTGGAGGCCCTAGGCTGACCTGGGCCAGAGAAGAAAGGGCCGGTGGGTGGGGGAGATGGGGGTGGGGTCCACAGCTGGTTGAAGCAGAAGGACCCCAGGCACAAGAGAGGCCAGCGTTGGCCCAGGGGGTGGGAGTTGGCCGTGGCCCTCTTGCGCAGAGGCCTGGAGGCTGGCCCTTCCCCTGTCTGGCATACAGCCCGGGGGGAAATTCGTGCAGGCTGGCCGACTGCAGCACCAGGGCTTGTGGTGGAAATGGGTCCAAAGGTTCTCCAGGCGTCTCCGGGGCTCAGGGCTGCACCCCTGTCAGCTGAGGCTGTCCTGAGCCCAGCTCCCTCTGTGGTAGTGAAAACGCCCAGCTGAGGCTGTCCTGAGCCCAGCTCTCTCTGCTGCAGTGGGAATGCCCAGCTGAGGCTGTCCTGAGCCCAGCTCCCTCTGTGGCAGTGAAAACACCCAGCTGAGGCTGTCCTGAGCCCAGCTCTCTCTGCTGTAGTGGGAACACCCAGCTGAGGCTGTCCTGAGCCCAGCTCCCTCTGTAGCAGGAGGAACGCCGGGCTGAGGCTGTCCTGATCCCAGCTCCCTCTGCCGTAGGGGGAACGCCCAGCTGAGGCTGTCTTGAGCCCAGCTCCCTCTGCTGTCGTGGGAACGCCCAGCTAAGGCCGTCCTGAGCCCAGCTCCCTCTGGGGCAGTGAAAATGCAGCTGAGGCTGTCCTGATCCCAGCTCCCTCTGCTACAGTGGGAATGCATCTTTGTAGCTCTCGTCTCTGCAGTGGGTCGTCAGCTGCTTCATGACCACAGGAAACCCCCTGAGAGGGCTTGGTTGAGGGTCTCCAGCTGGGTGGGGACGGTGGCTGATGGGGTCATGAGAGGCCCCATAAACCATGACCACGGTGAGAAGGCCCTGGAGAGGACTACGGGAGAGGGCAGGCAGGGGTGGCGGTGGTGGGTGAGTCCAGGGCCGGTGGAGGCCGCATGAGCAGGTCTTTGCCACTGGCACACTCAGAGCCAGTGCTAGGTCAGGAGGGACAAGGAGTGAAGTCCTCACAGGACTTGCCACGTGGTGGTCACAGGTGGGCTTGGCCCAGGCACCCTGGGGGTTGGTGGGAGTGAAGCCTGAGGGTGGGGTCCAGGAGAAGAGGAGAGGAAATGAGGGAAATGAGGGAGGAGTGTGGGTTTGGGGTTAGAGGGGCTGACGCATGCTCTGGGTGAGAGCCGGAACCTGGGCTGGGGCTCCACAGGCACAGGCTGCTCTGCACAGGGGCTGGTGGGGGGACTTCCCACCAGGCAGAGCTGTCCATGGGAGGAACAGCCGACAGTAAGGTAGTGAGTTCCCCATCACTGGAGGCAAGCAAAGGAGGATTTTTGCCTTTGGGGACTCTTCAGGGCCCCATAGACCACGGGTGGGGAGGGAGGTGGGAGGACGGGGGAGCAGACTCTGGGCATATGGGGGTGACCTGTGACGCTCTGGCCCCTGTGTCTGCTCACTGGCCCCTGACATACGGCTGCCTGGAGAGATGCTGCTCTTCCGGCTTGCAGATACAGCTAGAGTCCTGCCCCAGGTCACGGCCCGGAGTGGGAGGTCCAGGCCCCTACCATGGAGCCTGCAGCTTGTCATTCTCAGACTGAGGCAGGGCCCTTTGACAGGGCCATGTATGGTCACCCCGTCGCCAAGTCAGAGCCCTTATTAAGAATACAGGACGCATGGGCACTGCCCCCAGCCCTGAGTGTGGTGGGGGCCCTGGGTGATGACCACACTGGTTTCCACGAGTGAGAACCATAGGCTGCTGGGGCCCCCCCAGCTCCCATCAGCTGAGATAATGGGGGCCTCTGGGCCCCGCGGAACACTAACCAAAGCGGCCCCTTTCCTCCTCCTCTATTATTCATGACCTCCAAGAGGCTGTAAAAGTCCTTTTTTCTCTACAGGAGCCATCGATACGATGACAAATTTTATCTATGAAGTTGGTCCCTCCCTGAAAGCCAGTTGGCTGTCGGGGCTGTACATAAGCCATAACCGAGCCGGGGCCCCCCGAGCTGCCTGCCACAGCTGTTTTTCCAGCAGCATCTTAGGGGCTGGCTGGAGGGGCCGGGAGATCCTTCCACCACCCCGCCTGACCTGCTGAAGGTTCTGGGCTCTGAGGCGAGGCCGTGTGGGGGTCTGTCTGGGCTTCAGTGGGGCGACTGCAGGCGTGGGCCCCGGGGGCAGCCGGTCAGCCCAGGTTCCCACTGTGGGCGCCATCCCTGGTCTCCGGGCCTGAGGACCCACCGCAGGGACCTGGCTGCGGCCGGCCGGGGCCGAGCATTCACACGTCACACACAGCCTCATTCTCACACCAGAAGCGTGCATTCTCTGTGGCGCAGGCAAGCCACACATCTGTGGACATGTGCGCCGAACTGTGAGGGCCACGCTGTCCGTGTGCAAAAGTGCTACGTGCTGTAAAATAAAAATAAAACCCTAAGGCCCCAACCGACTGAACAGGCTCCTCTTGGCCAAAGGGACTCCAGAGAAACCGGAACAACTGAGTTCCCAGTCATGATGGGACAGGAGGGCAGACGTGCCTCGCTCTCCCCCTTCCCTGCGGGAGTTCAGGCAGGGCTGACCAGTAGTGACGTTAACCTAGTGATCAGAGGACTGTGACCCTAAGACTCGAATTATAAACAGGACCGAAGGCCGCCAGCCCAGGGTCAAGTCATGCACCCCACACGCCACTGTGACCTGGTGTATCGGTTAAAAGACTTCTTAATCTTCACCGAAAACATTCCTTTCTGATGACTGCACATTTATAGACAAAGCTTTACTTCTTTAACTAATTGCAAATGAAATAATCTCTGGCCCCGCTGACGACCTGTCAGCCCCCTGCTTCAAGACACCCTGCCTTTCTGGGCTGAACCGATGTAGAAGCTCCTTGAACTATGACTGCCTGCAATTCCGTCACACTAAGGTGGGTGGGAAGCAGAGCTGGTGTCTGGCTGCCTCAGGACCCCCCACTCAGGGCTCCCTGGGTGTGTGCACTTTTTCCTGGGCCGCGGTCACTCATATTGGCTCAGAAGAAAGCTCCGTGTTCTACGGAGTTGGGTCTTTCCATTAACCATGCTCTCCAAGCGCTAGATGGGCAGAATGCATACTTGTGTGCAACGGCTTAGCTCCTCACAGGGCTTAGCTCCTCTTCCCTCCCCACCGCCTCCTGAGCCCCAGGCCTGGCCTCATTGGCAGATAAGGACAGGGGCTCTGTAGGGGGAAGCTCCTTGCCGGGCTGTGAGGCGGCAGCTTACGGAGTGGGCTCAGATCCAGGGGACTGGGTGCCGCCCTTGGTCATGACTCCCCTGCACACAGCTGCTGGGACATGGGGCACAGGCACAGGACACTGGGAAGAGCTTGGCACCAGAACCGGGGGAGGGAGGGCCCCACCCACACCCTGTCCTGGGCCTGCCACCTTGGGCAGTCAGTGCCTGGCCGAGAGCTACTACCTCCTGCCCCAGGGGAATCCTCTCCTTGCAGGGCCGTGGCAGGTTCTGAGGGGCTACTGTGTGCCTCCTTGTGAAAGCGGCAAGGTTGGGCTGGCCGGGCAGGCACACAGTTCTGGTTCACGCGGGTGCCCACCTGGCAGTGGCTGAGTGGCCCAGAGCCTGGGTGCCCAAAGTTCCCTCAGCCCAGGTGTGCCCGTCACTGGTGCTGCCCTCCCTGTTGCCGCCTGGAGCCCTCCGGCCCACTGGGGAGGGCAGCTTCTCCTGATCTTTCCACCGTGTCAGGAGCAGCTGGCCTGAAAGGGCAGAAGTCAGTGTCCAGGGCCCACAGAAACTATGTGCTGGGCAGGAGACTCTCCTGATCTTTTGAGAGCTGTGGGTACGGGCTCTGAGCTGGCAGTGATATCAGGGGACCCAGAACCCCGCTGTGGGTAGAGTAAGGGCTCCCGGAGACCTGGAGGCAAGCCCGCCCTGCAGTGACCCTGGGACCCTCAGCCTCTCGTGCCTAAGGGAAGGGGCTGCCTGTACTCTGCAGTTGGCAGAGCCTGCCCATTGGTTCCTTGACCTAATGATTATGAGCCATTTTGGCAGGAAAAAAACCCAAACGAACAAGTGGAAGCTTCTAAGACCCTGGCCAAGAGAGTCATTCCACACATCCTGAGCATCTGCAGAAATTAGGACCATCCCCAAAGACTCAAAAGATACAGGGATGGTCAGTCCCACTGTCCCCACTGTTCCCACTCTGTTCACCCATATGGTCCACAAAAACCAGCAGCATCATGGCCGATGGTGATGGATGAACCCAACCCAACGCAGAGTCAGCCCACATGGAAAATGCGCCGCCGGATGCGATACCTCGACTGAACCGAGTCACCACATCCTCTGGCCCTGGGTGTGTGCGGTGTGTCTAGCAAGTGTGTCCTTCTCAACCACCTCAGTAGAGAGGGGCCCACCCAGCTGCCTGTGAGAGACAGCAGTGCTCCAGCCACTGGCACTTTCTTGCTACTCTTGCAATCCAGTGCTCTGGGACACTCCTGGTCTGCGGAAAATGATGCTGATCAGCTACATTCGTGACGTCATGCTTAGTACGTCACATGGCAGGTGGTCCAGACCTCCAGGAACCCATGCAACAATGGTAGCCATGATTAATGGACAATGGAGGAAAAACTCTAGCCCCGGTCCCCAGGCATTTGGCTGGGGAAGTCAGTGCAACATAACATGACTGGCTGTGGCACTGGTGACCCCTCGGGTGGCCCTGAGGGCAGGGATGAGCTGTGAGCACCGCCTTGGGTGTCACTGTGGCTGAGGGAAGGATGGATGCAGGCTCCTGGGCCATGGCAGCTGGCCTGGATGACCAGGTAGGAGCCTGTGGGAAGCATAGGCTCGAGGACCAGGAGGTATGGGGGGAGGGCTGTGGGTGGGTGTGCAGGGTGGGCACACAGCTTGTGGCTCTCTGGTCCTGTGCCTGCTGGAGAGCATTGAGGGACAGGCTGGCTGGGGGAGGGGCTGCTGCAAGACACCCTGGGCAGCAGCCAAGGCCCTGTCTTGGGACACAGAGGGAAGGGATGGGTGAGACTCCTCTGCGGGGCAGTGCCTGCCTCCCCCTTGCCCCGTTCTGGGGCACATGCACCAGCAGCTCTGAGTGGAGGAAGCTGGGCAGGGCCAAGGAGGCTTGGTGGGGCCCACTCAGCCCAGGGCTTCGGGGACTCAGGAGCGGCCCCTCCCTCGTTCCCAGGGCCTGACCTTGCTCAGAGCCCGCAGGAGGCCAGCCGGGGTGGCAGGAGGGCTCCCAGAGGTGGGGCAGCCAGGCAGGGACCTGCTGACCGTGTCCTGTGGCCGGGGGTTGGGATCTTGGGCCTGGACTCCAGGGGCCGCTGCATGGGCCAACAGAGCCTTTCCCTGCCCTTTCCAGAGCCCGAGGGGAGAAGCCTTGTTCCTGAAACTGCCTTTTCCTTGCCACATCCTGTTTCCATTTCTTACGAACGACAAAATCGATTGGATGTGCCAGAAGTGCCATTGCTTGCGATTTAATGCCACCTTCCCTGGGGCTCTCGGGTCTTTCTGCAATCCCACGATGAAGCCAGCCACAAGAAGTTCAGAGAAGGTCACTAAAAGAGGGCCCGAGAAAAACCCTCTGAGGAGCTGGGCCTGAGTAGCCTCTGGCGGCAGCAGTGATGGGCTCACGACGGGGCCTCTCTACCCAGCACTGGGTGGGCACGAGGGGCCAGGCTGGGGTGCCAGGCAGGGGGCATAGGACAGTGGGCACTGGAAAGTCCGGCCAGGCCCATCCCACCACTGCACCGGGGCTGCTGCAGCCTCTGCTGGGGAGGGGCCTGAAGCCAGGGCTGCAGGAGAGGAGTGTGGGGATAAGGAAAAAAAAAAAAAAACCGAGAGAGGGAGGGCTGGGGAGGGCTGGGGAGGGAGGCCAGGGTCAGACTGAGGAGTGGGAGGTGGAGCTTAGCTCCGAGAGGAGCCACCAACCCCGTCCACAGCTTTCCGGTCTCGGATGAGAGCGTGAGGTCTTTGTACAGTCAGAAGCAGGGGGCTACACGCAGCTCAAGTGTGCCACAGAAATTCCGCTGGACCGACGCCTGTCTGTGTTTCATATGCACGCAGTCACGTGCACAACCAGGCACACCGAGTCTCACACGTGTGCACACACACACCTTCTCTCTCTGTCTCACGTCCCCCACGGGGCCCCAGCAAGCTCTGACCCCAAGAGGCTTTGTGTGGCCCCAGGCTTCAGCAGAGGTGGGCAGATGCACACGTGAGCCCCACTCTCCCAGTTCCCCGGCACGCGAGGTGCAAGCAGCCATGGTGTCTCCTCGCTCATAAGGGGAGGACCGCGATGTATGCACGTCCGGGGCCCCCAGAGGCTGAGTGTGGCCAAGTGCTGCCACTGCCTTTGTCACCAGTGCCCAGCGCCTGCCCGTCACTTTGACAAGGCCCAGCCTGTAGAACCCACTGGGGTAAACGCAGGGAGAACGCACTGTTACAAAGCCACTCTGCGACTCCTCCGGGCCTGTGGGGAGAGGGGAGTCTGCAAATAGCCACTTAGGCCAAGAATTGCTCCAGACCCCTGCAGGAGTGCCCCTCATGCTACAGATATTGAACGAGGTATCTGAGTACGCAGGGAGGTTTCTGGGCCCCACATGTGAGCCCTGCGTACACACCCCATAGCTGTGTCATGCCCAGGCAGGTGTGCACACGCGCCTGGCCCACGGGTACCTGTTCTCCTAGCATCTAGGGTACTGTGAGGTTACTCAAGTCTCCCCCTTACCCTCCCACCTCCTTTGCTCTTCTGTCTGGGGGAGAAGGCGTGTGAGTAAGTGGCCGGCGTCAGGCGGGAGCAGCAGGGGCATGTGTGTGCTGCGTGTGTGCTGCGTGTGTGCTGCATGTGTGCCGTGTGTGTGTCATGTGTAAGCTGCAGTGCCTTGCCTGGCACCACACAGGGAAGCCAGGCTCTGGCCTCCAATTTACAAGGCAGTTTGTTGGGACCCCTGAATGTTGGCCATGTACAGTTGTCCAGGTTGCACAATAAGGAACTAATTTAGGTTTACTGGAGGAGGGGTCAGATGTGCCGTGGGGGCGCCTCGATGTGGAGCACCCAGGAGAGATGTTGGAGATCAAAGGGCACAAGCAGGCTCTTGTAGGAGGAACTGTGTCCGACCCTGCTCACCATGTCCGTCGTCTGGCCTCACCTGCCCTGGCTCTGTCCCTCACTTGTGCTCCCAGCCCCCCGCAGCTGTCCCCATTCCCACGTATGGTGCTGCTGCATCCTCGGCATCTCTTCTTCCCACTGGAGTTGGAGCAGACCCACCGTGAGCCGGCACATGTGCCCACCCTGGGGCCTGGAAAACCGTGGAGGGCGGCACCCTCGCCAGCAGGGTTTGCACAGTCGCCTGGGCTTCCCCAGGAGCCCACATGGAGGTCATTCCCGAGACCGCCAGCTCCCTGCTGGGAATCACGTTTGCTTGTGAGGGATGTGTGTGTCCCGGTGGGAGAGCCATCAGGGAGCTGGGGATTAATAACCTGCACCCACTTGCCAGGTGGGAGGCCAGGAGCCCTCTGGGGTCCTGAGTGCTTCATGTTTGGGGCATGCTGCCCATGCCAGCCACAGGGATGCTGCCTTGAGACGGTCGGCGACTTTGTCATGGTGTGTGGTCTGCGGGTGCATGAACACACCCACTCCATAGCAGCCCGAGGAGCTGACGGAGGCTAATTAAGTTCTAGGCTTTATATTACACGAAATGGGGGAATCTTCTATAAAATCACCACTAAACGAAAGCCAAGTGCTGTGTGTGTGCAGAGCCGCCTATAAAGGATTCCCTGCCTGGCAGACACCGGAGAGGCTGAGGCTGTCTGGCAAATGTGGGGAGGGAGTTTATTGCTCACCATATGATAAAATAATGGAGTCATTAAGAGAAAATACTTTTCAGAGCATTAAAATTAGAGGTGAATTGATTCAGTGGTAAAACAGTCCCATTTTCCTTTTTGGGGTTTATTTAGAGCTTTTATGCGGCGTTCTCGCTATGATCCTGTTTGGAAGCCGCCCTGTGACGCGTCAGCTTCCCCGTGCTGGCTCTGGCCGCCCCGAGGCAGGACCGCTGCTGTGGATGGGAGGGTGGCAGCCTCCAGAGACCCTGCACACACCTTCCTGCTGAAGGTATTGGGGAGGCTGAGGGCAGGAGGGGCTTTCTGGGGACGCAGGGACCCCCCTTTGCTGCACAGATCCTGTCACTATTCATGTAGCACACTTGAACCCTGTGTCCAGTGCGCCGTGGCCCCAGAACCAACCGTGAGTGATGTCCAGGCAGGGCCTGCGGCTGAGGTGTGGCTAGGGGCAGGGCAGGAGTCCCATAGGGCTCAGGGGCGCTGGGAGGGGCTGGTGCTGGGGGTGGCAGTGGGAGCAGGACAGAAGGGGCAGCTCGCCAAGCTGGGGTTGGAGGGGCTGAGTGCAGGAGCCCTGGGGAAGGGCTGGAGCAGAGAAATGGGGTGGATGAGCTGGAAAGGCAGCGAGCTGGCCTCACAGACCCCGGGGTGCACCAGGGAGGCCCTGAAGGTGCAGGGCCCACCCAGCACCACTGCGGGGATGCACGTGACCTCCCACGTGGACCACGGCAGCAGCACGTGCCTGACTGAGGCCTCTGTGCTCCAGCTCCCTCTGCGCTTCACAAGTAGTGGCCCAAGCTCATGGCTCCCAAGGAGCTGTATGTCCCCTTTACAAGGGAGAAACTGAGGCTGAAGGTAGAGCAGGCGACCCTGTGGCCACAGGCAGCATCGCTGAGCTCCTGGGCAGAGGGGCTGACTCCTTAGGGTGGCCAGACAAGGCCCAAACGACCTCAGTTCTTCCTGCCCTGGCCGCAGCCTGGGTTCTGTCCTCACCTTGGTGTGGTGAAGGTGGAACAGCCCTGCCCCTGGCAAACTCCATCTTTTTTTTTTTTTTTTTTTTTTTGAGACGGAGTTTTGCTCTTGTTGCCCAGGCTGGAGTGCAATGGCACGATCTCGGCTCAGTGCAACCTCCGCCTCCCGGGTTCAAGCAATTCTCCTGCCTCAGCCTCCCGAGTAGCTGGGATTACAGGCATGCGCCACCACGCCCGGCTAATTTTGTATTTTTTAGTAGAGATGGGGTTTCTCCATGTTGGCCAGGCTGGTCTTGAACTCCCAACCTCAGGTGATCCGCCCGTCTTGACCTCCTAAAGTGCTGGGATTACAGCTGTGAGCCACCGTGCCCGGCTGCGTGCCCTGTCCTTTTATGGACGAGGATGCCAGGCTTGGCAAAGGCCTTTGAGACATGTCATGGCCATTTGGCCCTGTCCCTGGGGTCCCCGAGCTGCAGCAGGTGCCCCTCAGGGGGCACCTCAGTTCATTGTCTAGCCTCCCGCCCCCACTGGACCCAAGCAAGCGTTAGGGAGTGGGGGGCCCGTGTAGGGGGCCGGGGTCCTCCAGAACCCCTGCTCCCCAGGCTGCCCTGGGGCTGGGAGTGGGGAGGATGCCCAGGGCCGCCAGCACTCTAGAGCTGCTGGGTGTTTATCTGGGAGGCGATCTCCCTGCTTCTGGGCTGAGTTACAGTTCCATTTCTGTGGCTGAGGAGCGCCGGCCTCATGGGCCCCCACAACAGAGGACTGTGCATTTTAATCCCGGCAGGGTCCAGAGAGGGTGCGTGGCTCTAAAAGCCGGCGTGATGGATTTCTCTGGTCTTATCTTCATCTCGGCTGCCTCCTCAAAGACGGTGTTGCTCGGCCTCCTGCACACCACTATCTGGAAGCTGCTTTTAAAAGTGGGAATATTTGGATTCCAGACAATGGGGGGAGAATATTGGAAACGGAACTCTGAGAGGTGGAGCGAGCGACTGAGCTGCTGTCTAGAAGTGCTGGCCTCTCCTGGTTCCCACCTCAGGCCCCGGAGGGCCCCTCCCTGCTGCACAGCCGGCTGTGGCTCCTCCCGTCCTAGGCTGGGTGCCATACGCACTCCCACCTCCGGCCCTTCCTACCCCAGGGGCCTCCTTAGGTGCTTGCGGGCCTGGGCCTCCTGTGCCAGCTTTTGCCCCACCTCGCTCCTGAGCCTCCTTCTTTGGCAAGTCTTGCTTGATGGGTCTCAGGTGTGCCCCTGCCCATCTGTACCCCCAGGCCAGGGCAGCCCTGGCTCCCAGGACCGGGGTGGCAGTGTTTGCGGTGCTGAGGGGTTGTATGCGCAAATGCCTTCCCGTGGGCCCCATCTTGCAGTGTGGGTGGAGGCAAGGAAGCCGGGTGCGGGCAGGCTGGTGAGGTGCAATCTATTCCCTCTGTCATTACTTCTGCCAGCCCCGGGTCCTCCGCTTCCGAGGGGCTTCCCTACCATCCCCCACACAGACCTCAACAAGCACAGGAGAAACCAAGGCCCTCACGAGTCAGGCGGGCCAGGAGTCACCCCCAGATTGTCCTCTGCCCTTTCTGACTTTTGCGCCGCCCGAGCCTCCAGTGACTGGTCACTCCTGGGGAACCCTGCCCCCGGCTTGTCCTTAAACCACAAACCGGCCTCTCCAAAGCCCGAGGCAAGACCTGGGTCTCACAGGTGGGCATTTTTGACAAATTTTCTCTCTGCTGTGGTCAGCGAGTTCAGCTCACGTTCACACAATTCAAAGGGAGAGAAGTTGGGGTTCTCTCCATTCAGAGTCTCCAGAGCCCCGAGCCACCTGGTCAGTGCTCACCTGCAGAGCCCGTACCTGTGACTGTCTGAGCACCTGCTCGCTCACACCTTGTACACCGGTGGTGAGTCAGAGACCCTCCTGACAGGGTCAGTCAAATGGCATGGGGGTGCAAGAAAGCCCTGGGGAGCAGTCTCCAAGGCAGGGAGGTGGGTCTGTCTGTCACAGATAAGCTGTGGCCTCTGCAGAGCCGAGACAGCAAACTGAAAAGGCCGCGTGGCCAGGAGCCCTGGACCCCGGCAAGGCCGTCCTTCCAGCCCACTCGGGCGTGTAACTGACATCCAGGGGGCACTCTGGGAAGCTCGGGAATCACCCCTAGAAAGAGCCTGTGTTAAGTGCATCCCCTTCTCTCCTTCCCAGAGAGCCTCAGGCTTGCCTCCATTGAGTATGCACTAACCCTGCGGTCCCCGGCAGCCCCGGGTTGAGCAGGGACTTCACATTGTCTTCTGGTCTCATCCATCCTGCCCAGCTCTGCTGCCTGGGAGCCTGAGTGTGCCAGGGCAGAGCCCCATCAGGGAGTCAAATGTGTGCGGAGGACAGGAGGCTGGGGTGGCTGTGAGAGGGAGCTCTGCCCAGCAAGGATGCTGCCCTCAGGCTGAGATGGCTCTGCCCATGGGGTGAGCATCTGCCATCTGTCTTCCCCTTCATGGTGCCCTCCAGCCTGAGGGTGGGCCGGGTGGAGGCTGAACAGAAAGGTCAGGCGGTGGCAGGGACAGGACCCTGGGCAGGAGCTGGCTGGAGCCCCACCGTTACTTTCGCACAGACCCCTGTGGGTGGTCGGAGGTGCCTAGAGCAGAGGGTGGGGGTGCTCTGAAGTTGTGAGCCAGCCAGCCAGGGAACCCACGTGGGCTGGGACATGTGTCTGGGTGGGGTGGGGGTGCCTGCCTGGGCCCCCCCTTTCTCAGTGCGGTGGGGGGGACAGCAAATCGCATCTTGGCCCCTCTCTGGGGAAGGAGAGGGTGCAGCCGCTGCTGCAGTGGAGGCCTGAGGGCCCCGAGGGGCTGAGCACTGACTGCCCTGCTGGTTCTGTCTCCAGGGCCCTGGCGCTTGTCCTTGTCCTCGGGGCTGGGCTCTTGCCCTTAGGCCAAAGCTGGAGGTGGTTCAGGAGCCAACAGCCAGTGTGACCTCCATGGGGACACTGGCCAGAACCTGCAACTGGAGGGAATGGGGAAAGGCAAGCTGCCTTGGAGATGGGTCCGGGGAGGAGCACGGAGGGGCCAGGCCCCCCACAGCTTGCACACTCATGGTGACAAAACTGCCTGCTTCCCGCAGCTCACACGCTCCTCCTGGGGACAGGCTCCTTGGAAGCCCTGGGGCCCAGAGCTGGCTCGGCAGCCTCCCGCTGGAGGCCCCCAGCTCGTGAGGAGTTGACTCCCCCAGATGATGACTAAGGAGCTGTGGGGCACTGGGTGCTCTGTCCGCAAAGGCTCTCCCCGAGCCCGTGGACTGCTCCCTCTGGGCTCTGAAGATGAGGGGTGCTCGGGTCACTCATGGTGCGTGGCCGAGAGTGACTCCAACCTGACTTTGAGACGGTGCTAATCCTGGAGCACCAGGTGGGGAGACTCGCCCCTGAGAGGCTGACCTGATAAGGTCCACAGGGTGGTGGTGCTGCGGGCCCGGGGCCGGTGTGCTCCAGCTCTGTGCATGCCTGGATGTGGCCCTGGCCAAAGGCATTGCTGCCCTGTGCAGGGCTGGATGGTGGCCTTGAAAGCAGCTGCCTGGGACCTCAGATGCCCCATCCTGCCGGCAGGTCAGCCTGGCTTCCCACGGTGCTGGTGAGACAGGCGCCATGCATTGTTGAGACAGCGGAAAGCAGTGACGTCTTGGAGGCTTCTCGGGTCTGGCGGGCTGGGGACCACCATGTATGCCCACGACAGGACCCCCAACCTTTCAGCGCCACCCTGGCTGCCAGAGACACTCACGTGGAAGATACCGATATTAATAAATAACTTTTGAGTTACAAAACCATTGCTATCGCTATGGTGGGTGACAAAAGCCCCATGGTTGATGGGCAGCCGCGGGGCGTGAAATGGCTCGTAAATGTCCCTCCCGCCAGCCCCACGAAGCTGCGGAGGCAGTGCTGGGTGCTGAGACGTTGCGGTTTAAGACCAATGTTGATTAGAATTTTTTTATAAGTTTTTTTTTATAAGAGTAATAACAGCTCTTTTGAGACAATCACATGGCTCAGGAAGGGTTTTAAAGACCTTCAGGAATGAGAATTGGATTCGCAATCAGGAAGCGCCTCCCCCGGGCCACTCTAACGCCGCCTGTTTGTGTCTTTTTATTGCCATTTGCCCTCCAGGGATGGAGCCCCTTTGATGACTGAAGCTCCTTTTCAAGATCAAGGGCGCTGTTCCAGCAATGCCCGGACCGGGGCGCCTCCCCATCTAGGATGGGGGCTGGGGACCCCTGAACCCTGCCTTCTGCCAAAGTCTGGCGAGTTCAGGCCCAGGACAGCTGCCCAGTGTCCACCCAGGAGGCACCGGTGCCTGGAGGAGCTCGGGTCGGGCAGGTTGGCGGTCCCGGCTGTCGTGGGGCAATGGCCACCAGGTGGCAATGGAGGACTGGCCAGTGAAGAGGGATGCAGGAGGCAGGGCCTGACCCCGGGGGTGGGGATTGGCGGGACTGGGGGCCTGTGCTGTAGGGCTGTCCCACACTTCCCTCAGGCCCAGAAGCCTCGCTACCCAGAGGAACCCAGAGACAGCAACGCATTTCCTAAGGGCAGGAGCAACAAGGCCGGAATCTCGGGCAGGAAGGACCCACGTGGGTGTCTGGGCTCAGGGCAGCTTTTTTACTGGGACAAACTGCAAACTCATGGGCCCTGCAGTGTGCGGTGGCCTCGGGACACCCGGGGGAATCCCAGCCCAGTGGGGCCACGTGGCTCCCCAGTGGCATCCTCATGCATGGGCTGACTCCACTCTGGGGGCACCAGGGCCCCCTCCTCCCCCACACACAGCCTCACATGGGTCAGGGGTCCCCACAGGCAAGAGGGCTGCAGACAGTTCTGGGGAGGGGCTCCTAGCCTCGGGGGCCTGGCCATTGGCCCTGGTGCTCGGTGCTCAGGGAGGCAGCACACGCCTGTGCCCCTTGAGGGCTTGTGGGCTGGCCGGCTCAGCCCTGGCTTTGGGGGTGGGGTTGTGCAGTGGGCCATGCCCACACCCGGCTTTCTTTGTTGTGCCAGGAGGCAGGCTGTGTTCTGGGGAAGGGCCGGAGCTCCTCTTCACAGTCACAGCCCTGGATCAGGGTGGGTGTGCAGTCCGTCCCCAAACACCTGGGATCCCTCGGCAGGGCTGTTAGGCCGTGTGAGTTGGTGCGGCCTCCCCAGAGCATCTGGCAGCCGTGGGGGTGTTGGTGTCCTGAGGGCTGTTTCCTCTGCTGGGGGTGGGGTTTCCCACTGGGAGTTCTTCTATGGGACAGGAAGATGGCTGAGGGTCCTCTGCCCCTGCTCTCGAGTTCGGGGATAGTGATGGCAGCCTGCGCTGGGCTGAGGGACCAGGGGCCTCAGTTCCCCCGCAGCACAGGAGGAGGGGTCTGTGATGACTCTTTCCTTGGAAGGCAGCCCCAAGGCTCACCCTACAGGCCCTTGCTCTGTGCAGCCACCTGCTCCTGGCTGGGACAACATGCCCAGAGGCGGCCTTTGCTCTCCCTCCCTCCCTTCCTCCTTCCCTCCCTCCCTCCCTCCCTCCCTCCCTCCCTCCCTCAGGGAGCAGCCTGGGCTCATCAGGGAGACCCTCTCCCTCTGGCTGCCAGGGAGTGGTGAGGTAGTTTCCAAGCCGTCCTTGCTGGGGCATGTGGGTCTGAGCCTCAGGGTGTCTGCCCAGCATCCTTCCATGTGCTTGGACCCCATGTGCTGTGCAGATCCCAGGGGACCCTGGCCACCCCTTTCATTGGCCAGACAGCTGTGTCCGTAGAGCTCTGAGGGACTCAGAGCCCAGACATGGGCTGCAAGGGGGGTGGGTGGCTTCTTCTGCAGGTGGGGAAGAGCAATGGGGCCTGAGCCGCATGGACCCAGGAGCTCCACCAGCACCTGTCGCCTGCTGTGTGACCATGAGCAAGTCCAGCCACCTCTGTGAGGCCATGCCAGAGCATTTTGACTCAGCCCCAAACTGAGCCCGGATCCTAGCCCACATGGAGCCCTGATCCACCTCACACAGAGGCCTAACATTAGCTCACACTGAGTCCTGATTCCAGACACATGGAGCCCTGATTCCAGCCCACCCTGAGTCTTGATCTCAGCCCACCCTGGACCCGGATTCTAGCCCACTCTGAGCTCTGATCCCAGTCCACCCTGGACCCTGATTCTAGCCCATCCTGAGCTCTGATCCCAGCCCACCCTGGACCTGGATTCTAGCTCACTCTGAGCTCTGATCCCAGCCCACCCTGGACCCGGATTCTAGCTCACTCAGCTCTGATCCTGGCCCACCCTGGGCCTTGATTCCTGCTCACACAGAGTCCTGACTGCCGCCCGCACAGTCTGACCCAGGCAGGGCTCTGAGAGTCCGTGATGGCTGAAGGAGCATCAAAGTGGAGGGGACACATGGCGGGCTGGCATACCTCCTTCTGCTATGGGGTGGGAGTGGTCTTGGAAAATGTCTCCAGGAAGTATTTGACTCCTTTTTTTGATCCTCCTCGTTGTGGTTCTGGGGCCCACGCGACGTGTGGGGCAGAGGCTGTTCGTGGCCGTTTCTCTTGGTGTGGATTCCGCCGTTAGAACTTCTTTTCCATGGAGCAAGACTTGCTCTTAACCAGCAAACCCCAGAGGGAGGAACTCCCCATCGCTGGGCAGGCCCTGGAGGCTCTTTGTTGGAGGGCTGCAGGCTGGGTGGGGTCCCAGCCACGGGGTGGTCATCAACGCAGGGGCTGAGCAGAGGTGAGGACATCAGCGGGGCAGGAGGAGCAGCCTCTGCGGCCCCTCCAACCTGAGCCTGGGTGCCTGGCTGAGCTGGAGCTGAGCTGGAGCTGAGCTGGAGCTGGACGCACAGGCAGCCCTGCCTCCCACTCCGTAAACTTCCCTGATGATGCTGCCTGTCAGGCTCCCAGCCCCGTGTCAGTTCATTCTCTCTTCCACTCCACCCAGGATCCTGATCCTGCGTAACCACACTGACTGCGTGTGAGTGGGGGGGAGTTCTGAAAGATTACCTGCCACCAGTCCGTATGTAAATCCCAGGTGATTTATAAGCATGGACGGTTTTAAGGTCACCGGTGCGCAGAGCAGGTAGTCGGCCAGACTGCTGAACCAACAGTTTCCAAAGTGAGCGTGAAAGCATGAACCTGGCGCCTGCCCCAGCCTCCGTGCTGCTCAGGGCAGCTGCCTGTGTCTCTGCTGGATCCTTACAGAGGACGCTGGGGGGGTTCTGTGGAGCCTCGGGCCCTGTGGGCTGTCGAGGGGAAGGGCGGTGGCTCGGCCTGGGCATGTGAGGCTCACAAGAGCTGAGGGGCGGGTCCCGGTGGGTGCGCTGGAGTCCAGGTGTCTGGTGGGGCCCGAGGCAGGGAACGGGGTCCCATTTCTCCTGGGATGAGGAGGGTGACAGCAGGCTGGGTGGCCCAGGAAGCTGAGCTGAACATCTCTTGCTCTGTAAGCGGATGCTGGCCAGACATGGTGGGGCAGGCAGCTGGGGCAGGGAGGAAGGAGTCCAGCCCTCACCCATCCCCACCTGGCTGGGGAGGGCACCCCAGCCTGCTGGCCTCTGGGGGCTGGGATGGGAAGCTGATGATGGAGGAGGGTGGGAGGTGAGGGGGAGACCTGCCTGGTGGAGGGAAGCAGGTGGAGACTACAGAGAGGCTGAGTCCCCACTTTGCCAGCCAGGCTGGACAGGGGACACAGATATGGAACCTCCTAACTACTGAACGCTGGTGCCCAGCTCAGACCCTGTGGAGGGGGCCACATTGCCTGCTGAAGAGCGTGGCTGGGCCCAGCTATGGCAAGGACAGGTGTCAAGGGCTGTGGGCTCAGGAGGAAGTGGACACAGTCACTGGTGGGGCCAAGGGGAGTCACAAGGCTGGGGCAGGGGGGTGAGGGCGGCTGGGGAAGGCACTGCCAGGCACCCAAGCTTGCAGAGCTTCCCAGCCAGTGGCCACTGGGGGACTCTGAACCAGGCCCCTTCCCTTTCTTGGCCTCAGCTCCTCTGTGCCTGAAAAAGGGGCACTAAGAGTGGTCCCTGTTGGCCAGTGGCTCCTCAGCTGGTCCCCAAGGACAAAGCACAAGGTGGCACCACTCAGTGGCTTCAGGAGCTTGCTCCTGGCTGTGTGCATGTGTGAGCATGCAAGCTTGTGCCTGTGTGCAATGCACGCATGTGCGTGTATATGGGTGTGTGCGTGTGTGGCATGTATATATCTGTGTCCATGTATGTGGGTGTGGACATACGCATACATGTATGCATGCATGGATGTGCGTGCATTTGTGTGAGTGTGTGTGTGCGTGTGTGTGTGCACCGGGGAGCAGGGCTGACTGTCCTGGACGAGGAGGAGCCAGGCCTGCACGCATGAAGTGGCAGGCGTCGGAGGCTGAGTGAGATGTGCTTCTCCCCGTCGCGGTGGGGCAGGCTGTGGATTGGCACGGCTGCCATGTCCTTTTCAGTCCTCTTAATGTGAAGTTAATTAGGCAGAACATTCAAGAAAGACATTTGGAAGTTGATCTCAAATCAGAAGAGCCCCAGTGTGAGGAGAGGGAGGGCGAGGAAAGCCCCTGCAGCTGGGGAGCCTGTCTGTGTGAAGCCGGGGTCCTGGGCTGGGTGGCACTGTTGCTGGGGGGCCCCTGGGTGGGGCATTCCTTCCTGCCTGGCTCCCCCTTCCCCATCTGTCAAGAGTGGAAACAGTGAATGCGGGGCGCCCAGGCAGCCTAGGGGGAGTAGGGGCGGGTTCAGGGCACAGCCCGGCTGTCAAGTCTTGGGGAAGAGGAGGGAGGGACTTCTCTGGTGGCCCCACTAGGGTTGCAGGTCCTCCCAGGGCTCAGCTCCCTCTAGTTGGCCCTGGGGTTGAGTCCTGACCAGGTGTCTCTGCTGTCCAGGGAGTCTGGGCCACAACTCTGGCAGCCTGGGGACCTGCCTCAAGAAGGATGGCAGTGCTGGATGCCTGAGTGCCCTCCTGGTCTCCCACCCCCTGAACGCCCATGGTCGGGGAACATAACCTCGTCTCTGCGGGCGAGGCACACTCTGCCTGTGGGGCCAGTGTGGAGAAGCTGGTCAGGAACTGGAGGCCTGAAACTCGGGTCAGGAAAACCCCATGTCTGTCCCTGGGTGTGCATCAGACCAGGAAGAGGGACAAAGGCCACAGCAGCCCCGGGGAGATGCCAGTGGGTGAGTGTGCCTGGAGATGGGGATGGAGGGAGGCCGGGTGGCAAGGAGGCCTCACATGCCAAGGCTATGGCACGGCCTGGAAGGCTGGTGAGGGGATGTGGGCTCTGCCTGCACCAAGGGCAGCCCTGGGCAGGCAGAGGTGAGCCATGGCCATGGTCAGGGAAGGTGGAACCGCTGGGCCGTCACCTTGCACGGTGGTCCCAAGGCCAGCATCCCCGGGTGCTGGGACAGCATGGGGCACAACAGCCAGCCCACATAGAAATGAGGCAACGGGTCACAAGTGCAAACCCACAGCTAGTGAATATTTAACGCCTAACAAAAGTGCATGCATCATTAACCAGGTGCTGGTGGAGGAGCTGGAATAATTTGTCTTCTTAAAGGGGATTTGGTAATTTGTTAAGCTATTTTGAAACCTGCAGTCTAGCTGTGGGAGCCGCTCTGATTTCTAAATTAATTTGTGTGATTTAGAAAGTGGAAGCCTCTTGGTTCTGCAGGGGCCGCGGGCAGCAGGGCGGCCTTGCAGGCTCCTAGGTGTGCTCTGCATTTGTTGATTGTCCCATCCATGGGGACCCTGCTGAGGAGCTCGGCCCTGTGCACCCCGCCTCTCCCACCACCCTTGTTTCCATATGTGGAACCCAGTGGTCCCCCACCTCCCGGATGAGTTAGTTTACGAGCAGGTGCCACGGGAAGGTGGTCTCTGGAGGCTCAGTTTAACCCCCCTCCTAAGAGGATGCTCTTGGGCTGGAGGTGGGTGAGGCCATCTGGCCTGGAGCTGCTGGGCTTGGCTCTGAGATTGGCTGACACATCTGCAGTTCAAGGACCAGGCTGTGAGAGTCAAAGGGTGAGTTGTAACTATCACAGAGGTGACCACATGAAAAGCCCCAATTTCCAGCCCCAGATCCCCAGACCGTGAATCCCAGCTGTGGGTCACTGACTGGGAGCCTGCACTGTATCCTTCAGGGCCCTGGCAGGCCCCACAGGGCATCGCCACCCAGCTGGCGCCATCCCTGAGTCTCCGAAGGCCAGTCTGCCAGCCTCTCAGGCTGGCAGCTGCCAGACAGTGGGGACGTCAGACCAGTGGATTCTGTGAGGTTGAGTCCATTGCAGCTCGAAGGGAGACCCTTGGCTAACAGCAATGTTGTGCGGAAGGCCAGGCTGATGGGGAAAGATGGTCATATTTGCAGAAGCCTTGTGGCCAGGAAAGACCAGTCCATATTCAGATTAAGCGTCTCTTCTAGTGAGAACTAAGCGCTGCCTCTTTCATACAAAAGCAGTCCAACGTCATCACCTGTCACGGCTGCCCTGGTGATGGTGCTTCAACCTGTACTGAGCCTCAGTTTACCTCCCTAGCCAAACCTGAGTCCACCTCCCAGCTGAGCCTGGGTCCATCACCCCAGCTGAGCCTGACTCTACCTCACAGCTGAGCCTGGGGCCACCTTCCAGCTGAGCCTGAGTTCACCTTCCAGCTGAGCCTAAGTTCACCTCCCAGCTGAGCCTGGTTCCTCCTCCTAGCTGAGCCTGATTCCACCTCCCAGCTAAGTCTGGGTCCACCTCCCAGCTGAGCCTGGGGCCACTTTCCATCTGAGCCTGAGTTCACTTCCTGGCTGAGTCTGGGCCCACCTTCCAGCTGAGCCTGAGTCCACCTCCCAGCTGAGCCTGAGTCCATCATCCCAGCTGAGCCTGAGTCCACCTCCCAGCTGAACCTAGGACCATCACCTCAGCTGAGCTTGAGTCCACTTCCGAGCTGAGCCTGTGGCCATCATCCCAACCGAGTCTGAGTTCATTTCCCTGTTGAGCCTGGGTCTACCTCCCAGTCAAGTCTGAGTTCACCTCCCAGCCGAGCCTGGGTCTACCTTCCCAGCTGAGATGGGCCCTTGTGATTTGAGCCTATATCCCTATGGAGCCGTGTTCACCATGAGTGATTTTGTGGGTCCCTTCATTTGGTGACTTCTGGGTGTCAAGCACAGAGAGTTAAGTGAATCCCACCTGGATTGGCTGGGGGTCCCCAGCCAAGCATGCCCATCCTCTTGGTGGCCCACTCCTCACAAGCCTGGGACATCAGACCCTTGGGCAGCTCCTGAGCCCGACACACAGGGTCTGTTGGTGTGTCCTGGAATGGTGGGGAGGTGGTCCCTGGAAGAAGAGTAGGGGTGATCTGGCACACTGCTCTCTCCACGAGCCGTGGCCCGTCAGAGCCTGAGCACCTGAGGGACTTTGCCAGGCCTCTCAGCACTGGAACTGCTTCTCTCTGTCAGGCATCTGCTGCTGGCTCCAGAGGGGGATCTAGACAGGGGAGCAGAAGCCTCTCCAGCCTTGCCCTCAGATGGGCTGTGCGGAGGAGGGTCTCCTGCTCCCTGGGAACTAGAAGACATGGCAGAGAAGTCTGTGGTTTCCTTTGATTCTGGAAGGTTCTGGGGCAACTAGGGAAGGGTCAGGTTAGAGACTCTTACTGGGGAGGGGTGGCCAGCCGGGAGTGGACACAGTGACCATTTCCTGCAGGGCTTGGGGGCCTGGCTGGGGGCTGGCTGTGGGGGCTCAGGGCGTCACTCCCTGGGTGGGTGAGGGGGCCTGGGGGCTCCTGCAGACGCTGCCTTCCCTGACTCCCTGTCTTCTCTCAGCTCCCCGGGGCCTTTGGCCATAATTTGGTTTGGGCATCCTCAGTCTGTGTGGGCTGGAAGTCCCTGAGGGGATCTCCTTTTGGGCTCCTCTCCTTGGGCTGCAGGAAGAGGGGGTGACCCTCTGGCCCACGTGAGCCTGTCTGGCCGGGCCAGCCCATTGCCAGTGTCCACTGGGACAGGATTTGAGGGCCATGATGGCCACTTCCTCTGAGCTCCAGGTTGGACAAGGCTGCACAGGGAGCTCGGGTGTCCCTCTGGGCCAGAGGAGAGCCCTGGACCCCGGGGGACCAGCCCAGGCACAGTGTCACCGCAGCCCTCTTGTCTATCCCTGAGTGCCCCACCTGCTCCTGAGTGGCCCCCTAGTCCCTCGTCCCTCCAGGGGTGCAGAGCTTCATGCAGGAGGCTGGGAGCCTGGGGTGAGGGGCAGGGCTGGGCATGTCTTCAGAACGATGTGCTCCAGCAAAGCCCAAGCCGGGGCTCCAGCAAAGCCCAAGCAGGGGCTTCAGCTGCCACAGCCTCTGGCTTTGAAGATGGCAGCCCCGACAGCTTCTTTTCCATCTATAGTGCCTTTTTCAAGCTCTGGGCTTCAAAGCCAGCCTCGTAGCTCCTGGAGAGGCTCAGCCCCTGCTGGATATGACTGGGGTGGGGTGGGGATGGGAGATGGGGGAAGAAGAGCTGTGTCCCCAGGGACAGCGCTGGTGGCCTCAAGCCACTGAGATTGAACTTGAGGGAAGGGAAGCTGTGACCCCAGGGCAGATGGCAGATGCTCAGTTGGGTGTTTGCTCCTGGGAAAGGAGCAGAGATGACTGTGGATGGCCATCTCCACAACCCCCTCCCCAGCTCTGCAGAGCAGCCGCTTTTCTAGGAGCTCATCCAGTCCTTGCTGTACAGGTAGGGAAACTGAGGCTCAGAGAGACTCGCCCACAGCTGCACAGCAGGCAGGTGAGGGGCTGGACCCCTCCTGGGTCCTTCTTTCTGGCAGGGCTCACATGGCTCTGATTTTGGACTGCTGATCCCCACCTGGAGACCCACTAGGTGGGGAGCCTGCCCCTGGTCCCGCAAGCCCAGAATCTCTCCACAGGGCTTTTCAGTGAGGCCGCCGAGCCTCCAGCCTCCTCTTTGTTCTGCCCAGCGCAGTGCCTCAGCAGCTTTCTCCATGGCTGGATGCATCCTGAAATTATCTTTCCATTAAAAATAAATGCCCCATTTTATCTGCCTGAAATGGCCCTGCTCTCTGATTGTCTTTTCCGTGCCGCTGTATATGGAGAACTATAAAATCATAATACAACTATTAATCCCCTGTATCTGCTTGTACCTAATTTTTATTAAAAATATCCTGTGCTCCAGCTGCCTTGTAAATTATAGTGAGGTTGAAAAGTCTCCAACTGGATTAGCCAGGAAGGAGAGCGTATTGGATCGGAGACAGGCTCACTCTGGAGCACGGGGCCTGGCGGTGTGGGTTAGGAACATGGCAAAGCGATGCTGGGGCTGCCCCGTGCCCTGGGCAGCTGGGGGAAACTGGTCTCCATGGCTCAGTGGCAGCCTGCCTCCCCCTCCCAGCCTGGGCTCCCTGGGCCTGGGATGGGCTCAGGGGTCTGGTGCAGAGGAGCTCAGGGCCACCAGAAGTCCTGGCTCTGCTGCTCCTGGTGTCACCCCATGCAGACTCAGGCTTGAGTCCAGCTGCCATGACCATGGGCCATGGGACTCTTCTGAGGTGCAGTTTGCCCCCTGCACAGAGGAGTCACAGCGGTGCTGAGGGGAGGGCGGGGAGCAGAGTCCGGGGGTCTTTGCCTTCCAAGGTAGGCATACCCCCACCCCTCCGAGGCCTAGCATGGCTCCTGCCCTTCTCTCCCCTTGAAAGGGGCCGCAGCCACTCTGAGGGCTTCCTGGGTGGCCGTTGAGGCTCCGAGCTCCAGCGGAATGAGCTTCTCTGACATCATTCGATGAAGCTGGCACACTGCCCCAGGCCCTCACAGTCCAGGCAGACGAAGGGGAGCCCAGGGCCCCTTCCTCCCAGCCCGAGCCCTGCCTGGCTTGTTGTGTGGGGACAGGAGATGCCGCGGGGGCTGGGGTGACAGCTGGACGTTCGCTGGCAGCCACCCACAGCCAGCATTGCAGGAGGGAGGCCCCGGCCTGCAGGAGGGCAGCGAGGCTGAGGATAGAAGCATGCCTTCGGCAGGCTGCGGGTGCTGGGGGCCGTTGTGGCTGGGTTGTGAAGGTTCCCGAAGGTCCAGCTCTGCAGCCTCGCCTCTGAGTCGGGCTGACCTCCCAAAGTAGGCCTTTCAGAGGGAGGAAGGCAGGACGCCGCCCGATGGTGGCTGCAAGGCTGATGGTGGCACAGCGAGGGATTCAGGGATGTGTGTGAGTGCTGGGGCTTAGGGAACAGCAGGACAGAGGTGGCCCCTCCTCTTGGGGGTCCCCCCTCACTGCGGAGGGGGTGTTGGCCAAATCCACAGGTGCCACAGAGCTGTGGACAGACAGCGGCCATGGGGTGCCCCACCTCTGAACTTGGGACCTCCAGTCAGCTCCAGCCCCCTCCTGCCCTCCTGTCTCCTCACCCCAGGCGGCCTTGGCTTTCCCTGCTCGGCTCCCGCCCTCCACTCGAGAGGCCTGGATCCTTGTGCCTCAGGGAGTGTTTGGCTCACAATGGTGGGGGGGGGGTCCCAGGCTGAGGACTGGAGGGGCTGCACAGAGGAAGGGCCCCTTCCCAGAGTGGATGGGTTGGGCAGTGGGGCCCTGTTGCCCCTGACACCCCAGAGTGGCCAGGCCCCTCTGCGGGTCTCTATGTGAGCTCCTTCCTCAAAAGGTGGTTGTGGAGAATTCCAAGCACACCACGGGGAGGGGACAGTGCTGTGGACTCCGTTTCCCTCCGCCAGCCTCCCAGTGCCGACCCGCAGTCTCCTCTCTCCTCTCCAGCATCTGCATGTCCACACCTGGGGGGTTTGGAGCAAATCCCCAGGGTTGGATTCATGTATCTGTAAATATCGCTAAACAATAAGGCCGCCTTGAAAAGTAGCCACAGTGTGGTTATACCTAACAATGAAAAACAACGTCTTCACATCATTGCATACTTAGCTACCGTTCACATCTCCCCGGTGTCCTGTGTCTGTTTCTACAGGGTTGCGCCTCTGCCGGTCTTTTCCCCTGTGCAGTTTGTGTTTTGCAGAGGCTGGCTGTTTGTCCCAGAGTGTGCCCAGGGTCTGTGGCGGTGGCACCACGCCCACTGTCCTCAGTCCCCTGCCTGGCCTGGCGTTGGTTGATGTAGCTAGAGGTGGGACCCACGGGGGTGCTGCTCTGACCCCCACCCGGCCGTGTGCCCCTTCTGCTGGTCTCTCTTTTCTGGCTGTCAGCAGCTGTGGGCGTCCCTGCCCCGGCAGTGGCCAGCTGGTTATTTTGGTCCCCTTCCTTCTTGGTTCCTTTGCTGATGTGGCTTCCGCAGAGAGACGCCTTCTCCACCAGGCCCGGTGCATCATCCGTGGAGGATGCCAAGAGGAGGAGGCACACGATCTTGGGCCCTGTGGGGTGCGGGGAGGGGCTGGCACCCCCTGAGAGGGCTTCCTTGGGTTTTGTGCCAGGTGCCTCCCGTGGTCTGGCCCTACCCACCACCCTGAGTCCAGGCTCCTGAAGTTAGCCTGACGCACGCCTGGCCTCTGCACACAGCCTGTCTCCTACCGGGTACTTCGGCCAGTGGCTTAACCTGGTGCTCCTATAAAATAGGTGATGCCGCCTGTCTCATTGCAAGATGTCATAGGTGAGATCGCCCAGGTTTGGCAGAGATGAGTGGAGGGCGTCTGGTGAGTGGAGGTGGGTGAGAAGTTTCCTTTCCCTCTCTGTCCTTCCAGCCCCCTTCACTCCCTTGTCCTCCCCGTCCCCAGCCTTCCCCCTGGTTCTGTCCCGCTGGTTCCCAGAGGGAGGTTACCCAGGGCTGCTGCTTGGGGCCCAGGTCTGGTGAGCAGAAGTTCTTTGGGCAGTTCCAGACTTTCCCTGGCCAGGCGCAGCTCCCTGTGATGCTGCTGAGGCCCAGCATCTGCTTCTGCAAGATGCACAGGGACATCAAAACCGATTCCCCACGAGACAGAGCCTTCAATCGACATTTCACTTTTATGGACGGGTTTATTGCAAAGTAGATCTCCCACAGCCAATTCCCTGCGAAGGGGACAGGCTGAGCCACAGCAGGACAACACGGCAGCCACCCGGGCATGGACGCTGCGCACTGGAGTTGTGCCCGAGGTTGGCACCTGCCCACCTCCTGCCCCAGGTCTCGCGGGTGCCCCCGGGATCTGACCTACCGGGACTGCCGTCAGGTCTGTCCTCAGCAGTAACAGGCCACGAGACAGGGGCTAGCACAGGTCCCCGGGATTGGGCTGCTCACCCGGGGGGAGGGAGAGCCGAAGGAGGCGAGCTCTGCATTCAGGTGGAAGCAAAGCCACCCTCACAACAGCACCCCAAAACCACCGTCACTTGGCACCCCAAAACCACCCTCACAGCAGCATCCCAAAACCACCCTCACAGCGGCACCCCAAAACCACCCTCACAGCGGCACCCCAAAACCACCCTCACAGCAGCACCCGTGGGTCCTTCCTGCACTGGCAATTCTCCCCACCGTCATAGCTGCTCCCCCGCCCACAACAGGAGCATCACAGGTTGGGGCGGACCTCCTGGAAGACTCGCGACCCCTTCTGGAAGACTTGAGACCCCAGGAGGAGGTGTGGGCACAGACAGATGTGTCACTCCAGTGCCTGGCTGCCAGCAGCAGGGGGCCGGCCTGTCAGGGACCTGAGGCAGAGCTGGGGCAGCCACCAGCCGAATGTGGTAGATGTTTTAGCCTCAGGGAGGAGAGGATCTCAGGTCTGGCCGTGGCTGGAGTGGGAGTTGTGAGAGTTGGCAGGCCCAGCCCAGGAGGGAGGGTGCAGCAGGAGCCGTCCACTGGGCTAGGCTGGGCCTGGCTGATCTCAGCGGCTCCCGCTGGCCTGAGCGTCCTTGGCTGCTGTCTGGACACATCCACAGCTGGGCATTCTCCAAGTGGCTTCAAGGACCTCTTTTGGGGCAGGGTCCCTAAAAAGCCCTGGATGTGAGCGGGAGCCTGCAGGAACTGTCTGCCTGCCCTTCCCAGCTCGGAATCCCTCACCTGCACACCTGGACTGGATAGGGACCTTGACTGGATAAGGGAGGGCAGAGGATGGGTGGGCCGTGGGATAGGCTGTAATTTTGACCCCGACTTGGGGGAACTGGCTGTAGCCTGGAGTGAAGCCCCCTGCTCCCGGCCCCTGCCCTCCATACCCCGACATCGCTGCAGGGAGCTGCCCTCCTTGGCCTGGGAGATGGGGTGCCGACCTCCATTCTTTCTGTAGGGCCAGGAGGTGCGTCCAGGTGAAAAAGGAAGGGAGGAGGCCCAGAGAGAGGCAGGCTGGGAGCACAAACAGTGAGAGGAAAAGGGGGTCCCCTGGGGGATGTCTGGAGGGAGGCAGCCTGCTCAACCCCCTCATCCAAACTTGCCCCAACATTGATTCCCTTCCAGTCCTTATTGGTCAGTCTCCCAATAGTGGCCGGTCACCGGGGACTGCAGTTAAGTTGCCTGTGACTGATGCGGTTTCGGGAGCTGAGAATGATGGGTGGGACAGCGCAGGTGCCTGCAAAGCCACTGACGGATCAGTGCCCGCTGAGTCATTCCAGGTGAAAATCAAAGGCGAGCTGATTGCTAAGGGTGGTGGAGGGAAGGATGCTTCCAGGGAGATGGTCTGAGCACCGTGTCGAGGGGCCTGTGACTGTCGTGGGGGGTTCACATGCAGCCGCCCGTGCAGCGTGGCCAATCATTTTCCTGGGAGAACAGATAACAAACTCAAACAATGCATTCTCCTTGCATTCTAACAACCAGCGCAGGGTGGCAGTGAAAACTCAAATCTCTATCCAGTGCAATATCAGACTATTTTTGAGGTTTTACTTTTCAAGATAAAGATCCATTTAAACCTTTCCCCCGCTATTTTCTGTGACACGTTGAGCTCGGCTGCACCGTGTGGCAGTAACAAGCCATCTCCCAGCTGCAGCAACTCCACACTGCCGGCCCCACACCACCTCTAAGGCCTCCAGGGCACCTGCCCTCCTGGGGAGGGCTGAGCGTTGACTTCTCCATCAACATGTGTCACCTGTCCCAGGTTTTCTGAAACAGGAACATAGAAGTAGGTGGAGAGCTGAGCACTGCCCGCTGAATGCGGCTTCCCGGAGGTGACACGGAACTTTTCCCATTCCAGCAGCCAAACCAAGTCCAACCACTATGCCTGACTTTGCAGGGCAGGCGGGATACAGGATCCAGGAGCTGGGGAGCTGCACGGTTACACGAATTCACTTCCACTCACTACAAGGGGCTTTCTTCGGTTTTGTTGTTAGTAACAATTATTCTTGGGTACATTGCTTAGGAATACATTCAACTTTGCACTACATAAAACCCAAGTTAACATGGTTTGGCAAATGAGTTTTCAATTTCTATGTATCAAGAAGTCTGGAGTTCAGCAGGCACCCAAATTTGGTGTGGGGTCCATGGTGCCAGCAGGGACTCAGGCTCTTTCTGTCTTTCTGTTCATTCATCTGCAAGGTAGCTTTTGTCCTTCTGCTTTTAGCCTCATGGTTGCAAGATGGCTGCTTCACCTCCAGCATCACATCCGTGTTCCAGGCAGGAAGAAGGGTCAGGACCAAGGACAGAAGAGAGTGAAAGAGGGAAGCAAGACTGATGGCTGAGTCTTATTCTTCTATAGTACTTCCTGGGGCACCCACCCAGGGCCGCTCCTTACATCAGTGGCCCAGAACTGTGCTGTGTGGTCATTGCTGGCTGCAAGGTGACCCAAGATACATTTATGTTCAAGAGGATTCACTGATGCCTGGGCAGAATCAGCGGCTGCAGGTCCTGCCCCCAGAAGGCCCAGGAGATAATGGGAAGGCTGTCATTGGTCTCCCCTAGGTGGGGACATCCTGGTGTGCTATCATCTTTACGGAGAGGAAACACAATTCCTCTTTCAATTCACTTCTTTTACCATAAAAAAGCCTGGGCCTGTTCCCCCAGCCATGATGACAGACGCACTGCAGGCATTCACAATGAGGACGAATGTGTGTGGTGCCTCCTTTTGTGCTTTTTGCAGGGTTGTGGCATGTGTTTGGACACGCCTGTCCATGTAGCTGGAGACAGGCCTGACCCAGTCTGCGTGCTGTGCTGGACATGCCTTGGCTTCTTGGGTCCTTTTCATGAAATCTGCTGTTCTTGGGGTCCCATTGTCCTTGTCCCCTTGCTTTTAGGGGCCACATAGAATTTTGGGCTTGACTGGTGTTGGTCTGTGCCCATGGCCCAGTGAGTCCTTGTGGTTGAAGGGAAAGGACAGTGCCAGGATTGTGCTGTGTGGGGTGGGGAGGTGGTCTGGGCACCTGAGAGGGGTCAGGGCTGGGACTCCTCCCCACTGGACGGCACCATCCACCTGCCCCGACTCCCTGGGATCAAAGGCTGTGGGGAGAAGAGTCAAGCTGGGGCTGAGAGAGGGAGGCGGGGCACTAGCCTCTGTAATTAACACGCTGAGCGCTGGGTAGGCTGGCTGATGAGTTTTTTTATTAAAATAATGATGCCTTCCAGGCAATCAGGGAGAATTGCATGAAACTCAGCAGTTTTCACTGCTTATTGATGGTAACTTCAAGCAGTGGACAGTCTCATTACCATCTGTAAATACCCAGGGTCGTGTCCTTGATGGTGGAATATTGTCTTCCTGGATGGGGAGGCATGGCTCCCCAACTCCTCTTCCTCCTCCTCAGAGGCTGTAAAACCCTCTGGGCCTGATTGGCACGTGCTTTGGACAGGCATTTGACAACCTCGTTTGTGGAACCTCCAAGGGCCGAACTGGGAGGGGCTGGGAGGGACAGGAGGGACAGACCAGAGACCGGTGAGGGAGGGGTGGAAGCGGGGCTGGGGAGGACATTGGGGCAGAGGTGGGGAGCGGGGGCTGGGGAGAACGCTGGGGCGGGGGTGGGGGCAGGGCAGGGGGCTGGGGAGAACGCTGGGGCGGGGGTGGGGGCAGGGCAGGGGGCTGGGAAGAACGCTGGGGCAGGGGTGGGGGCAGGGCAGGGGGCTGGGGAGAATGCTGGGGCTGGGGTGGGGAGTGGGGCTGGGGAGGATGTTGGAGCAGGGGTGGGGAGTGGGGCTGGGGAGAACGCTGGGGCTGGGGTGGGGGCAGGGCAGGGCCCTGTCCTGTGCAGCCCTCACACCCCAGGACTCAGGCCATGGGGAGCCTCTGTGTTGGTGGCTTGTTGTGGTGGGAAGAAGGCTGCGGCCCCTCATCTTCCGCACTCTTCTAGCTGTTCACAGGGGCTCATGGTGGGTTTGGGATGAGACCGGGTCATCCCATGACACCTGCTCACTCTTCCCTTCTTCCCCTCTGCAGCGGCTCCTGGGGCAGAAGTGGCATTCTGTGGGGATCCTGCTGGGGAATAAGACATTTGGAAAGCTGGGCTGGGGCCAGGGGCTGGGGACCGAATGGCCATCTTTCCTAGAGAGGATGGATTGTTGTCCACCCAACATAACCAACCTGCACCAGGCAGTTGGCAGTGTCCCCTGGGTGGTGGCTGCGGACAACATGGACCCAAGCAGGGGCATCCCTGAGGGGAGTCTGTGCTGCTGAGCCCCCACCGCCCCGGAGCCCCTGCCGAGCCCCCACCGCCCCGGAGCCACCTTGCCCCTGTTCTGGCTCACCTGCTGGGGTGTCTTGTCACCTGGTCATTCACAGCCTCCCCATCTGGGTCTTCCTGAGTGGTCACCTGGATGCAGATGTGTGTACAGCCCGTGTCTGTTCCAACGAGCCTTGCCACCAACAGCTTCCTCCTTGTCACCAGCTCGGTCCTTCTCATGGCCAGCCTCTGGCCACACCTGGGGGCCCACAGGACTGTGGCTTCACATCACTCCCACTTCATGGAAACGTGACTGTCATTGTGCCCTGCTCAGGCCTGGCTGCTGGATGATGCCTCTTGCCACCAGCCTCCAGACCACCCATCAGCCAGCCCGGGAGCCACAGATGAGGCCACAGGTGTAGCCGTGGGTGCCTGAGGGCCTGTGGGCACATGGGCCTGGCCCGGCACATGTGGCGTTCACCTGGTGAGGGAGGAGCATCTTGGGCGTGGCCCAGCTCGAGGGCTTAGTGGATCAGGGGACCTCCAGTTCACATGGGGCAGCTGGGCCACCTTGTCATTTGGTGTCCCATTGTCAGGTGTCTACAGCCTCCCAGGCCCAACATGAGCCAGGAGCTCTCTCTCACGTGAGGATCTTACTCGCTGGGAGGGCTCTCTTCTGGAACTCTCCCACTGCAGCCGCCTGCCCGGAATTCCCAGCGGCCTAACCCTTGGGCATCGGTGATGCCCTCGGTCATCAGGGGTGGAAGGAAGGGCCTGGTCTTGCTTTGTCCCCTCTCCCTCGCCTGCCACTCCCTCCTTCGTGGCTGTGTCAAGAGCTGTGCTACCCAGTGGGGCTTGTCTCCCACCTCTGGCAGGTAAGGTGCTCCGTGTCCGTCTCTGGTTCTATGGTGAGTCCCCCCGCATGGGCCAGCATGAGGCCCAGGTAGTGCTGCAGCCATCACTTCTGTGGACCAAACTCTGTCACAGAGAGGGGTGCTGCGGTGTCCCTGAGAGCAGGTGGTGGAGACGCCCCAGCCTCCCTCCAGCCCAAGGGCTGGAGGGTTCCTGATTTCCTGGACGGGAGGGAAAACCAGGTGCCTGGCTGATGCCCATGAGGACCCTGCATCTGGAGCAGCAGCTGCTGCCGGGTGCAGCTCCGAGTTGTATTTACAGTGTCATCGCGTCAGAAGCCGTGCTTGCGGGTAGAGGGAGAACTGACTGCATTTCCAAATCTTTGGGGCATGGCACTGTCTCTCTAATTCCTCCGGGAATGTGCTGGAGCTTTGGGGTTTGGCAGCAGGGAGAGTGCCGGGTCCCACCGTGTTGCTCCTCAGTCCTGGGGTCAGGGGACCAGTGTGGGAATTCATGAAGTGCTTTTCCAAGTACGCCCTCAGGAGCTTGAGGAAGACATGGGGATGGGGTTGCGGGCCCTCCGGGCGCCGCTGAAGGGCAGAGCTCCACTTATCCCCAGGTCCCCTGAACCCCCTCATCCCCAGGTCCCCTGAACCCCCTCATCCCCAGGTCCCCTGAACCCCCTCATCCCCAGGTCCCCTGAACTCCCTCATCCCCAGGTCCCCTGAATCCCCTCATCCCCAGGTCCCCTGAACTCCCTCTCTGATTTGGGGATGACAGTGTTATTCAAGGACACCCCCCAGACTTCTAGGGGGTCCACTCTTTGTGGATGGCTGCCCTGACTCAGGAGAGACTCCCAGGCTGACATTGTAAAGGGCGTCTGGCAGGGCTCAGCCTGGGGGTGGGACTTGGCCACTGCCCTTGTGCCTTCTTGAGCTAAGCCGGCTTCTCCCGTGGTCCCACCGAGCACCTGGGGTTTGGTCTGTCCCTTGAACCAGGAATTTAGGGATTCGAATGTGTGTGTTCTCTCTGACCCCCCAAGTTCTGCCCCACGGTCCGGAGACCCCAGCCCTGCGTGTGCTTCCTGCAGCTCAGTGTCCTCATGCGGGTCGTTCTGCGGGCTCCTCCCCAGGCCATCCCAGGGTGATTCCGCTGCTTCAGCTGCAGGAAGACGGTGGGAATGTTTCCAGGGAAGGCGGGCACCCGGAGGTGGGCAGGGCACTGACGGGCGGCTCCCATCCCTCCCGCTTGTGGAGTGTGGGTAGCCCTCGGTCCCTGCTGTCTTGGTCACAGAGTTCACAACCAGGGGTGGGGCCGGCAGCCGGGAGCCTCCTACCAGCCCCCAGACGCTGCCTTTGAGGGAGCGACTTCTTCCTCGGTGTTTGCTTGCTCTGGGTTTCCTTGTGGGGGCCTGACTGGTGTTTTAGCTGCAGCGGGAGATCCACCCGGGACCTCCCAGCCTGAACGTCCTCAGAGGGTGGCGCTGCCTTCCGAGAGGATTCTGCCACAGAGCGAGAGCTTGCTGTGAATGTCAGGGCGCCAGGGCTGAAATTATAGCCTGCCTGGGCTGCCACTGAAGCCACATCCCCAACTGTTCCCTTCCCTTTATTCCCCTCGGCGTGTGTGACAGCCCCCGGGGAGGGGGCCGCTCCAGCTGGGAATCGCGGGCCTCGGGGACTCGTGCTGGCATAGAGGTGTGCGCCAGCCCGCGCGCCAGCTCCGGAATGAGTCAGAATAAATTAGCATGCTAACGAACGCGGGCGCACACAGGAACCATCTGGAACAAGGGAGTTGTCATCCGGAGAGCCAAGTTGGTTCCAAAGCCATACTTAATGTTTCAGATTAGTTCATCTCCCTCCTGCAACCTGGGGGATGGCTTAGTGCTACCCCATAGAGGGTGCACTGAGGGCCGGGCGGTGCGGGGATGAGGCACCTCCAGAGGGACTCGGTCTTGATGGTTCCCGCATCCCCTTGGGCCATCAGTACAGCCAGGAAAGGGCAGCAGTGAGACCCTCCTGAGATGGGACAGTGTGTGCGGTCAGGGGCAAGGCCCCAGTGGGGATCATGGCAGAGACCCTGTGTCCCCATCAGGTGCACTTCAAAGGGAGGGCAGTGGCACAGCATCGTCTCTCTAATTCCTCCAGGAATGTGCTGGAGCTTTGGGGTGTGGCAGCAGGGAGATTGTAGGGTGAGGGCAGGGGTCTCAAATGCAGACCCAGGTGCTCACAGACACACAGATGGAGGGACACGCGCACACACTTGCAGGCATACAGACAGACACACACTCTCAGACAGACACTCAGACACACACACTACAGACACACAGGGACACACTTACACAGACACACACAGGCACACAGAGACATTTGCTCACACACAGTCACACACAGACACATACACTCATAGACGATCTCACACAGACACACTGACAGACACAGTCATCACAGACACAGAGACACACTCACAGACAGACAGACGTAGACATACACACTCACAGACACACTCACATTCACTCGTCTGCCTGAAGCCAGGCACGTTTTACTTAAGCCTGAGCGACGTGGGGCCCGATGGAGCAGCCGCTGACCTACTTGAGGGTGCTCCCGAGAAGCTTGGAAATCTGCATTTTCAAATATCTGGCTCTCATTTGGTGTTAGCATGTGAAATAAACCCATATTGGATCCTGACTCCACACTGAATCACCTCACAGGGTTAACGACAATCCAAGCCAGGCTTCAGGCAGAGTTATAGCGAGGCACCGACCCGGGTGTGCAGGGCCACTTCCACCCAGTCCCCTGCAGCTCTAATGCACAGAGAGTCCCTCGGCAGGCTGAGCACCTGCTGCCCCGTTCTTCCACCAGAGAGACTCTCTGGCCCTGGGTCTTTTTACTCAAGAATTGCTTAAGGTGTTTTTCAGATCCTGAATTCTAGTAGCACGGCTGAGGCCAACAGGTATGAAGACCCCCGACCAAGGAAGCAGTAAAGTACAGGAATGCGGTTTCTTCATCCTCCACACTTCTCCACCAGTCAGCAATCCCCACACTTTAGCCCATCACCTGCCCAGACCCCTTAAGAGCCCATCCCAAACTTCCTGGGCAGGTGGATTTGAGGTTTCCTCTCATCTCCTCATTCGGCTGCCCTACAATTACTAAAGTCTTCCCCTGCTGCAACCCAGTGCAATACACTGTATCTGTGTATTGACGCGCTGCACAGTGGGCTACAAACCTAGTAGGGTTACAATCTTGGCTGAGTCCCTTATCCTCTCCCAGCCTCAGTTTCCCCATTTGATTAGGGGTGATGGCCAGGAGCATATGCCTCCCAGAGCTGGGACTGGGCTCAAGGCAAGAGTGCAGAGAGCACATGGCTCCCAGGACCAAGAGGAGGCAAGAGATTATGGACTTCTTTGAGGAGTGGGTGCAGAAGTTGTCGTTTAACCATCTGCACTGGTGTGCCTCTTGTGGGGAGCAGCTTGACTTCAGGTGTCCTGGTGGAAGATGTGCAAGGTGTTTGCCTTTCTGAGCGGCAAGCTTTTTCCAGCTCCTGAGATCACAGTAGTTTGGGCTCTTGGAGGAGTGTTGGGACAAATAAGGAACAGGATGTAACTTGGCGTCAGTGTTTTCATGGACTCAGGAGAAGAGAGCGGCAGCAGGAGCCGAGGAAGGGGCGAGTGGCCTCTGCTGGAGTCGGGGCCTCCAGCCAGAGTGAGCACAGGGCGTAACCCCCCAGGGATGCCCAGAACCCTGAGAGGCACCCGGCTGGCTTCTTACATACAGGACGGAGCACGGGGCCTTAGCCAACATGACACAGGACGGTGGGGCTCAGTGATGTCCGGCTTCATTCTCATCAGTGTCCTTGTAATGTTCTTACCACACTGCGATGGTGGATGTGGGTATTTATTCTTGACTCCTTCTATATGGGCATTTATTTTGATGGAAAAGCATCTGAGTTGCAGGACGCACTAGCCCTCTTGTAGGCAAACCTGTGGAAGGTCTGGCTATTTGGGTCAGGAAGCTGCAGATAAGTGGGCACCAACCCTCCTGGGATGACAAGGTGAGGCGGTTCCTTGGGCTGGAGACCTGGGCTCTAGGGAGAAAGAAGAGCCAGCTCTGAGCTGGGTTTGCCACTAGGAGAAGGAATAGTCTCTCACACACCATCACTCTCATGGCTGAAGACAGTCTCTGCTCTGCCTCCTCTCCTCGTGGCCCAAAGTAGGGCTGGGCAGGTGGGGAGGGAGGGCTAAGGGTTCCCTATGCACTCCTCAAGCTGTGTCTCACAGTCGCTGTTGGAGGATGTAAATTTTCTCCCACTCATTCAAAACAATCTCACCATTCAAATTAAAAATGGACACAATTAAACAAAGTGTGCCTTTATATAGCTTGATCCTTGGGGCTAACATTTGCCTTTTTGTTGCTAATTTCCAGTTGTATGTCTTACAGTTTTTGCTTTGTAGATTTGGATGATAAATTATTCCCTGCTTAAAGGTTAATCGTTGCTGTGCCCTCATTGGGTCTTTAATTGTTCCTCAGAATCAAATTACTCTTTGTCTCTTTTAGTGCTTTTTGGCTTTATCTGATACTCATTTTACCAACTCTCTTTCTTATTGTTTATGCTTGCCTAACATATATTTGCTTTCCTTTTCTTTTTAACATTTAAGTATTTTATTTTACGTGTACCCTTTGTGAGGAGTGTATATTTGGATGGTTTTCTTTAAATAGTGTTTATTGTCAAAACAGACATGTTTGTTGATACATCTGTTATTTATGCTTTGTTATCCTTTTTCTTTCCCTATCTTTGGCTTTGTGAGCTGTTTTCTTTACTATTTTATTTTTTCTCTAGTGTTTTGGAAGGCCTAGTCCTTATTTGTATTCTTTTGGTGGTAAATTCTAAGTTTAAGTTGGATTTTTGAAAAACAGCTTTTTTGGGGTGTAATTGGCATACAATTAGTGACACATATTAAAAATGGACAATTTGATACGTTTTGACATATATATACATTTGTGAAGCGTCACCACAATCAAGATGTACAAATCCCCGCTCCTAAAGCCTCTTCTTGGCTTTCGAACTCCCTTTCTCCTTCCTCCCTATCTCCTGTGGCTTCATCTCCCCAGGCAACCATGGATCTGCTTTCTGTCACTACGGATTAGTTTGCGTGTTCTAGAATTTTACACACATAGAGTCATGAAATATGTACTCCCTTTTTTGTCTGTTTTTTCACTCAGAATAACTATTTTGAGATTTCTCCATGTTGTCTCACGTATCAACAGTTCATCCGTCTGTTGCTGAGTATGTTCCACTGTATGGATAGAGGAGCAATTTCTCTCTTCATCTGTCGGTGGGCGTTTTAGTTGTTTCCAGGTTTGGACAATTTCAGATGAAGTTGATGTAACATCGATATACAGATATATGTATAGAAAAACCTCCTTTCTCTTGGGTAAAAATACCTATGAGTGGAATGGCTGGGTCATATGGCAGGTGCATGTTTAACTTTTAAAAAAACCTGCCAAACTATTTTCCGAAGTTCTTGCACTGTTTTACATTCTTACCAGCAGTGAATGAGAGCCCTAGTCCATCCACATTCTCACCAGCACCAGGTGAGGGCGGCCACTTTAGCCCCTCTAAGTAGTGTGCAGCTGTATGTCATTGTAGTTTTAATTTGCATTTTTGTAATGGAAAAATAAGTTGAGAATCCTCCAACATGCTCACTGGCCATTCAGATATCATCTTTGGTTAAATATCTGTTCAAATCCTGCCTTATAAATCAAATTGGGACAAATAGAATTTAATAGATCATATCAACATTCATATTAAGTAAAAATGGCCTATACACCCAAATTAAAAGATAAGGATTTTAACATTGGATAAAAAAGCAAGACCTAACTATATGCTGCCTATAAGAAACAAATATTAGCTGTAAAGACACATATACATTTAAAGTAAAGGTATGAGAAAATATGTACTATACTAACATTAGTTAAAAGAAAATTGGTATGGTTATACCAATATCCAAGTAGATTTCAGAACAAACAATATTGTTGGGGTATAAAGAAGGTCATTTCCATAATGACCAAGATGTCAGTTAATCAAGAAGAGTTATCAATCATAAACGTTGATGAACCTAACAATAGAGTTTCAAAACACCTGAAACAAATACTGATAGAACTACGAGGACAAATAGACAAACGAACATTACAGTCTTCTTTCAATAATTGATAGAACAAGTAGGAAAAACTAATGAAAAATAGATTTGAACACTGTCAATCAATTTGACCCAATTGTCATTTATAAGACACTCCACACAAGAGCAGAATATACATTCTTCTTAAGTGCACACAGAACATTTACCAAGATACACTGTATTATGGGCCATAAGTCTCAGTACATTAAAAAGCATTCAAACTATACAAAAGTGTTTTCTCTGACCACAGTGGATTGAAATTAGAAATCAATAACTAAAGGAAATCTGTAAAAACCTTAAATACTTAATTAAATAACACATTTATAAATAATCAATGGTCAAAAAATAAATTAAAATATAATTTAGGAAGTATTTATATTTAACTAAAATGAAAACATATTAGAATTTGTGGGATGCCATTAGAGCAGTACTTAGAGGGAAATTTTTAGCCTTAAAAATGCTTCCATTATGAAAAAAGAAAGAACTTCAATCAATGGTCTCATCTTGCGCCTTAAAGGCCAGAAAAAGAAGAGCAACTTAAATTTGAGGAGCAGAAAAAGAAAACAATAAAGATCAGAGTAGAAATCAATGAAGTAGAAAATAATAAAATGCAATAATAATAGAGAAAATCAATGAAACCAGAAGCTAGTTATTCAGAAGCTTAATAAAGTTGATAAACCTGTGGCTATATTCATCAAGAAAAAAGAAGAGAAGACACAAGTTACCAGTATCAGGAAGGAGAAAGGTGACATCACTGCAAATTTATTTTGCAAATATTAAAAGGATGGTAAAGGCACATATTATGGACTTTATACCAGTGTATTTGACAACTTAAATAAAATGAACAAATTACTCAAAAGATACAAACTACCAGAGTTGACTTAAGAAACAGATAATTTGGCCCTATATCTATTCCAAAAGTTGAATTTACTGTTAAATTCTTCCCCAAAGAAAACCTCACACCTAGATGGCTTCACTAGCAAATTATGCCAAACATTTATGGAAGAAATGATACCAAATCCACACAAACATTTTCAGAAAACTGAAGAGGAGGGAATACTCCTTCCAGGAGGCCATCATACTATGATACCAAAACCAAGACATTAAAATAAAAGAAAATTACAGCAAATATCCCTCATGAACATAGGTGAAAATATTCTAAACACATTTTAACAAAATGAACCTAACAATAGTTTAGTTAAAGAAAGACAGTACAACCAAGTGGGATTTAAGTCAGGAATGCAGGTATAGCTTAATATCAGAAAATCAATCAATGTAATTTATCATATTAATAAAACCATGAAAAATCATATGACGAAGCCAAAAATGCAGAAACATAAAAAATTCAATATACTTTAATAATAAAAACTCTCAACAAAGTAGGAATAGCAGGAAACTTTCTGAATCTGACAAAAGGCATCTGTAAAAACCCTACAGTGAACGTGACGCTTAATGTAAAAGCTTCAATGCTCTTTCCCTAAGACTGGGAACAAGACAAGGGTGTTCTCTTTCATCACTTCTACTCAATATTGTACAGGTTCTAGTCTGTGCAATACGGCAAGAAAAAGAAATAAAGGGCGTCCATACTGGAAAGGGAGCAATAAAGCTGTTTTTACTTGCAGACAACATCATCATCTATATACAAAGTGTAATGGAATCCTTAAAAATATTTTAATTAATAAGCGAGTTCTGGCTGGGCGCGGTGGCTCACGCCTGTAATCCCAGCACTTTGGGAGGCCGAGGCGGGCGGATCACAAGGTCAGGAGATCGAGACCATCTTGGCTAACACAGTGAAACCCCGTCTCTACTAAAAATACAAAAAATTAGCCGGGCGCGGTGGCAGGCGCCTGTAGTCCCAGCTACTCGGGAGGTTGAGGCAGGAGAATGGCGTGAACCTGGGAGGCGGAGCTTGCAGTGAGCCAAGATTGTGCCACTGCAATCCGGCCTGGGCTAAAGAGCGGGACTCCGTCTCAAAAAAAAAAAAAAAAAAAAGCGAGTTCAGCAAAGTGAAAGGATACAAGATCAATCAACAAAAATCTATTGTTTGCCATGTGCTATTAGCAAACAATCAGAAAATAAAAATTAAAAATACCATGTATAGGCCAGGTGCGGTGGCTCACGCCTGTAATCCCAGCACTTTGGGAGGCCAAGGTGGGTGGATCACGAGGTCAGGAAATCGAGACCATCCTGGCTAACACGGTGAAACTCCGTCTCTACTAAAAATACAAAAAATTTGCTGGGCATGGTGGTGGGCGCCTGTAGTCTCAGCTACTTGGGAGGCTGAGGCAGGAGAATGGCGTGAACTCGGGAGGTGAAGCTTGCAGTGAGCTGAGATTAGCCACTGCACTCCAGCCCGGGCTATAGAGTGAGACTCTCTCTCTCAAAAAAACAAAACAAAACAAAACAAAACAAACCCATTTATAATATAAACATATAAAATAAATATTTTGAGATAAATCTGACAAGATATATGAGAGACCTGTACACTAAAAACTGCAATGCTGGCTGGGCGTAGTGGCTCACGCCTGTAATCCCAGCACTTTGGGAGGCTGAGGCGGGCAGGTTGCCTGAGGTCAGGAGTTTGAGACCAGCCTCACCAACATGGGGAAACCCCATCTCTACGAAAAATGCAAAAATTAACCAGGCATGGTGGCGGAAGCCTGTAATCCCAGCTGCTTTGGAGGCTGAGATAGGAGAATTGCTTGAACCCGGGAGGTGGAGGTTGCAATGAGCTGAGACTGGGCCATTGCACTCCAGCCTGGGCAACAAAAGCGAAACTCCATTTCAAAACAAAAACAAAAACAAAAACAGAAAACAAAACAAAACAAAAAACCCACTGCAATGCTTTGCTGAAAGAAACTAAAAAAGATCTAAATAAATGAATGGTTATACTATATTTATACATCAGAAGACTGAAAATTGTTAAGATGTCAATTCTCCCTGGACTGATGTATAGATTCATTTCAATCCCAATCAAAATCCCATTAGGCATTTTTGTAAGAATTAATAAGTTGATTCTAATATTCATATGGAAATGCAAAGAACTTGTAATAGGCAAGACAACTTGGAGAAAAAAAGAAAGTTGTAGAATTAATACTATCCAATTTCAACTTATTATAAACCTACATTAATAAAAATAATGTCTTATCGCTATGAAGATAGACAAATAGGTCAATGGAACAGAAAAGAGTCCAAAAATGAAAGGCAGGATGTGGTTTATAGACTTCCTTCTCTTTGAGGTTCCTGAACTGGAAAGACATGAGTCCAATGCTGGAAACAATTTCCTCCGGTGAATGGAAAGCCTGTGAGAGAAAGTGGCCAGTGCAGAGGAAAGAAAAGCATGGGTGGGGGGGATCAGATGGATGCTGATCGTGGAGCACCTTGATTCAGCCGAGCCTGCAGCCACTCTTCTGTTGGACTTTTCAATTAGACAAGCCAATACATTTTGTTCATTTTTCTTAAACCTGTTTCTGTTTACTTGGCTGCACTTAGGCATTCTAGAAGTTTTTCCAGGTTCCTTCTGACATTTACCTGGGATTGAAGCCAAGCTATAGACTCCAGGGAGGAAAAGGCAAAAACCTATGCCTCTGTAGTCAAGTCCTGTGCAAACACCAGTTGAGGCTCCTCTTGTACCCTGGATGACTGACAGTGATGACATCCAATGGCTCACCTCCCTTCTCATGCAGGGCCCCAGGCAGAAGCTTCCTTTAATGTCTAGTGGGAGGTTTAAGGCATCAACGTTTTCAAGACTGAGTGGGAGGTATCGGGCTTGTCTGGTCTCTTTAGCTTGTTAGTACGTATGAGGATGACCTCATGGGACTGGAATGGTCTGCACAAGGCTCCGCCAGCTTCTCCTGTGAGGAGTTGTCAGTGTTCCAAGTCGCAGGCGAAGGCAGCATTGTCACTTGGTGGATGAAGACCTTGGCCTCCTGAGGAGGGATCCCTCGACAAGGTCCCCCACCTCTGCTCATCTACTTCATTCTTCCTACTCCAAAGTGCAGTCAATGCCTGTGTTTGGCCCTTGCTCAAGGGCACCTGAACATGGGGCTGTACCCCAAGCCAACTGAGTGAGCATCTCTGACATGGGTTATGGGGCCCAGGTGTCAGTACTTTTCTGCAGTTGCTCTAGGCAGACAAGTTTGTGAACCTTGCCTCCGTGCTCCAATTGCTCCCCATCAGGTGTGCCTGCCTTGTATCCTGGACTTTTATGTCCACATTGTGCTGTGTGAGCCAGTGACCCTAGTGAAGTACAACTGTCCCCTCTGAGCCCCACAGCTGTGTGTGGGCACAGACAAGCCCTCCCATCTCTGCCCAAAGGCCCCAGATCTCCATGCTTTGGGCTGCAGTCTCCAATCCTGAGAACATGTCTGCTTCAAAATAGACAACTACTGGGACCCCAGAACTCAATAGTCCACTTCACCTGGGTAAAACTGAAAGGCAAGATTGGGCTGGGCATGGTGGCTCACACCTGTAATCCCAGCATTTTTGGGAGGCTGAGGCGGGTGGATTTCTTGAGCTCAGGAGTTTAAGACCAGCCTGGGCAACATGAAGAAACCCTGCCTCTACAAAAAATACAAAAATTAACTGGGCATGGTGGCACATCCCTGTAGTCCCAGCTACTTGGAGGGGCTGAGGCAGGAGGATTGCTTGAACTCGGGAAGTCAAGGCTGCAGTGAGCTGAGATTGTAGCACTGTACTCCAGCCTGGGTAACAAAGTGAGACCCTGTCTCAAAAAGAAGATGCTTACCCAAACTTATACCATATACCATAAGCCAGTTAAAGATGGGGAGGCCAGAGGTTGGAAATAAACCCAGTGACACAGCAAGTTCGGACTACATCTCAGCAATCCATGCAAAGTTTTCAAATGTGGTCTCAAATCCCCTGAGGCCAATGCCCAAAACCTCTGGACCCAGGCCCAGCGGAGGGTCATAATCTGTTCATTCTGTGGATGTCTGAGCCGGACTGACTTCACTACTGATCCCATGGACATTCAAAGATAATAAAGTAATACTATTAATAACTCTATATCCACAAGTTTGATAACTTAGATGAAATGAACCGATTTCTTGAAAGACACAAACTACCAAAACTCACACAAGAAGAAAGAGGTAATCTTAATAGGCACATGTGTATTACAGAAATTGAATCCATGGTTAATAACTTTCTGGAAAAATAGCACCAGATTCAGACGGTTTCACTGGTGAAATCTACCAGTCATTTAAGGAAGAAATGGTACCAATTCTCTAAAATATCTCCAGAAAAGAGAAGCAGAGGGAATACTTCCTAATTCTTTTTATGAGGCTAGGATTGCCCTAATAGCAAAACTAGATAAATGCATTATGAGAAAGGAAAACTGCAGACCAATATGTTTCATGAAATAGATGCAAAAATTCTCAACAAAATATTAGCTAATTGAGGCCAGGCACGGTGGCTCACGCCTGTAATCCCTGCACTTTGGGAGGCCAAGGTGGGCAGATCACAAGGTCAGGAGATCGAGACCATCCTGGCTAATGTGGTGAAACCCTGTCTCTACTAAAATAAATAAATAAATAAAAATTAGCCGGGAGTGGTGGCAGGCGCCTGTAGTCCCAGCTACTCAGGAGGCTGAGGCAGGAGAATGGCATGAACCCAGGAGGTGGAGGTTGCAGTGAGCCGAGATTGCACCACTGCAGTCCAGCCCGGGCGACAGAGAGAGAACACTGTCTCAAAAAAAAAAAAAATTAGCTAATTGAATCCAACAATGTATAAAGTGTATAAGTGGAACAGAATACAGATCTTAGAAACTGACTTACCCAAGTGTAGTCAACTGATCTTTGATGTAAGCGTGAATACAATACAGTGAAGAAAGGATAGTCTTTTCAACAAATAGTGCTGGAACCATTGGACATTCTCATGCAAAAAGATGAATCTTGACACAGATATTATACTCTTCACAAAAATAAACTCAAAATGGATCATAGACCTAAATATAAATTGCAAAACTATAATATCTTAGAAGATAACATGGAAAGAATCAAAGTGATTTTGGGTTTGGCAATGAGTTTTTAGGTACAATACGAAAGGCATGACCCAAGAAAGAAAATATTGATGTTAGATTTCATTAAAATTAAAAACTTTTGTTCTGTGAAAGACACCATTGAAAATGGCAAGCCTCAGTGGTGCCCCGATTGGAGGCTATTGACCTGGAGAAGTTGGGGTAGCTATCTAGAAGTGGGGCTCCTATGTGATTGGTTAGGGGAGCACATTTGACTTCCTTTGGTTGATCCTAAGTTGGAAGTGGGAACAAAAAAATGGGACGGAGTCAGTTATAAGTCAAGTCCTGGCCATTTGGGGCTGATTGTTGCAAAGGCTATTGTTTGGCTTCCTGGACTGTTGGTAGAGATAGCGATCTGACATCTTACAAGTCTGAGGTATAGCAGGCTGGCTTCCTGGGCTGGTTACTATAGATAATGGGTTAGTTTCCAGGGCTGCTTCCTGCAACTTATTGGTCAGAGTTCTATTTCTATAAGGTCTGTCCATTTGTATATTTAATCTTTCAATTGTTGTCCAAAATATATAAAGAAACCTCAATACTCAGCAATAAGAAAACAAACATTCTGATTAACAATGGGAAAAAGATCTGAACAGACAGCTCACCAGAAAGATACAGATGGCAAATAAGCATATGAAAAAGATATTTGAAACCATTTGTTATTATGGAATTGCAAATTAAAACAATGAGATGCCTCTACACACAGATTAGAATGGTGAAAGTGAAAACAAAAAAGGAAAGAAAAAAAGAAAAGAAGCTGATGGCACCTAAAGTTGGTGAGCAGTCAGGGCACCAGGCCTGGCCATTCCCTGCTGCTGGGGTGTTAAATGGTACAGCCACTTTGGAAGACAGTTCAGCAGTTTCTTACAAAGTAAATAAACTCTTACCATAAGATCTAGCAATTGCACTCCTTGGAATTTATCCAACTGATTTAAAAACGTATGTCGACACAAAAACTTGCACATGAATGTTTATAGCAGCTTTCTCACAGTCACTCAAAACGAAAAGCAACCAAGATGTCCTTCAATAGGTGAACAGATAGACTTTGTACACCCATACAATGGAATATTTGGTGATTAAAAACCCACCTATCAAGCCACAAAAAGACCTGGAGGAATCTTAGATGTGTATTGCTAAGTGAAAGAAGCCAGTCAGAAAATGTCACCTACGGCTGGGAGCGGTGGCTCACGCCTGTAATCCCAGCACTTTGGGAGGCCGAGGTGGGTGGATCACGAGGTCAGGAGATCAAGACCATTCCTGGCTAACACAGTGAAACCCCATATCTACTAAAAATACAAAAATTAGCCAAACGTGGTGGCATGTGCCTGTAATCCCAGCTACTCAGGAGGCTGAGGCAGGAGAATTGCTTGTACCCAGGAGGCAGAGGTTGCAGTGAGCTGAGATCACGGCACTGTACTCCAGCCTGGGCGACAGAGTAAGACTCTGCCTAGAAAAAAAAAAAAAAAGAAAATGCTACCTACGTATGATTCCAAATATATGACATTCTGAAAAAGACATCCACAAAGACAGTAAAACATCCAGTGGTTTCCAGTGGTTGGTGGGAGGGAGGGATGAATATATGGGACACAGACAGTAAAACTGCACTGTAATAATGGATATTTGACAGGCATTTGTCAAAACCTATAGAACTTTATAGCCCAGAGGAACTCTTAATGTATACAAATAAAAAAAAATTATTTAGGAGGTCAAGGGATCCCAGGAGGGAATACTGACTGTGACCAGAGAATCCAACTGTATTACAAATGTGTAAAATTACCTCACTGAAGAGACAATGGGAGAGCAGGTGCTGCCCTAAGGGTACTGCATAAATGAGTGGAGTGGGTAAGACCAAAGGCAAAAGGGAACTGAGCATAAGCACTGCACTCTAGCTTATGGTGCTTCCCATGGAAGTACAGATTCACAATCTGATCCCACAGCTCATGTGCACTGGAATTGAGTGATTCTTTTTTTTTTTTTTTTTTTGAGACAGAGTCTCACTCTGTCACCCAGGCTGGACTGCAGCGGCACAATCTCGGCTCGCTGCAAGCTCTTCCTCCCAGGTTCATGCCATTCTCATGCCTCAGCCTCCTGAGTAGCTGGGACTACAGGTGCCCGCCACCATGCCTGGCTAATTTTTTGTATTTTTAGTACAGATGGGGTTTCACCGTGTTAGCCAGGATGGTCTCAATCTCCTGACCTCGTGATCCGCCCACCTCGGCCTCCCAAAGTGCTGGGATTACAGGTGTGAGCCACCGTGCCCGGCCGGAATTGAGTGATTCAGTAAATGGATCATGAGTAGTGGGAGTCAGGCTTCTCACTCTGAGGATTTACAGATAAAGCAGGGGATGAGACTAGAATGGTTCATGCATTATTGAATTTGAGTGGAAGGTATCAGTATAAACTCATGTTTAGCATAATACAGATACAAACGATTACATATAGAAATATTTATAGATATGCGTATGTGCGTTAATTAGTATACATATACCTCTCCTCTGTCATCTGAGACGGCCTAGAAGCAATCATATTCCAGTAGCAATAAACACACCTAGTGCTCAGATCTTGGCTTCTAATACTGTTCTCCAATAAAAAGAAACAGGGCTCCTCAGAGAAATGGCTGATTCTGGGACTGGGGCAAGAAATATACAAGATAAATCTATAGAAAGGAAGTACTAAAAAAAATCTCCAAATCCTACCTTAAAGGGACACAGGAGCCAACTGGAAGAGCTCCCAATGGCCAAAGCCAGAACAACTTGAGCAACAAAATAAAGTAGGGTTGAGTCATGACCCAAAATATGACACAGGTGTCCATGAGTCAGTGCTGACAGACATCAGTGACTGAATAAACTACATGGGAAAGAAGAGACAAATCACCATTGCCAAAGGATTCCAAATAATTTACGCAGATACCTTGCCCTCAAGGAGGGGACCGCGAGTCCCCCTCCTCAGGTGTGGGCTGTGCACCTTGACTTCCTTCCCAAGAGTGTGGTATGGAAGGCAGGTGATAACTGTTGAGGGGGGTGATGACTATCTGGGTGGTGGTGGTCCGGGGTAGGGGGAGCATCAAAGAATTTCCCAAGACAGTTGTAGATAAAGAAGGGCAGATTTATTAGAGAAAATAGGAAAATACGTTGCGAGGAGGAAACAGGCGGACTCAGCAGAAGAGGAGCTGACTGCTGGGGTTCAAAGGCTTGCTGGAGGTTTTATAGGATGGTTCTTGGGCTGCAGAGGGCTGCGTGCGGTACTGATAACGCCAGGGTTGCAGGGAGCTACCTTGCATTTTTCTATCAGCTGAGGGTCTGGTGATAGCTGGGTGCAGGAAGATTGTGAGTTATCTGTGCAGGAGGGCTGTGTGTCCTGCACCGTGAAGAAAGGCAGACTTATACCTCTTCTGCTGCTTCTTTTTGCTTCCCCTGCTCCCTGCAGCCTGACTCCTTTTCCCTAATTAGGACCCCACAGTGACTTCACAGCGGAGAAGACTGACAGCACGACCTCAGCCGGGGGCCAAGGTCAATGTCAGCAAGGACAGCCTTGTTGAGAGCACGCGCCCTGGGTAGGATGTGACGCCAGTGGAGTGCTGCCGCCGCGCTTTCTTTCCCCTGGCGCATAACACCAGTCACTCATGAGAAAAATAGCACGTTCCAAGAGTGGGGCATCCTGCAGAATTTCTGACTGGTACTCCTAAAAACTGTCAAGGCCATCAAAAACAAGGAAAGTTGGAGAAACTGTCACAGCCGAGAGGCACCTAAGGAGACATGCCGACCAAATGTCATGTGGTGTCCTGGACGGGCCCTTCCTGGGACAGGGCAAGGACATTAGGGAAGAATCAGGGAAATCTGAATGCACCATGTAGAACAGGGCCTTTAGCCAATACTTGTGTTTCAATACTGGTTCATCAGTGGTGGCAGATGCACAGCACTAATGTAAAATTTTAATAATAAGGGAAGCTGTGTGAGGGCTATATGGGGACTCTGTGACATCTTCTCAATATTCCTGTCAAAACTGTTCTAAAAATAAAGTCAGCTTAAAAAACTGTCAGCAACATGCACGCAGCTCTGGAGAATGGGGAGCAGCCCTCATGAAGTCGTGTGCATGAAAGGTGAAGACTTCACATCAACGAAAGCCATTCACAGGTCTGTGTTTGGAATCCCAGGGTTTGGAAAACATGCATCTCATTTCCTCTGGAGGTGAAATGTGAGTTGGTCCTGCTGCCCACATGCATTCCCTCAAGATGCAGAAAGCCATGCCTGGCTGTCATTCTGCTGATTAGGCCCGGGCAGGGTTGGACCGCTCCACATCGGGGCAGCAACCCAGGTGACCACACGGCAGGGATCTCCTCCACGGTTGTGTGGGAAAGCCCTGGAGACCGAGGGACGTTCAGCAGCATCATGGCCCCCACATCTCAGGCAGGCGGCATGGGGTGCTAAGCCCCTTCCTCCCCTTTAAAAAGAAGAATCATGGTTTTGTTTTGTAAGAAAGGTCCGGCCTCATATTTAAAAACTGAGTAACATAGGAGACCAAGAGGAAGTCAAAAGCATGCTCCAAACTCTCCTTCCAGATAACCAACTTTGTTCAATCTCACAAAGGACAACTTTCCTCCAAGGGTCCAGTAGAACTGGAAAGAGGGACAGGAGTAGAAATAATGTTAGTCACGGGCATCGTTTATCAGAAAGAGCATCTCCTGTGTTTGAGTTTCACAAGAACAAACCAAGGTGAAGCCGAAGGAAACACTTGAAATAAAGGTTTCACCTCACAGAGACTCAAGCACTGGAAGACCTGCTAAAAGCTACCGTGAAAGAGCTTGCGAACGAAGGGAACTCCACGTTGGTAAACCAGATGTTCCGGGTTCCAAGTTACATTTTTACTCCCAACCCCTCCATGCTTTCTAACGTTATTATTTTTTGGACGTGATCAAAGTTTGTAACATTTAACTTCTGTTCCTCACACCGTGGTTTCCATTGTCACTGTCACCCGGTTTAACATTCAGATGATTCCAGAGCTTGTCCCCAGCCTTTGCTGTGGTTCCTACCCCCTTGAGTTTTGTCTTCATCAGCGTTTGTCACCTGGATTTTGTCATCTGAGGTTGCTGGAGAGGCCCCTGTGCTGGCTCACCGTGTAATTTATCATCCTACCTGGAGCACTTGACTTCTACTTTTTAGACTTTTTATCTGGAAATGATTTCAAACTTAGACAAAGTCACAAAAGCAAAAAGAGTGCAAGGAATAGCCATATACCCATTGCTCAGATTTACCTATTATTCTATCCCATTTGCTGTATCATTTGTGTTGTAAGAACAGGAGTATTCTCTTACATAACCTCAACACAGTCATCAACCTCATACATCTCCATTAGTATTAATAAGAAGTATTTTTACATGATATGCCATCTGTATTCCAATGTTGTCAGATGTTCTAATAATATCCTGTAATTAATGAATTAAAAGATGAGGTCTAGCTCTGTTACCAGGCTGAAGTCTAGTTGTGCAATCATGGCTCACTGCAGCCTCAACCAACCAGGCTCAAGCGATCCTCCCACCTCAGCCTCCTGAGTAGCTGGGACCACAGGTGCGCACCACCACATCCAGCCTCTACTAATGTCATTTGTAGCCTTTGTAGCACCCTTTCCCTCTCAAACTTGAGCACTTTTTAGAGCAAGAGTTTGCTATGGACAACTATGCTGGTGATGCAGGACAGGCAAGCCGCAAAGTGGGGCTCAGCCTGAGAGGGTTCTTGGCTTTGCCCAGGAAAGAATTCAAGGGCAAGCCAGAGGCAGAAGAAAACAGCTTTATCGAAGCTGCAGTGTCACAGCTTCAGTGGTGTTATAGCTCCAAGACTGCACCTGCTGGGCCGGGCTACCCCATAGGCAAAGAGGGGAAGCTCAGGGCTGTTCTGCTCATATTTATACCCACTTTTTTTTTTCTTGAGACAGAGTCTCACTCTGTCACCCAGGCTGCAGTGCAGTGGTGTGATCTCAGCTTACTGCAACCTCCGCCTCCCAGGTTCAAGCGATTCTCCTGCCTCAGCCTCCCAAGTAGCTGGGATTACAGGCATGTGCCACTGCACCTGGCTAATTTTTGTATTTTTAGTAGAGATGAGGTTTTTCCATGTTAGCCAGGCTGGTCTCGAACTCGTGACCTCAGGTGATCCACCGGTCTTGGCCTTCCAAGGTGCTGGGATTACAGGTGTGAGCTACCGCACTTGGGTTCCCACTTTTAATTGCATGCAGATTAAGGAGTATGCAGGGAAGGGGCAGTAACTTTTGGATCATTGGGTACCATGGAAAGAGGCAGTAACTCCTGGGCGTTGCCATGACAACAGTAAATTGACATGGCACACTGGTGGGCAGGTCTGATTGAAAGCTGCTTTCACCCCAGCACTGTTTTAGCTAGTCCTCAATCTGGTCCAGTGTCTGAGCCCTTCCTCTGGAGTCAAGCCCCACCTCCTGTCTCACTGGGACAATGGGAATCTCGGGCTGCCACAGGCCCGGGAGATCCCCGCTTTCTCCTCCTGTGGGCGCTGTGTATTCTTCAAGTTCTTGCCTACCTAAGAGTCTGTTTCCTTTATACGTCAAGTCAGGATTATCGGATATAAAATCCTCAAGTCAAACATTTTTTCCATCAGAACTCTGTAGCTACTGTGTTCTGATATTTAAGTGATGCTCCGTCTGATTATTTCCAACCCCCTGAAGTTTAACAATGGCAGCAGCATACATCGTGCTGTTTTGCTGGCCCCACTCCTGCCCCCAGAATGTGTGCTCTGCAGAGCTGCAGATCCAGGCTTAAGGAACATGTATTTTGTGATAGCCCAGAGTCTATTTTTTTTTTTTCAGGCTTATGTGTTTTGTTTTCTTCTTCAGGAACATCAATTGTGCATGTGTTATATCTTCTTTGTTTGAATTCTGTACTTACCGTCTTATTTTTACATTGTAGAAACTTTCACTTTATTGTGTGTGACTTCCTCAAGCTCAACACTTTATCCTTTTAAAGGCATTTTCAGCCATGTTTATTTTTCTCTTTGTTCAGATGTGGTTATGGTCTCCAATCAACTTCTCTCTTCCATCTCTTTTCTGGGCTCCAGTGGCTCACACCTTCTGTTATCTTATCATCTCTTCTTTGAAACCACACATCTCCTTTTTGAGCGCTTCTCCCTTTTAGGAGATGAGGTTGTCTTGAAGCAGAAGAAACCTTTTTGTCTGAACTTTGCCTGTGTTTCCTTGGGTCGTTCTCCCAGGGGTGAATGTTTTTCATTTGTCTTTTATGTATAATTCCTTCATTTTAATTTTTGAAGTATTTATGCATAGGTGTGAAGTCACTTCCTAATAGTAACTTGTCTTTAACAGGGGAGGGCTATCTGCTGGGGGTGTGGGAGAGAGTGTATGTGTGTGAGTGTATGTGTGTGTGTGTGCATGAGTGCGTATGTGTGGGAGTGTGTGGGATGTGTGCATGAAAGTGTGTGCAAAAGTGTGTGGGTGCATATGTGAGCATGTGTCTGAATGTATGTGTGAGAGAACGTGTGTGTGAATGTGTGTCTGAATGTGTGTGTGTGAGAAAGTGTGTGTGAATGTGTTTGTGAATGTGTGAGTGTGGTGCATGAGTGCATATATGTATGTGAGAGTGTGAATGTGTGTGGATGTATGTGAAAGTGTGTGTGAAAATGTGAGTGTATGTCTGTGAAAGTGTGAATGTGGCTGTATGTCTGTGAAAGTGTGTGTGAATGTGGGTGTATGTGTGTGAACGTGTGTGTATAAGTGTGAATGTGTGTGGGTGTGTGTCTGAATGCATGTGTGTGGGTGTGTATGTGTGTGTCTGAATGTGTGTCTGAATGTGTGTCTGAATGTGTGTATGAGTGTGAACGTGAATGGGTGTATGAGTGTGAATGTGTGTGGGTGTATGTGTGTGAAAGTGTGAAAATGTGGGTGTATGTCTGTGAAAGTGTGTGGGTGTGTATGTGTGTGAATGTGTGTGTAAATGTGTGCATGACTGTGAATGTGTGTGGGTGTATGTGTGTGAATATGTGTGTATGACTGTGAATGTGTGTGGGTGTATGTGTGAATGTGTGTCTAAATGTGTATGTGTGTGGGTGTGTATGTGTGTGTCTGTGTGTCTGAATGTGTATGAGTGTGTGTCTGAATGAGTGTGTGGTGTATGTGTGTGAAAGTGTGTGGATGTATGTGTGAAAGTGTGAATGTGTGTTGTGTGTACGTGTGTAAGTGTGTGAATGTGTGTATGTGTGTGAAAGTGTGTGTGCATGTGTGTGGGTGTGTGTGAGAAAGTATGTGTGAATGTGAGTGTGTGTATATGAGTGTCTGTGTGTGAATGTGTGTCTGTGTGTATGTGTGAGAGAGTGTGAATGTGTGTGGGTGTACGTGTGTCTGAAAGTGTGTGACTGTGTGTGAGTGTGTGTGAATTGTGTGTGTGGCCATTGCAGGCCACGCCTCCACTCTGGTTTATTTTCTCAAGGGCTCTCTCACAATATCTGTTTTCCTTTCCTGGTGGACACACACCCCTTCAGCCTTTAGTGCAGGCCGTTAATTGTGGCTTATAGATGCTTCTAGACAACAGCCCCTATGTCATCAGCTGATAATCACTATTATCAACGTCTCAAATGTCTTCTAGAGTTTCTTTAGGAAATTACAAGCAAATCTGAATCTATTCATGTTTCCATGTTTATGCAAAAGGTAGCATAGGTAGCATAGTACACCTGTTCCTTTGCAGGTGCTGTGAAGTTTGCCTCTAGACACTGTGCTGTGAGGAGTAGGCCTCTACATGTGCCGCTCGCTGGGCACGTGAACGAGAGTGTTTATAGACTGCTGTAGAGTTTGCCACTAGACACTGTGCTGTGAGGAGTAGGCCTCTACATGTGCCGCTCTCTGGGCACGTGAACGAGAGTGTTTATAGACTGCTGTAGAGTTTGCCTCTAGACACTGTGCTGTGAGGAGTAGGCCTCTACATGTGCCGCTCTCTGGGCACGTGAACGAGAGTGTTTATAGACTGCTGTAGAGTTTGCCTCTAGACACTGTGCTGTGAGGAGTAGGCCTCTACACGTGCCGCTCGCTGGGCACGTGTACGAGAGTATTTATAGACTGCTGTAGAGTTTGCCTCTAGACACTGTGCTGTGAGGAGTAGGCCTCTACATGTGCCGCTCTCTGGGCACGTGAACGAGAGTGTTTATAGACTGCAACGTTTTCAAAAGTGGAGTCGCTGGGTGAAAGAGAACATGCATTTGTAATTTTGATGGAAGTGTGCACATTGCCCTCCAGAGGGGCTGCACCTGTGTGTGCTCATGCCAGGGAGGGCTGTCTCTCCCCGGCCTGGCCAGGCAGGGTGCTATCAAGCTTTTGGGTTCTTGCCACTCTGATGGAGGAAAATGTCCTCTTGGTGTAGCATCTATTTTTAAAAATTGAAGTGAAATGTGCAGATATTAAGTGTAGAGTTTGAGGAGTTTTGAGGCATGCGTATCTGAGCACAGCCCCCACCTCCATGAAGATGTAGCACACTCCACACCCCAGGTTCTTCCAGGCCCTTCCTGTTCAGTCCTTCCCACCCAGGGGCAGCTGCTGTTCTCATGTCTTTCATGATAGAGTCATTTTGCTCTAGAGCTTCTTGTACAGGGAGTTGTAGAGTAAGTGTCCCTTTATGTATTTGTCTGTTCACACTCTGCTGATAAAGACATACCTGAGACTGGGTAATTTATAAAGAAAAAGAGGTTTAATGGACTCACAGTTCCATGTGGCTGAGGAGGCCTCACAACTATGGCCGAAGGAGACAGGCACGTCTTACGTGGCATCAGACAAGAGAGAATTAAGAACCGAGTGAAAGGGGTTTCCCCTTGTAAAACCACCAGATCTCATGAGACCAGTAACGGGGAAACCGCCCCCATGATTCAATTATCTGCCACCAGGTCCCTCCCACAACATGTGGGAAATTCAACATGAGATTTGGGTGGGGACACAGCCAAACCAATCCCCTTACATCTGTCTTCTTTCACTCAGCACGCTGATTTTGAGAGGCATGTGTATCTTTTTACCAGCCTTCATTGCTTTTCCTTGCCAATGGACCATTCATGGTGTGGATGGACAGGACGTTTATTCACCTGTGGATGGACGTTTGGGTCTTTTCCCTTTTGGCTCAAGGAATAAGGCTGCATGGTGTTTATCACCGATCTGTGTGTGGACAGGTTTCGTTTCTCTTGGGCGGGCACCCTGGAGAGGAGTGCCTGGGTTGTGGGGTGGGTACGCCACCTCATGAGGCCCTGCGGGGCTGGCTCCTGATGTCAGCATCTGGATGGGACCATGTCCCTCCACCCTCAGGGCCCGGGAATCTCAGATGCCCCACATCCTCACCAACACTTGGTGTCGTCAATCTTCTTGCTTTTGCCATTTAGTGGTGTAGAGCAGGGTCTGAGGTTTCTTTTGTTTCCTGGGTCTGGAACATCTCCTCAGCTGTCACTTAGTACATTTCAAAAGAGTAAGCCCCACCCTTTAAAAAATGAACCCTGCATGGTTGCACACTCCTGTATTTCCAGCTACTAGGGAGGATGAGGTGGGAGGATCGCTTGAGGTGGGGAAGTCAAGGCTGCGGTGAGCTATGACTGTGGTATTGTACTCCAGACGGGGCAATAGAGAAAGACCCAGTCTCTAAATCAATAAATAATAAATGAGGGCTGGGCACAGTGGCTCACGCCTGTAATTCCAGCACTTTGGGAGGCCAAGGCAGGCAGATCACCTGAGGTCAGGAGTTCAAGACTAGCCTGGCCAACCTCGTCTCTACTAAAAAGACAAAATTAGGCTGGGCACGGTGGCTCATGCCTGTAATCCCAGCACTTTTGGAGGCTGAGGTGGGCAAATCACCTGAGGTCAGGAGTTCAAGACCAGCCTGGCCAACATGGTGAAACCCTGTCTCTACTAAAAACACAAAAAAATTAGCTGGGTGTGGTGGCACACCCCTGTAATCCCAGATACTCAGGAGGCCGAGGCAGGAAAATAATTTGAAACTGGGAGGCAGAGGTTGCAGTGAGCCAATACCGCACCATTGCACTCCAGCCTGGGTGACAAGAATGAAACTCTGTCTCAAAAAGAAATAATAATAATAATAAATGAAGTGCCAATTGCATGGCTGCTCAGGAGGCCACACCCTGGAGGAGGCCTGATCCATGGCTTGTGTGGGACTTTTCAAACAGTGTTTAGCAGCTAGGTGGAGACACAGAGAATCAGGCAGCAGGGGATCTAGTTTGAATGCATGTCGCTGCCAGATCTCATGTTGAATTGTGATTCCTAGTGCTGGAGGTGGGACCCGGTGGGAGGTGTCTGGGTCCTGGGGGTGGATCCTCATGGATTGGTGCTGTCCTCGCAATAGTGAGTGAGCTCTTGTGAGACTGGGTGGTTTAAATGTGTGGGACACCTCTCCGCCCCGCCTGCTCCTGCTTTCTCCCTGTGGCATGCCTGTTCCCCCTTCACCTTCCACTGTGACTGAAAGCTTCTGAGGCCTCCCTAGGAGCCGAGCAGATGTGGGTGCCACGCTTCCTGCAGAACCCTGAACCAATTATACCATTTTTCTTTATAAATTGCCCAGTCTCAGGTATTTCTTCATAGCAATGGAAGAATGGCCTAATACAGCTGGGGGTTTATGTTGGGATTTGTCAGACGGGTGCAGTGGTGTTGGTGAGAGAGGTGGCCGTGGAATCTGTGCGTGGCCGGGTGGGATGGAGGCCACGACGCCTCCTGTCTGAGGGCAGCCAGCTGAACAAACCGGGCTCAGAGCTCATCAGGTGGATGAGTGCTGGGCCTCAGAGGGCTCTGGGTCTCTTGTCCAGTGATGGCCTCTCCAGTGACCTTTGTGTCTGCCCCAGCTCCATGGCCACAATCCGGATGTTGCTGTTATCCTGGAAGAAGAGCCCCAGGTCCCAGGATGGCTGATGTTCAGGGAAGGCCCATGCAGTGGGGGTGAGATGGTGCGGGTCTGCGTGGGAGGAGACTGGTTGGAAGGCAGCAGCACTGAGGGCCGGGGGTCCCCACACCACCCACAGCCACAGACCCCATCCTCTAGTGGAGGCTGCTGCCGTCCCCAAGCTGGGCCTCAGGGCTCTGAGCAGGACTGTCCTCCTGGCTTCCTGTGCTTGGGATGAGAACATCCTGGCTGACCCGGCAGGCCCCAAATCCAATGGCAAATGTCCTTGTAAGAGAACATGGAGGAGGCACACAGAGGCAGAAGAAGCCCACATTGAGACAGAGACGGAGTTGGAGGGAGGCCTCCACAAGCCCAGGAATGCTGGAGCCCCCAGAAGCTGGAGGAAGCAGGAGGGGTTCCCGCTCGAGTCCTTGGGGGAGCGCAGGCCTGTGAGGGAGGCCAGCACACTGCAGGCCTGTGACTTTACCCCAGAGGCCTTGGCAGGATGTTATCACTGAGCCATACTTGTGGCAGCAGGGCTCCCATCCTAAGAGAGGAAGGGGCCTGGAGGCCACAGGGGAAAAGGGCCATGGGAGGTCAGGAAACCAGGCTCCAAGCCTGATCTCCAGGACCAGGATGGCTGCTGGGAAGGTACCCTGAGGGGGCCTGCATCTGCAGCCAGGGAGAGGATAAGGAAGCCAGGCCTGTGGCCTGGGACCTTGTAGAGCTGATGGGGAGAGGCCTGAACTGCTCTAAGGAGATGAAGCAGAAGGCCCCTGTCCACCTCTGAGGCTGAGCAGATGCTCAGTTTTGTGTGGCCCCAGCATCCTGGCAAGGCGTGGTGCTGACCCAGCTCGGGAAACCTTCCCTGAGATGCTTTCACTTCTGACTCTCCCTGCACAACCTCCTTAGATGGCTCCCACTCTGCCCACACTGATGAATGGGCAGTCCTGGGAGCGACAGACAGTGGGTTCCAATTCTATGCCGCTGCCACAGTGGCCAGGCTGCAGCCCCCAGGGACTCTATAGACCCAGGTAAGAGTGACAGAGTGAACCAACAAAACTGTCTATTAAAATGTGGAAAACAGAAGATGGAAAAATCCTGAAAGTAGCTGGAAGAGGCAGACGATCTTCAAAACAGCAGCCAATATCCGCACAATTGGCCCCTCAGTGTGGTCCACAGAACCCAGAAGACCATGACCATGGAGCACACTCACAAAGATGGCGTGAGGTGCAGCATCTTGTATTCATCCTGGAGGAAGGAGCTTGACATACGCCACACCTCTGGGCCCTGGAGACTTCACTGATGGGCAGGCCTCTGATGTTTTGTGGGGTTTATTTCCTACCTTCTAGTTAGTGTGTGTCTTACTAAGGCATTTAAAGTTATTTTCACTTCCTGCTCATCAGACACAGTCAGCTCAGTGTAATGTCATGAGTGTAGAGGACCAGCGTGATGCTTTGTAGGTGGGAAAATCTCTGCTTCTTATCACTGCAGGTGGGAGAACTGGCATGACCCAGAAGCAAGACTGTGAAAGGGCACTGTTGGCCCGGCCAGGTGAGAAAACCAAACTGCTCTGGTGATCTTTCCAAACTGGTACAGAGAAGACATTGGTGAGGTCAAGAGCTGAATAACAAGGGCTAGGGGCCATGCCATTTTCTACAGTAAAGATAATACATGTGGGACAACAGGTGCACCTGGATTCACCACCTGCTTCAGTTTACATCAGTGCACGGTCATTCTCCAAGGTTCACCCAACTTTTACACAGGCTTGACAGCCGAATTAAATGTGTGTGTGTGTGTGTGTGCAATGATCACTTCTGTTTCTTTCAAGCCTTGATGATGGCGTTAATCTCTGCAGTTTCCCCGGGAATGTGATATTGATTCTGGTTCTCTTATGGATAGGAAAGGAAGTCCCAGCGTTTTCCATCTAGTTCCTCTACCACAAATGCCCTCACTCCAGGGCTCAGGGAACCATGCTGGGGATCCCGCTAGTTGGCAGTATGTCTATTCCAATTATACATTCAGGAACTGGGGATACAACCAGACTGTGGGTCCGTGGACAGCCTACCCTGTGAGAGGTGAGCTAATGGGGGTTCCATCCATGACCTGACCACTGTATGTTCCCATGTGACTGATGGGCTGTGCTCGTGTTTTGGGTTCCCAAGGATTAGCATCAATTCAGAGCCCTGCAAAGTTCCATTCTCCAGCTCACAGTTACTCCCATGAATGGTCGTACATCCCTTTGGGAAAGGCGTGGAGGAGTATTTCCAGCATGGGCTGCAAATCACAGGTCATTGGATTGTGCATTGAGTTGGGTGTGCAAATGGGTGAGAGGCTGCGACTGGCCACTGCGGTGACTCAGGTCGGGGGTTTGGCTGGCACACCTGGGGTTCTCCTGTTATTTAGACCAAAGAATACCCTAGTAGGCTGCCCACCACTTTTGTCCTTGAGACCCTGTGATTAATTAGCTGCCACCAAAGACCTTGGTGATCAAGGTGCCATGGTTATGTGTGTCCCTGCTTTCCCTCGCTGTCGGTGGGCTGCCTGGTCTCTGATGTCTAGGTGCTGTGTTAGCCTCTGCTACTTCAGGATACCATCGTCCCCACTGAAGGGAGGAATTTCTCATGGTGACATCTTCCACAGTCACACCTGGTCTACAACCAGAGAGCTTGCAGGGAGCCTACAGCCAAGGTGAAAGCATTGCTTCACACCTTAGTCAAGAGAGTGTCCTGTGGCCCCTCAGGGACCACAGCTGGGAGGTGGCTGTGAGGTTGCACATAAATCCAGCCCAATAGTCCTTTCTCCCTAAGCTTTTGGGCTCTTTCCTCCACATCACACCTCCTACATGAACTGTAGGCCACGACAAAGTTCAAGCTTCAGTCGAGCCACCAAGTAAGCTGTCTGAGCCACCTCCAGATGCACGCGTTAACACATGAAATCCAAGCTCTCTGGAAAGTGCACCTGTGTCAAGGAATTTGGCCTAATCTAAGGTTATATTTCCCCTCCCCTCCTTGGTCTAACGCCCATTTAATCCACTCTCAAACACGTTCCCCATGTTACTGCAGATTTATATTAGCAAATTACTGCGATTCTTTTTATGTGTAAATCAATCCCTCCTGGGTCTTAGTGTGTGTCTTTCTCCCTGGAGCATTGGAGATCTGACCCCACTTAACCAGTGGCAGGTGCTAGTTATGGGGCGTCTTGAGGAGAGAGGGCATCCTGAATCTAACCTAATCTGGCCCGGGTTCGGTTCTTGCAGGGTGTTCAAGCCTAGTGGGGAGAGTCTTAGGCACAGGGGCACAAGCCAATGCAAAGGCAGAGTGCCGTGGGGGAAGTGTCTGGACTCATGTTCTGGGCTTGGCAGAGTGAGGATCTCTGCTGTCCTCCACAGGTGGGAGTTGGGACTCAACTCTGGAGGTGGGGCTCAGACACTGGACCAAATCGAGGACTAGCTAAAACAGGGGTGAGGTAAAGCAGCCTTCCATAAGACACACCCAGCAGTGTGCCATGTCCGTTTACCATTGCCGTGGCAAAACCCCGGGGTTACCACTCTTTTCCATGGCAATGACCCAGCGACCCAGAAGTTGATGCAGAAATTTCTGCATAAACCGCCCCTTAGCCTGCATGGAATTAAACGTGGGCATGAATACGACTGCAGAGCCACCCTGCACGGCTACTCTCTGCCTATGGGGTAGCCCTGCCCTGCAGAAGGAGTCACAGAGCTGTGACATGGCTGCTTCAATAGAGCTGTTTCTTCCATCTCCAGCTCGCCTTTGAATTCTCTCTTGGGTGAAGCCAAGTACTCTCACGGGCTGAGCCCCACTTTGGGGCTCACCTGCCCTGCATCACTCCCTTTGGACTGGCGTTGAGTGAACCTGCTTCCCACACCCACGTCCCATTCCCCCATGTTGACGTCTCCCCTTAGTGGGGTGCGCTTGTTCCAGGTAATGAACCAATACCGACACATTTTTCACTAGAGCCCACATTTCATTCACACTTTCCTCTTTCCTGGTTTTTCTCTAATGTCTATTTTCTGCCCCAGGGGCCCGTCCAGAATCCCACGTGACCTTTCATCATCACGTCTCCTTAGGCTCCTCCTGGCTGTGACAGCTCCCAGACTTCCCTTGCTTTTGACGAGCTTGAAGTTTTGAAGAGCACTGCTCAGGCATTAGGCTGCCCCTCAACCAGGATGTGTCTGTTTTTCTCGTGATGAGACTGGAGTCATAGGTTTGGGGGAGGAAGACCGCAGTGGTGAAGTGCCATGCTCATGCCATCCACGGGCGCACACAGTTGATGTGGCTCGTGGCTGGCTGGGGCCTCTATCACCTGGTGGGATAGCATGTCAGGCTTCCTTGCTCACGCCTCCTCAGCACACTGATCATTCTTTTGCTCTTTCTCATAGCAAAGGCAGTGACTGCACTGCCATTGGAGGGCAGTGACTGCACAGCCCGCACGTAAGGGGTGTGGGGCAGCTACAGAAGTGATGTAGAGTTCGTCCTCTTTGGAGGGAAGTGTCTGCACAGCCCGCATGTAAGGGGTGTGGAGCAGCTACGGAAGTGGTGTGGAGTTCTTCAGCATGGGGGCTTTGCCTCTTTTCCTTCACTTATTTATTTATTCATTTATTTAATCATTTGTTTCTATCAATATGCATTTATGGATATTTATTTTATAGTTTGGGTTAAAATCTAATGCTATATTTTCTTGCTCAAATTGTTCCAGCTTTGGCTGTTGGGAGTTTTTTTTGTTTTTTTTTTTTTTTTGACAGAGTCTCACTCTGTACCCCAGGCTGGAGTGCAATGGTGCGATGTTGGCTCACTGCAACCTTCGCCTCCTGGGTTCAAGCGATTCTCCTGCCTCATCCTCCCGAGTAGCTGGGATTACAGGCATGCGCCACCACGTCTGGGTAATTTTTGTATTTTTTTAGTAGAGACAGAGTTTCTCCATGTTGGTGAGGCTGGTCTCGAACTCCCGACCTCAGGTGATCTGCCCACCTTGGCCTCCCACAGTGCTGGGATTACAGGCGTGAAGCATCGCACCTGGTGGGGAGTACTTTAGGTTGGCCTTGGTGTCCCTTTGACACGCCCCATCGTGTGTGTGTGCGCGCACGTGCATGTGTGTGTTTGTGTGTCTGTGGGTGCATGTGTTTTTTGTGTGTGTTTGTGCATGTTTGTGTGTGCGTGTGTGTGTGCACGTGTGTGTTTGTGTGCGCATGGGTGTTTGTGTGTGTGTGCGTGTGTGTTCGTGTGTGTTTGTGTTTGTGTGTGCATGCTTGTGTGTGTGTGTTCGTGTGTGTTTGTGTGCGTGTTTGTATGTGTTTGTGTGTGTGATGTGGGCATTTCCTTACTTTTTGGCACTACAAGGTGCTCCATGTTGATTTTCAGCAGTATTCTCCCTGTGGCTGCAGGAATGAGGGATTCTTTTGGAGCAACTATGAATACTTTATTTTTCAGAGCATAGTCTGCATGGGGAGGGGCCCCCTAGCTGAGCATCATCTTTTGGAGGGGCCCCAGTGCATCAGGAACACTGTCCCACACTGTGGTCCTTGTCATCACACTTGCCACTGTACACGTCAGAGCAGCAGCCTCATGGAACCCCGAGGCACACGCTTCAGCTGGCGTTTCATGAAACCACCACAGGTGTCGGCTTGATTGATTATGATGTGAAGGTGGGCTGGGGATCGGGCTTGGGGTTGGGCTGTGGGTCGTCAGCATCTGATTTCTTATTGGCAATAAACTCAGCACTGCACTTGCGTCACAAATACAGACAAACCAATCCAATCCCAGCCTCATGGGGTGTCCCTCAGGATGGCTCCTGGTACTGACTCTCTATCAGTCAAGGTCCAATCAGGAGACAGGCGTCATGCAGCAATTTGAACAGTGAAAGTTTAATATAAAGAATTCTTAACTATAAGAGGGCGTTTCCTGTTGAGTGGCATGAGAATGCCAAAAGCACAGGAACAGCAGATACAGGCAGCAGCTACTTCTAGGTGGAGACAGAGTTCCCCAAATAGAAGCAAATTTGGAGAGGTCAAATCCCATCCCGGGCTGTGATCCCAACTCCAGCGGAGAGAGTGTGTGTGTGGCCCATAGGGTGGGGGAGAGGTTTGCTGGGATGCCATGCTGCCGAAGTGGGTGGGAAGGGGTGGGAAGGGCTGCAGGGAAGCCACCCCTGCAGATGACGTGCTGGGAAATGCCCCCTGGGGAGGTGCCGGGCTGTGGAACTCCGTGGCGAGCTCCTGGCAGACAGGTTGCCTGTTAGAGCACTGTTGGGCTGTGAGACAGGAAACACTGCACTATTTGATTTCAACAACATTCGCCCTAGGGCTTCAATAAATAAGAGATCTTTTGGATGTCATGGAAACTTTCTGGGGTGGGGGGCATAGTAGAAGGTCTTGCCTGGAGAGTTAGAGAGGGGACAGGAAACTGGGAGGCCCTGAGGCCGTGGATTAGGTGGGAAGGAGGGTCAGAAGAAAGGGACTCTGGAGATCTGACATGCTGTCTCCACAAAGACCAGCATCTCTGCCAGCCCTGCCTCCCCCTCAGCCTCCTGCCTACCCTGCTCCAGCGGACTTCGAGCCCAGCAGATCTGCTTGGGACGTGACTGACCTGTTCTGTTCAACTTCCCTGGCCTCAGACGGGAAGGCCCTCTGGCCATCCGCTCTCATTCCCCAGACCCTCTTGCTTCTCTGTTCAGCGATAACCATGGGTGCTGCTGAGAGGGGCCAGGTGCTGGGCTATCTCCTTCCCGGCAGGAATCACTTTCCTCGGCTTCCTTGCTGCAGGATCTTGCCTCTGTGAGGCCTTTGTGCTGGGCAGGGTGGAGTGCGGGACCAGCACTGGGCCCTCCAAGCATCACCGTAGTCCATGCCTTGGCCCTGCTCCAGGACATGCTGAGCCAGGTAGCATGCACCCCTGCCTCCACCAGGATGGCTCCCTCTCAGCCCAGCCTTCTGGGAGAACAAGACTCTCCACCCCAGCCCTTCTATGTCCACGGCGGAGCCCCTCCAGCCTGGGAGAGCTGCTGTGTGCAGCTCCCTGGACTCAGCCAGGGTCTTTCTACCACGTTTTGAAACTGAAGAGCCGGGGGTCCCTGGAGGCCATTACACTTACCCTGCTTGTTTTTCAGAGAGGGAAACTGAGGTCCACTCATGGGTGGGAAAGGCCTGGAGCCCGAGAGTCAAGACCCTCATGTCTATGAAAGGCCTCATATCTGGGAACAGGCCAGATGCAAACAAGCTGACTTCTGCCAGGGCCTTAGAACAGTGCCTGGCCCCCGAACATGCTGTGTAAGTGCCGATGATAGTAATAACAACAACAGCGGCCTCTGACCTTGGGTTCCATGACACCAAACTCAAGTCCAGCTACTATTCCGAGCTATCCGGGTAACCACTGGTTTTCAGAGTGCGTTCAAATGTTGGCAGGCATTTCGCAAAACGACCCTCTCCCCAGTGCCTGGAAGGACACCTGGCACATAGTGGGCATTCAGTGTGGATGTGTAGAGCGAATGAATGAATGAGTGACAGGACATGCAGATGTCCCCAGGTGGGAGTCTCCCACTCCCTCACAACGCAGTTCATGAGGCAGCTCGTGTTCCCCAAGCCCTGGGTCTGTCTCCATGCAATGCTTCCTCCAGGAAGCCTTCCTGGATGCCCAGCTGAGTCAGGAGCCTCCTGAGGGCCTCACTCCAGCACGACTGGAGTGCAGTCCATCGCCATTGCCCACCTCTTGTCATTTAGGGACGTATGAGCATCCTGAGGGCGGGTGCTGGGCCAGATGCATCTCATATCCTCCTCCTTCCTCCCCATATCTGGGCAATTGTGAATTCCTCGTGTTCTCTTCTCCTAAAAGTACATCAAACCCACCCACTTCTCTCTGCCCTTCCCCGCAATGGCTGTCACACTGGCTGGGGCCATCGTCCCCTCTGGGCTGGCCCAGTGCAGGGGTCTCGGTCCGTTCTTCCCAGTTCCTACCCAGCTGCCGGCAGCCTTGTCTCTGCACGGCTGTCAGAGGGAGCAGCTGCTGTCCTTCTCCTCCTTCTCAATGAGGTGAACTCATCATTTTAAAGGGTATAATTCAGTGGCATTTGGTATATTCACAGTGCTGTGCAGCCAGCACCACCACCGAGCTCCGAAGCATGATCACCACCCCAAAAAGAAGTCCTGTGTTCATGACACAGTCGCTCCCCATTGCCCCTCTCCCAAGCCCCCGGCAACCCCTCATCTTCCTGTTTACGGATTTGTTGTCTATTCTGCATATTTCATGTAAAAGGAGTCATACAACACGTGAACTTTTGTGTCCAGCTTCTTGCAGCAGAAAGTTTTCAAGCTCCAGCCATGTAGCAGGAATCAGTATTTTATTTCATTTTATGGCTGAATAATACATATTCTGTTGTGTGGCTAGACCACGATTTGCTCATCCATTCATCCGCGATGGACATCGGGCCAGAAGGAGATTCTTAAAGCATTCATTTGGTGAAGTCTCTTCTGCTCAGAACCTTCCAGGGGCTTAGCAAGATCTACAGGCCTCTTTGTGGCCCAGCCCTGGGGCCCCGGGGACTCCTCTGCACCACCCCACCCTCATCCTTTTTGGCTCCACGCCCTGCTTGCCATCTTCCACCTCACCACACTCTGTCCTGCCTCAGTTTCCCACCTGCCTTCTCACTGCCCAGGCTGAGCATCTCTGTCTGTTTCCCATGACTGGGCTGTACTTATCCTTCCAGTCCATGTTGGAACGTCACTTCCATGGGGACACCCTCCTCAGCCTCCTAGTCACGCCACGTCAGCCACATGCAATGACCGTGGGCCCCATTAGACCCATTCAAGGACGGCACATGGGGCTGAGTTATCCTCCCATTCTCGCCTCTGCAGCCTGAGCTCCTCAAGGGCAGTGCCAAGTCTGATTGGTCTTGGCAACCCCCACAGTACACAGCAACCCTGCCAGGGCGCCTGGCACGGAGGAGGTGCTCACTGCAGGCTGTGCGGACTCCTGGAGGGGCGTGTGTGTGTGGTGCGTGAGGAAGTGCCAGGTAGCAGTGCTGTATCATGGGTAGTGCTGTTTCTGCTTGGCATGGAATAGCAAGTTGGCATCTGGTACAAACTAGTAACTTCTTATCCAGTTGGCCCAAGCACAGAATTGGTCTATACCCATACCAGAGGATGTGACATATTTTTATTTAAAAAAAAATCAATAAATCATTTGTGGGACTGTCACCAGTAACGATGTGACTGAATTAACCTCTCATCTGCCATGAGGGTGATCTTTTTGTTACTTGATCTTAAGTAACTCACAGAATCTGGGGCACCTGTCAAGCAGGACCTTTGGGCCAGGGGTTGATCTCTAAGCCACTGGAGGGCAGGACTCTCAGGGAACCCTCAGGTGCCCACCAGCCCCTGCTTCTCTGGGCACTCGATGTGAAAGGTCCAGGCTGAGGAGCGGTGGTCCCTGATCCCAGGACAAATCCCCCCTGGTGGTGGCCCTTTGGGTCTGAAATCCCCGCTCTGAGCTGATGTGGTTGCATGGATGCTGCTGAACAAACCCGAGGGGGCTGCTGCTGACGCGATGGGCTTCTGGTGAACTCCTGAGGGAACAGCTTAGCTAGGGGCAGCTGGGCTGCACCATCAACACCTTCTCCTGAACATTGGCCCCCTTGATCCCCGACTGACCCAGATCTTCTGTATCCCCGGGCCCAGCCACCCGGCCTGGCCTGGTCCCACTCCCCAGCACAGGACACCTCCGCACCTTTGTATAGGCTGGGCTCCTGGCCTGGAGTGCCCCATCTGCACAAGCCCCTCTCCCTTGGGAGGCCTTCTAGAACGTTCCGACCCTCCACTCCTTTCTTGAGCCCGAGGAGTGCTTGTGCTTGGGTGTGCGTGGTGTAGCCCAGCCCGATAGCTCCTGCTCAGCCTGTCCCGTGTGTCTGCAGCCAGGGTTTGGAGGATGTGGCGCTGGGCGCATGCTTCCCTCGGCTGCCCCTCCCTCCCTGCCCTGGCGGGGTGTGGGGTGCCCATGCCAGAGAGTGACTGAAGGCGTCCCCACCATGCTCACTCCCTGTGAGCTGCCCTGCAGGGGCCAACTTATCCCAGAAACAGGCTGTCCCCCAAACCACACGTTGTTGACTTTGAAGCACGGTGCATGTTTTGGCAGCAGATTCACCTTCTTAATTATGTCTCTCGGCTGCTATTTCAACCAGCGTGTGCTCCGAGCATGTGCCAGCCTCCACAACGTCTGCGTCCCCCACAGGACGGCTCTGCATTGTCCCCTCCCATGGCTCCTTGTCGTCGCGGGGCTGGCGATGCCGAAGCCACCCTACCAGGCTCCCTGTCTCGGCTCTCCTTCCCCATCGCTGCCTGGCTCTGCGCTGACCACGGGGGGAGCCCCGACCACCCCAGCCTCTCATCTAAGGCCCCACTGTCAGGCTTAGCCTCAGCAGCCTGTGGCTGCCTCCCTCACCTCACCATTCCCTTGGCGGGGTATTCTTTGGGGACACCCGACATGCCTGGCTTGTTGCAGCTTCTGTGCTTTTTCTTTTTTGAGACAGGGTCCTGCTCTGTCGCCCAGGCTGGAGTGCAGTGGTGCAATCACAGCTCACTGCAGCCTCGACCTCCTGCGCTCAGGTGATCCTCCAGCTTCAGCTACCCAAGTAGCTGGAACTACAGGCGTGTGCCACCATGTCTGACTAATGTTTGTATTTTTTGTAGAGACAGGGTCTCACCATGTCACCCAGGCTCATCGCAAGCCTGTGCTTCGGTTTCTTTTGATCCTTCTCTCTTGATGTCCTTGGCTTCCAAAAGGATTCTGTGGTTCCGAGGGCCCCTGAAGGCCCCCTGTGGCAGGAGTTTCCCCACCACTCCCCAGGGCATCTCCCATCTGCACGCCTCTCGGCCGGAGCTTCCTGTGCCCTGTGCCCCTGGATGGGTGCTCTTTGCAGGTAGGGGTGGTGCACGAGTGACCCTCAACTTCCAGCCTCTGAGCACTGCATGGCAGCTGGTGGGCGGGCAGGATCTGCTGGGCTGGGTTGTCCTGGGTCTTGCACTTGTTGTCCATGGTCTTGCTGAGGGTCCATGTGTGACCCTTGTTTCTCTATGTGGAAGTACATGAGAAGCACAAACGCAGGGCAGGGGATCACAGGCGAGTGGGATTCCTCCTGCGACTGCCCCGAGCCACATGTCTGCATACTCAGACCTGCCTACAGGTACCTGGACAGCTCTGGAAGGTGCTCACAGGTGCACTGCGGGGAGAATCTCGGGGAAGGAACAGTATGGGGGACTGGGGTGCAGGTGAAGGAGGCTCTCACTTTTTAATATCAAGCCTGCTTTCGTGTAGTATTTGTATAGCTGTAAAATAATATTGTTAAAAATAACATCCTCATTTAAATACTTTTTTCTTTTTCTTTTTTTTTTTTTTTTTTGAGATGGAGTCTTGCTCTGTCGCCCAGGCTAGAGTGCAGTGGTATGATCTCAGCTTACTGCAACCTCTGCCTCCCGGGTTCAAACGATTCTCCTGCCTCAGCCTCCTGAGTACCTGGGATTACAGGCGCGCATCACCATGCCCAGCTAATTTTTGTATTTTTAGTAGAGACACTGTTTCGCCATGTTGGCTAGGCTGGTCTCGAACTCCTGACCTCAGGTGATCCACCTGTCTCAGCCTCCCAAAGTGCTGGGATTACAGGAGTGAACCACCATGCCCAGCCTAAAGACATCTTTTAATAGGTTAAATAATAGAAAGTCCTTTTAGGAAATGCCACTGCTCTCTGTCCCCTGTGCTCCGTGACTTGCCCACCTGCCTGGGGTGTGGGTGGGAGGCTGGCCCGGACCCCTGCCTGGAGGCCTCCGTGTCCTCAGCCCCAGCTGCGTGCATTTCTTCATGCGTCCCCTGCACACAGGATGCACCGTACCACGTGCCCGGCTGTGGGCTGCGTGTGTGGTAGGGATGTGCAGGTCCCCGGGTGGCGAGGGGGGTTCTGAGTTCCCGGGAGGACATGGACAGGGAAGGAGATGCAGGAGAGACACACACAGGGCCTGTGGGGATTCCAGGGCCAGAGCTGTCAAGCTCGGCGGCTGGAGCTGAAGATGGGGCGGGCTGTGCGGCGCTGGTGACGGGCACCGTGGCCTGGCTGGGGTGCTCAGGTACCAGCTGCTTCTCCTGGCTGGGTCTGGCTCGGTCTCAGCACGTGGCCAAGCCGGCAGCACAAGCACAGGCCTTGGTCTTGGCTGGGAGCAGGGCTGGCCCTGCCAGGCACCAGATCAGAGCCAGGAGCGCGCTGGCAAGCCCCGCGGGACATATTGTGCATCAGCTACCACGGCAGCCCTTCCCAGACGGGCCTCTGCTCGCCTGGGGAGATGGTGGCAGAATGCGGAGGTGCCCAGCCCTGGCCACTGCCCCACCCCTGCACTCTGACCTGCCAGTCCCAGAAATGTCCTCTCAGAGCCCTGGAGTCAGCGGGCGCTTTCTGGGGAGCTTTGCCTTCTCCCCTCTCCCCATCTGTCCCTGACTATTGGAGTCAGTGCTTGTGTTTGAGCCCCCGAATCAAATAGCTTTGCAATTTGTCAAATTATGCAGAAGAGACAGAGGAGAGGAAAGGGAAGTAGTTTGGTTCTATTATGTGGAAATTAGCTTTGAAACAGAGGCCGTTTGCCTGTTAGAGCAATTTCTCTCCATTTATTTCTAGAGAAAATTGCCTGTGTGGCTCACATCCTCATCTGGTGGGGCTGGCTGTCTCCCAGGCCACTAGGCATGGGGGCTGGAGGCCTGCACCAGCCCTGAGGGCGTCTCCATCCTGGCCAGGGAATGGAAGGGAGACCAGGAGGCTTCATGCTGCTGCCCCTGGCCCTGGGGCAGGAGGGGAGGGGGCAGGCTCCGGCTCACTGCCCAGCCCCCATCTACCTCTGAGACATGTCTTGGTGGCTCTTGGAAGGCCAGGTCCCCAGCTCCCTAGAGGATGGGCCTGGCCAAGCCTCCTGGATGGGGGTGGGAGGCCCTGCCTGAGCCTGACCTTGGCGGGAGAGTGCTGCAGGTGATGCTGGGATGGGTGGGAGGGGACTCCAGGAGGAGGGACCAGCTGAAGGCACCACAAGGCCCTGTGTTTGGGAAAGGGCAGAAGTCAGGCAAGACCTAGAAGTGGCAATCCCAACTGCATTTTCTATCCTTCCAGGTGGAGCTGCCACCTGTCTGCAGATCCCAGCCCGGCCAGCCAGCTCTACTGCAGGGCGCACTGGGGTGTCTCGGGGAGACTGGCAGAGTGATGGCTGCAGGCTGCTGCCCTTCACGGAGCCTCCTGTGGCCACACTCGTGGGGTGCCCGTATCTGCTGCCTGGGGGTCCCTGCACGAGCCCTCTGGGAGGCATGCGGGCTCCAGGGTTCCAGTGGGGAGCTTGTAGTGTGGTGAGGGGGGACCTGCTAGGGCCATGCACCACTGGAGGGCAGCAGCCCCCCACCCCTGCAACCCTGTCTGCTGCTCCGGAGCTCCGAGCAAAGTGTACACCTGGGCATCCTGAAGGAGACTCAAAGCCAGGACGCTCGGGTGGGGTCTGAGTGCAACATCACACTTGGCCGTGGCTGAGGGGAGAGGGCAGCCCTTTTGTGCTATTATCATATTGTTTTGGGGAAATTGCTTTTTATGAAATAAATTTTACATAAAGTGAAATGTGCAGATCTTAAGGGTACAACCTGATGAGTTTTGACAAATACACACACATAACCAACACCCAACCAAGTTGTTTTGAGCTTTATCTGTGTAGTTTATCCATTTTATCTTTGAAGGGTATTCCATTTTATAAATATAAAATCTATTTATGCTTTTTCCTGCCAGTGTACCTTTGGGTAGTTTCCAGTTTTTGACTATTATAAATACAGTTGCTATAAACATTCTTGTGCAAGTATTTTTGGGGTACAAATGTTTCTATTTCCTTTGGATAAATAGCTAGGAGGGCCATAGGACAGGTGGAGGTTTAATTATGTAAGAGATTGCCAAGCAGTTTTCTAAGTGGCAGCACCGTTTTGTACCCTCACCTGCAGTATAGGCGAGTTCCGGCTTCTGCATATCCACACTGACATTTAGTATTGTCAACCCGATGGGCAAAAAACTACTTCCTGGAGATTTTCGTATCTATTTCCTGATGATTAATGATGTTACACATCTTTTCATGTGCTTATCCAGCATTTATGTGTCTTCTTTTATGAAGCATCTTTTAATTGGATTTTTTATTATTGATTTGTAAGAACTCTTTATATATTTTGGATAAGTGGATTGTCTTTTTATTGTTGATTTGTAAGAACTCTCAATATATTCTGGATATAAGATGTATGTGTGTGTGAGTGTGTATATATATGTGTATATGTGTGTGCATATATATATACATATATATTAATAGAGTTAGAGAAAATATATGTGTGTGTATATATACACATATATATACACACACATATATTTTTTTCCCTAATTTTATGAAATACCTTTTTGTTTTTTGACAATGTCTTGATGACCTGAAATTTTAAATGTTGATTAATTTCTGCTTGTTGTTTTTTCTTTATTGGCCAGAGCCTTTTGTGTCCTCTCTAAAGAGTCTTTGTTTACCTCAATGTTGCAGATTTTCTCCTGTGTGTTCTAGGTATTTCCTGGTCCATATTTTAGATTTAGATCTGTGGTTTATCTTAAATTAATTTTCATGTATGGTGTGAGGAAGGGGTTGGGGTTTATTTCCCCCATAAATGTATCCAGTTGCTCCAACATCATTTGTCAAAGAGACTTTCTTTCTTTATTGAATTTCCTTGCAGCCTTTGCTAAAAATCGATGGGAAATGTATTTATGGGTCTAGTTCTTGTCTCTACATTTTCTTCCATTATCTAAGTGTCTATTTCTTCGCCAGTATCTCACTGCCCTGATTACTGGGCTTTGCAGCATCCTGAAATCAGATCGTATTAGTCCAACGGTGCTCTTTATCCAGGATCATGTTTCTTTTCCAGGTCTTTGCACTTGCAAATGCATTTTAGAATCAATCAATCAATTTCCGTCAAAAAGCTCATTGGAATTATTATGAAGATCACATTCGGTCTACTGATCATTTTGGGGTGGCTGAACAACATCCTAGCCATAGAGAGTCTGCCCATCCATGAACTTGGTATACTTCTCCATTCATTCAGCTCTTCTTTAATTTCTCTCAGCAATACTGTTGCAGTTTAGGGGATAGATCTGGACCTGGTGCTGTCAGAGTTAGGGAATGATATGGGCAGAGCATTTGACTGTAATCTGGGAAGCAAGGACTGGTGCCCACCTGCAGGCCTGTGGGGACTCTGGGCAGCAAGGCAGCCTCTCAGCTTCTGCCCAGGCAGCAGCCACAGCTCACTGTGATGCCAGGTATGCACACTTCCAGGGGGCCCATTGTCCTTCCACCCACCTTCTAGTCCACACTCAGGAACGTTCTAAGCCATCCCTGTCGGGTGGGGCAGGAGAGGGGAGAATCCAGACCTCACAGGAGCCCCAAACCCTGATATCTCCAAAGTGCCCTTTTGCCAGCCCTGGTCTCTGCTTTTGTGTCCTGGGTTTGGCTACATGTTGACAAAGATGCTCACTCGGAAAGTTGAGCAAGACCAGCTCTCATCTGTTGTTATGGTTACGAGGCAGGAAAAACAATTTCCTGTGAGTATCTTCTGATCACTCCTGTCGGATGCTGGAGCAGATTAGGCCAGGCACCATGGTGATGGCTTCTCTGGTTCTGTGGGGGACCATGTGACATTCATTTTGACCTCACACATGGGGTTGCAGTCTGCCGGCTCAGTCAGGGGAGATAGACGGATCTCATTAAGAACCATCAGAGGATCACTTTGCTGGTTTTATTGCAGTTGCAAAATTGCCTTTACCTCACTCTCTCCCAAATGCCAGATTACAAACATCACAAGAGATCAAGAAGCCTGGGTGGGCCCAGGAACGCACTGAGTGCACGCCAGTGGGCAGTGACCAATCACCAAACCCAAGGGAGTCCACATGGCGAGCTGTCTCCTTGCTACATGGGGCCTGCCTACTCACAGCTGGGAGCCCCTCCAGCACCAGGAGGCCCAGGTCTCCCCGAAAAGAGAACACACTCTCTGCAGGGGCAACTTCCACCTCCCCACCGACCCAGGCCCCCCAGTTGCAGAGCTGCAGAATGGCAGAATTGGGCCCCCCAGTTACAGAGCTCCCCAGAGCTGCAGAACGGCAGAGGGAGGCAGCAGGGAGACAGACCCATAAGTCTGGTCTTGGAGAAAGGGGTGGCTGCAGCCAGGTGGAGCAGCAGGCTGGGCCATTTCCTGGTCACAGAATCTTCTATCCCAGCCCCATGGCAACCTGGGGGCAATCTCCCCCTCCGCTCTCTCCTGAGGGAGAATCTCCCCCTCTGCTTGTTCTCCAGGCAGGGCCTGGGCTGCCCACGGTGGAGGAGAGGTTCACCCTCAGCCAGCCAAGTCTCTGCCCTTCTCTTCCAGATCCAAGCGCCCAGTGTGGCTTGCAGTCCTTACCTGTCTTCTCCTCTTGCTTTGGATGAAGCTTCAGGGTCCTGCCAGTGAGGAAATGGCCAAACACTGAGAAGGTGACCCCGGCCAGCTGACACCCCACGGTGGCTGCTCTGCGATGGGCAGCTGCTCCAAACCTGGGCCTGGGGCAGGGGGCAGGAGGAAGGGGGTCTGCAATGTGGTGGTTGCCTTGCTGGAAGCTTCTAGGACAAGAGGTCTCCTTAATGGCAGACAAGTGGGGAGAGTGTCTGGAGGTGCCTGGCGCCAAGATGTGGGGTGAGGTCGCCAGGGAGGGGTGCAGGGGAGGGGCTGCACACTGCTCCTTGGGTGGGACAGAGCAGGGACAGGGAACGAGGAGGCTGAACTTGGGGGCCAGGGAGGCCAGAGGAGGCTGGGTGGGGTAAGGGTGCAGGCAGGTAGGGAGTGTGTGTCTGAGAGGAGGGCGGCGTTGCTGGGGGAGCCAACATGCCAGGAGGAGCAGGGAGGCAGGAGAGGAGGAGGGGTGGTAGTAGGTGGGAGACCCCAGTGGGTTTCTATTTAGGAACTCATTTCCTGCTTTGTGATGTCCTCAGGTTTTAAGTTGCCTGACCCTGCAGGTGGAAAGGCTGACAGTGGCAGGTGGGGGTCCCCAAGCTGCCCCCAGAACCAAAGGTCAGGCAAAGGCTGCAGGTGGACCTCAGCTCTGAGGCTCACCTCCCTCTTGGCCCCTCAGGGTGACACCTTCTAGGAGGTCCCAGCGGGGCAGTCATCCCAAATCCAGGCCTGTTGCTTCCTGCCTCCTTCCCCAGCCTCACTCAGGGGCCAGCCAGCCAAGGTCACCTTGGCTATGATAGGTCAGTGTGGTCCCAGGTGGGGCCCTGACACCTTGTCTGAAAGACATGGAGGAGGAGGGGCCCCAGCCCCAGAGACTCAGCTCTCTGCACCCACAGACTCTCCCCAGCCCCCCAGCCCAGCAGGTCAAGGACCCCAGGCGGGGGCTCTCGGCAGCCCCTGCAGTGAGTCTCCCTCCCACTGTCAGTGTGCAGAGGGTCCCACGTGCTCCGGGACCGCGATTACATTTTCACAAAGAAATTGGAGAAACTACAGCAAACACAGCTCAGCTGTGGCGCTGAAGGGATTCCCTTCCTCTTTCTTCTTTTTGTCCTCTGCGAGTTCAGTTACTCCTGCCCTGGTCATGTGCAGCCCCGAGTCTGGCACTGGAGACGGGTTTGCTGTTTTGAGGGCGGAGGACGTGGCCCAGAAATGGTAGTAGAAGGGGAGCTCTTGATGTGGACAGCTCCCCTGCTGGGTGTCCAGCCTGCCCAGTTGCCCTGCCCGGAGGGAGGAACAGAGAGGAAGATGCCAAGGCTGGCTGGAGCAGGCGCCAGGTGTGCCTGCAGCAGCTCTGGGGGTGGGGAGCAACCATGCGGGGGGTGCAGGTGCCGCAGTCACCTTCCAGGTGGCCCAGTGGCTACCCGTCTTCACTATCCCGGGACGTGCCAGGCCTCCTGGCACTTTCCCCGGTGGTGAAGCAGAACTTCTGAGGCAGCCCTCTGCTATGGCTGCCCCTATTGTGGCCGTCAAGCTCAGCCTGGCTGCAGGCGGGGGCCGGCGTCTCCCGGGTCCTATCTCCTGGGTTGTGTTGTGAATCCGCAGACTGAGGGGCTGTGTGGTGTGGGTGGCGTGTGGTTTGCTGAGGAGCCTTGCTTTGGAGGTCTGGCCTTATTAGAAAACGTTACTTTATTATCTCACATTTCCAGAGGCCAGGAATTCAGAACAAGTCTCATGGCTTTAAAATCTAGATGTCAGCAAGGCTGGTTCCCTCTGGAGGCTCAAAGGGAGAATCTCGTCCCTGTCTCTCCAGGCTTCGGGGGCTCCAGGTGGCCCTGGTGTGGCTGCACCCCTCCATCTCTGCCTCTGTCTGCGCGGTCTCCTCCTCTGCGTTGCCAAATCTGCCCCTGCTTCCTCTTAAAAGGATTCCCGTGATTGCATGCAGGGTCCACCCCATCCAAGAGCCACTCCCTAGCTCCAGTCCTTGACTTAATCACACCGGCAGGGGCCATGTGAAGTCACACATTCACAGGCCCCAGCCACCAGGATGTGAATCTTTGAGATGTCAGCCTATCAGCTATTACACTAGGGTGGCGTGACCAACTCATCCAGTCTGCCTGGGGCCTTCCCGGCATTGGCATTCAAAGTCCCATGCCCTGGGAAACCCCTCAGTCCCAAGCAAAGGGATGGGGAGCCGCCCTCCTCTGTGGCAGCCTCACCTTAGCAGCTCATGTCTCCAGGGCACCTGCAGCACCAGGATGAAGCCTGACTCTCAACAGTCAGTCAGGCAACCCTGGGAGGTAATGCGTGCATGGAGAAGCCTGTGCTGTGCCAGCTGCCGGCCACCCCTCCCAGCTTTCTCAGCCCTTCCTGCTGAATGAGTCTCACTCTCTGTGTGGGGGCCCAGGGGGCCGGTGACACCTAGAGGGTGGCAGGACCCAGGCTGGCACGAGGTCTGAGGCACACCCACCTCCAGCTCAGGGCAGGCTGATAACTGCTCCTCCCTCTCCCCAGCAGGTCTAATACCTTGGCCTCAGCAGAGACCTGTGCCTGCAGTTGCTGACATTTAGCCCCTAAATGAATGAGAAGCTGTGTTATGTGTGTTATGCTGTGGCCTGAGGGCTCTGTGGTGTGGGCGGGGTGTGGTTTGCTGAGGAACCTTGCTTTGGAGGGCTGGCATTACTAGACTCCTCTGGTAGGCTGGGATGGCCTGAGAGGAAAGGGGGCTGTACTGGGTTCTGGGCCCAGCACTGTGGCTCGGTTGTTTTCAGGCGGGCTGGTGTGGACAGATCTCCTCTAGGTGCAGCCCGCTGGCCCATGGACCAACTTGGTAGGAAATTGATGCTTATGCAGCAGTGTGCATGTGTGTCGGCATGGGGGTTGTAAACACGGAGTTCAGAGCTGTTACCTGGGTGCCCAGGCTGCAGGAGGACATGGGTGGGCAGTAGCTGAGGGTGGTGCAGGGATAGACAAGTCTTGTATCAGCCTGCTTGCCACCAGCTGCTAAACGGCCATGCCCCACCACTCCCTGGGCTTCCCTTTCTCTGTCTGCAATGTGAAAGGCTAGCACCACGTGGTTTCTAAGCTCCGTCCAACCTAAAGTCTGTGATGCTGCCAACTCACCACAGTTATATTAAAGTGGTAAAGTGGGTTAGATAGAAATGAGTACTTTTATATTATTTAAGATCCATGGGCAGAGTCTCCTACTACAGCTTCCAGACTCACTCTTCTGAGTTAAGCAACTAGAAAACTGGGCAAAAAAGTATGAAACGACTGTTCTCAGACATTGGAGAGTGAGCGCTGTCTTAGTCCATTTTTGTTGCTATAAAGGAATACCTACTGCTCGGTAATTTATAAGAAAAAGAGCTTTATTGCCTCATGGTTCTGCAGGCTGGACAGAAGCATGGTGCCAGCATCTGCTCAACTTCTGGTGAGGACCTCAGGCTGTGCCACCTTCCCCACTCACAGGGGAAGGTGAAGGGAAGCTGGTGTGTGCAGAGACCACATGGCAAGAGAAGAAGCAAGATGGGGGAGGTGCCAGGCCCTTTTCAACAAGCCCCTCTCATGAGAACTAACAGCAAGAGCTCGCTCCTCCCTGAGGGAGGGCATGATCTATGCATGAGGGGTCCACCTCCACCACCCAGCCACCTTCCATTAGGCCCCACCTCCAACCCTGGGAATCCAATTTCAATATGAGGTTGGGGGGAAAACATTCAAACCACAGCAAGTGCAGAACTGAGACACCCATTCAGAGGGAAACAAATAAAGTGACCCCTCTGAGGCCTGGACTTTCTGTGTGGAGACAATGTCCAGGAGGGCTGCTATGCTGAGGACTGGATTATGGAGTAATGGGCTGTGATGGGGAAGGAAGGCCTTAGTCAAGGTGTGGTGGACCTGCTTCCTTGGTACTGATTTGGAGATTCCTTTAGGATGGCTGGACATTTTTTCAGTTCTCCGTCCTTCCTTAAGGCTGACAGCTCTTTGTCTTCTTATGAGAGGAGGGATCCACACAGAGCCTGGTGGTCTCATTGGATTGAGGAGATAGAGATCAGAATTTTGGGAGGCTGAGATGGCTAGAATTTGCTGGCAGAATACCAGAGAAGAGGGAAATAGGCAGAAAAAGAGTGCCAGAATTCTGCATAGGGGTTCCCATAGGTCTGTGCCTGAATGTCAATTGTCCCACGCAAGGCGTGAAACTTCAAGGGCAATGCTGAAGAAATAACAATTATCAGAGAGCTGCAAGGTGAATGGCTTAGAACCATCTAAGTTTCCACCAGCCAGAATGGAGAGAAGTTATTGAAGACATGGGCATTCACTAGAGACTCAGAAGAGTTTTGCTTTAGTAGTGGGGCTTAACTCACCCAAGAGGAAAGGTGACTCTAGACTCACCCTCAAAAGCATCAAACTTCTCTCCAGGTGACTTAACTGCCTGCCAGAATGGAGCCCAACACTCTTTAAAGGCATGTAAGTGAATTCAGAACTCAACAATGTACAGTATTCAACACAATGTCCAGCATCCAATCAAAAATCACTAGACAAACAAGTAGGAAAGTAGGGCCTATCGACAGGAAAAAATTAGTTATTAATAATAGAGATAGGCCCAGAACTGACAGAGGTGATGGAAAAGGCAAACCAGGATGTTAAAACACTTGTTATAAATATGTTCCATATACTCAAGGACTTAAAGGAAAACATGAACAGAGCGAGGAGAGAAATAGGGGACACAGAAATTCCAAGTGGAATTTCTAGAAGTGGCAAATTGTGCCAATCTCTGAAGTGAAAAGTTCACTGGATGGGACAGTACACTGCAGAAAAACCAGTGAATTCACTTTGGTATTTAAAAGCAGGGGTTGGTAAACTGTGGCCTATGGGCCAAATCCAGCTTGTTGCCCATTTTTATAAATAAAGTTTTACTGGAATGCAGCCACACTCACTTGTTTACGTACTGTCTGTATTAGTCCATTTTCATGCTACTAATAAAGACATACCTGAAACTGGGTAATTTATAAAGAAAAAGAGGTTTAATGGACTCACAGTTCCACATGGCTAGGGAGGCCTCACAATAATGGGGGAAGGTGAAGGAGAAGCAAAGTTCTGTCTTACATGGCAGAAGACAAGAGAGAAAGCATGTGCAGGGGAGCTCCCATTTGTAAAACCATCATATCTTGTGAGACTTACTCACTATCATGAGACCAGCACTGGATAGACCTGCCCTCATGGTTCAATGGCCTCCCACCAGGTCCCTTCCACAACATGTGAGAATTATGGGAGCTAACATTTGAGATGTGGGTGGGGACACAGCCAAACCGTATTGCTGTCTATGACGGCTTTCACGTAACAACATCAGAGTTTAGTAGTTGCAACAGATTGCATGGTGCACCAAGGCTGAAATATTTACTAGCCAGCCTATTGCAGAAAAAGTTTGCTGAGCCCTGGTTTAAAGTATTTACCTTGTGATCCCTTTATACTACAAATTGCAGAGCAAGCCCTTTATCAAAGATAATGTACACATTAATTTTTAGCCAGTTAGGTCAGAATTATTCCAGATCAGTAGAACATGAATTCCCAGGAATGGGCATCATAACCTCAGGTTACAGTTTGAGCATGGTGGAAATTGGAAAGAAAATGCTTGCACAAGGGCAGGTCATTCCTACCCTGCTCTCAACTCCCTCCTCCACAGCCCTGCCTCACCCACTCTGTGTTGCCCTGAGTACCAGGGTCTTTGTTCTGCTCACTTTTAGGAGGTCTCTCTCCTTCTCCCACTAGAACATGAGCTCCCCACTGGAGGGAGAACTGTCTGCCTCATCCTTTGCCCCATGGGCAGCAAAGGCTCAGCCTTGGGTCACAGACCAGATGCAGGAATGAGGCCCAGATATGGAAGGACCGGCTGTGAGTTCTGGGTCACGTCCCAGCACACTGGCTGGCTTTGGGAGGGATAACTTCGCCTTTCTATTCAACAGCAGTGAATTTCCCCCTCCTTTCTTCACCCTCTCTTTTTTTCAGTTTTTTTAGCTGACATCTATAATTTGGAAAGCCATAAAAATGAATATAGATGAAATATTAGAGGGCGGCAGCCTGAGAAAAGCATGGACAAAGAGGCTCTCACCGCCTTCAATAGGTCTTAAAACCGCTTTCATCTCCACGCTGCCTCAGCCCAGTGAAATTGATTCATTGACCAAATTGGCCATTTAAAATTCAAAAGCCTAAGCTCGCTCGGTGCAGCTCCCTCCTCTCCAGATTTATGGGGCCGCAGAGAGGCACCCGGGGTGTCTCTAGTTTCTTTTTTAAGGATGATCAACAGTGAGGCAACAGGCCCCTTCTTCCTGGAGAGTACACACTTGCCCACAGCCACAGTCTGAAGCGGGCGGCCGTGCCAGGCACTGGCTCTCGGGACCACAGAGGGCAGCTTTGCAGGTGCCGTCCTGGGAGCCCTGTCTGTGGGGATGACCTCCCCTCTGACCTCCTGTCCTGGTCAGTTGGAAGGACAAGGACTGGCAGTGCTTCCCAGGAAGGAAAGAGGTGGAAAGCGGCCTGGGATCCCAGTCGGTCACAGCAGCTGCCTGAGCCAGGGCTGCTATACCTGGCCCCTGGGAGTCTGAGAGTGCCCAACCTCTGCTTCTGAACTCACCTTGCTGTCCTGGGCAGAGCCACAGCACTGGGCAGGCCTGCAGGCTGGTCCCAGAGGTGACACAGGGCTAAGCAGGAACCTCCTGTGCAAAAGAATTTTATGGCAACCAGAGGATGCAAGGGTGGGGCCATCTGAGAAGGAAGTGGAGGTGAGCCTTTCCTCCCCAGGTGGCAGGCAATGGTGAGTGATCAGTCCCCAGGTGGAGTTACACTGCAGGGAACTCCTTCCCTGGTCACCTGGGCTCTGGCCACCTCTTCTAGGTAAACAAGCTGCCCCAGCAGAAGTCTGCAGTCTAGAACCATGAGACTTCTTCAGGCTGCAAGAGGACAACTGGGAGGGGACATGGGAAAAGGGGACTGGAAAGTGAACAGGTACTCCAGAGCTCCTGTTCTAGAACATTAGGGCATCTGCCAGCCCAGAATGAAGCTCCCAGGGGACCTCAGGTGGCAACAAAAATGGGGGTGAGAAAGGTCTGGAAATGTAGCACAGCCAGGGTTCAGTCTGAGACAAGGATTTATAGCTCAGCCTGAGATCAAGATTCAGGCTTAGTATGAGATCAGGATTCAGGGCTCAGTCTGAAATCAGTATTGGGCTCACTCTGAGATCAGGATTTGGGTTTTGATATGGTTTCGCTCTGTGTCCCCACCCAAATCTCATCTCGAATTGTAATCCCCATGTGTTGAGGGAGGGAGGTGATTGAATCATGGGGCGGTTCCCCCACGCTGTTCTTATGATAGTGAGTGAGTTCTCATGAGATCTGATGCTTTTATAAGTGTCTGGAAGTTCCTCCTTCGCTCTTCTCTCTCCTGCCACCTTGTGAAGAAGGCACTTGCTTCCCCTTCGCCCTCCTCCATCATCGTAGGTTTCCTGAGCGCTCCCCACAAGCCATGTGGAACTGTGAGTCAATTAAACCTCTTTCCTTTATAAATTACCCAGTCTCAGGGAAGTTCTTTATAGCAGTGTGAAAATGGACTAATACAGGCTTAGTCTAAAATCAGGATTCAGGCTTAGTCTGAGATAAAGATTCAGACTCAGTTTGAGATCAGTATTCAGGCTCAGTGTGAGACCAGGGTCAGAGCTCAATCTGAGGCAGAATTTTTAGGGCTTAGTCTGAAATCAGGATTCAGGCTCAGTCTGAGATCAGGATTTGGACTCAGTCTGAGTGATACCAGTGTTCAGTCTGGGAACAGGATTCAGGCTCTGTCTGACATCAGACATCCTGGGCAGGATGGAGGCAACCCATAGGTCATCACCTCCTGGCAGGGGGAACAGTAGCAGACACACACACACACACACACACACACACACACACACGAACAACCATGTGAGGACCCAGGGAAAAGACCACACCACATGCCCAGGAGGGAGGCCCAGGATAAAGCAGCCCTGCCACCACCTTGACCTCGGACCTTCAGCCGCCGAGAGTGTGAGAATCCCTTTTCCTCCCGTGAAGGGCACCATGTGTGCTGCTGTGCTGTGGCTACCCAAGCAGATACTACAGATTGGGATTTGGAGGTTAAAAAGCATGGATGGTGTTTCTTTGAACTGACATTTCTAGATAACTTTCCAAAAATGCTGCCGAATGTCCGCTTCCCAGCAGTAGTGATGCACGCTCTCTCTTCTTCGCATCCTCTCCTGCAATCGGTCCTGCTGCCCTTTCAATTTGCTGGTCAGGTGGGTTTTAAGTGACAGCTCCTTGTGGCTTTAACTTGCATGTCACCAATTATTGGTAGTTTTGAACATTTCTTATATGATGTTAGCCATTTGGATTTACTCTTTTGTGAATGTGTATTGTTTTGACCCTTTTCCTATTGGATTTTTTTCTCCTATCAATTTGTAAGCACTTTTCATATCTTACAGATAACAGCTTTCTCACTGTTGTTTTCATCATAAATCACTTTTTTTTTTGTTTTTCTTTTTTCTTTTTTTTTTTCTGAGATGGAGTTTCACTCTTGTTGCCCAGGCTGGAGTGCAGTGGTCTGATCTCAGCTCACTGCAACCTCCACCTCCCGGGTTCAAGCGATTCTCCTCCCTCAGCCTCCCAAGTAGCTGGGATTACAGGAACATGCCACCACGCTCAGCTAGTTTTGTATTTTTAGTAAGACAGGGTTTCACCATGCTGGCCAGGCTGGTTTTGAACTCCTGACCTCAGGTGATCCACCTGCCTTGGCCTCCCAAATTGCTGGGATTCCAGGCGTGAGCCACTGCATCTGGCCCACTTTTTGTTTTTCTAAACTTATACTTTGTCTGTTGATTTGGTTTTAGGTATCTATTCATAGATGAGTTTTAAATTGTTTTATAGTCCATCATATTTATACTTTCTTCTAAGAATTTCTGAGTTTTCAGTCTTGCTTAATGAGGAATCCTTACCCTAGCTGGCATGGTCTTCCAGATTTTCTTGCAGTATTTTTATTTTATTTTTACTTTCTTTTACATTTAAGTCTTTAATCCACTTAGAATTTAGTTTTGATTAAGATGAAGGAGTGGATCCACTTTTATTTTCTTCTAGATGGCAGCTGGGTGTGCTAGTCCATTAATTAAATGATGCTTCTGTTTACCCTGAAACAAATGAAGCTTGGTCTTATCTTCTTGCTTATCCTGAGGTCATTTTCTGGTTTTCTAACCCAACTCGTGGCGTGTTGTCAGTGTGTGTACAGTGGCAGGGTTGTCTCATCTTGCACGAGTATTTATCCTCCCATAAAAATGTCTACATAATTCTACCCAACAAGACCACACCAAAACCCCTAAAACTCTGTTGGGAATCTAATGAAATGGCATTTGACTAAAAGATAAATTTCAAGAGAATTGACATTTTTAAATTGAAAGTTCTTATCCAGAAAAATGTGTCTGCTTTGTGTCTTTAAATAAGATTTTATCATTTTTTTATCCCATAGGGATTGTATCAGTCAGGTTCTGACCTGGAAACCAGAAATCACTCTAGATCTTTTAAGCAGAGGGAATTTAATGCAGGGAGCTGGTTGTAGGGGTTACTTTGTATGGTGGTGAGGTCACTTCTACCCCAGGGCTGGGCCTGGAGGGTCAGTGTAGAGCATGCTCTAATCATATTGAGACTCTCAGCCCCATTTGGGACCATGGAGAAAGGAGCTTTCAGGTGGGAGCCCACAGCCACCGAGGAGACCCAGCTGCAGCTGGAGGTGCCACTGGAACAGAGAGAGGGAGAGAAGGGCCTCACGTGTCCTTTCATCCCACCCTTCAATCTTGGGTCAGCACCGCCCATTGGCCAAATCTACTGGAAGACAGAAGGGAAGGGAGCCTGGAGTATGGAGCAGGGCAGGACAGGAAATGGCTCCGAGCAGCAGTGGGCAGATGCTGGGCACACAGTTCCCGAGTCCTGTTCCATTGCTCCCTAAGTAGCTCACGGTTTTGTCACTGTTGTGGACAGACTGATTCTTCCCCTTTCCGTTTCTAGATGCCTATCATTTGAAAAGAGATAGTGCATTTGTTTCTGCATAATTATATGACATCATCTCATCCTATCACATTTTCTTTTTAATTCTAATTTTTAAATACAATATCTGGGTTGTGAAAACTAATAGCTATATCTTTTCCAACGCTTAAAGTATGTGTTTCATTTTCTTGGCCATTTGCATCTGCTTGAAGCCTCAGTGCAATATCAAATAAAAATGGTGGACCTCCCTTGCTAAGTTCTGGTTTTAATTGTATTAGTTTGGTGTTTCATGATTTGGATATTATCTGTGTCAGGTGGCCAAGTCATCCCTAAAGGGAGCGTGGCAGCGGCAGTGAGGTCAGCAGGTTTCACTCCCATAGACCTCGCTGCCAAGAAGACAGAGCAGCCAAGAGGATTCAAGACAGTTCATTACTCACACAGACAGCAAAGCCACAACCAGTGCAGTGTCAGGTCCTGGTGCCCCTAATCCACAGGTCGACTGAAACAGAAAGGTCTGGTGATCGTCGGCTTGAGTGTTGGGTCACTCTGCCATTGAGGAGTCCTCTCTAAACTATGGCCAAGCATTTGTACAGACTACACAGAAGCCAGCAGCTCCACATGACAGGGGAGTGGTGAGGAAGAGCTTTGTGCTCAACGGAAACCGGGGAGATGGATGAGCAACCCTTGGAGGCATTCTCACACGGATCAGGGGCTGCCCTTGCTGACTCCTCCCCAGCCTAATCTCCCCTTGCTTCAGGAGGAGTCATTCCCAGGACTCAGCTTAGACTGTGGCCAAGCCTCCTCTAGGAGGCCTGTAAGGAGATGTGCAACATGGTAGGGGCACCATGGGAGAGCCATTCCCCTACAAATAGCAGCTGGGATTTGAGATCTCTTTTTTAATAGTTTCTTTTTAGTATTACTTTTCTCCAGATTTTTTTGCAGGACCGATTGCTGAGTTTCCTCAAATGCTTTTTCGGTGTCTATTGATGGGATCATGTGGTTGATGGATATACTAAATTTTGTAGCTAGTTTCTTGGTATTGAACTACCCTTGCATTCCTGAAAACCAACACATAATACTTGGTCATAGCAGATTTTTAGAAATATATTTCTGGGTTCTATTTTCTAATATTTTATTCAGATTCTTTTTACATATATATTGTGAGTCAGTTTATAGTTATCTTTTTCTGTTCTCTTTTAATTATACAATTAAAGTTTCACTTATACAATTAAAATTTCCCATCTTTTCCCATGTCCCAGAATGTTCAAAATAACATTGAAATTATTTGTATTATTATATAGAGAAAGCCAGCTTTGACCTGTTTAAACCTGGTGACTTTTTTTAAAAAAAGAAACAGTTTCATCAAGATATAATTTGCATACCATATGAGTCACCTAAAGTGTACAAATTGATGTGCTTTAGTACATTCACCATTCACAGGGTTGTGCAACCACCATCATAATCTAACTTTAGAACATTTTTGTTTCTCATAAAAGAAACCCTTTATCCATTAACAGTCATTCATATTCCTCTCTGCTCACTTCCCAGCTCTAAGAAAATTCTAATCCATTTTCTGTCTCTATGGATTGGCCTGTTTTAGACACTTTATTACAAATGCAATCCTATAATATGTGGTTCTTTGTTACCGACTTCTTGCACTTAGCATGTTTTCAAGGTTCATCACTATCAACATTTTGTGGAATTTATCAGTATTTCATTTCCTTTTCATTGCCAAATAATATTTCATTGTACTGATAGAATGCATTTTATTTATTCATTTATTGGTTGATGAATATTTGAGTTATTTCAATTTTTGTCTATTACGAATAGTGCTGCTATGAAAATTTGCATATAAAAATTGTGGACATGTGTTTTCATTTATTTTGGGTATATACACTTAAGAGTGGAATTACCAGGTCATATGGTAAATCTATGTTTAACATTATAAGAAATTGCCAACCTGTTTCCAAAGCAGCTACAGCATGTTGCAACCCCATCAGCTTCCAGTTCCTTCATATCCTCGTCTGCAGCTGTCATTGTCTGTCTTCTTGATCCTAGACGTCCTCAGGATGTGGGGTAGAATCTGGTTGTGGTTTTGGTTTCTACCTCCCTGATGAATAAAGATATTGAACAGCTTTTCACGTGCTTATTGGCCTTTTGTATATTTACTTTGAAGGAATGTCTATTTAAGCCCTTTGCCCCCTTTTAAATGGTATTTTTGTCTTTTTGTTATTGAGCTATAAGAATTTTTTTTTTTTTTTTTTGAGATGGAGTCTCACTCTGTCTGTCACCCAGGCTGGAGTGCAGCCTGGCTCACTGCAAACTCCACCTCCTGGGTTCATGCCATTCTCCTGCCTCAGCATCCCGAGTAACTGGGACTGCAGGCACCCGCCACCACGCCCGGCTAATTTTTTGTATTTTTAGTAGAGACGGGGTTTCACCATGTTAGCCAGGATGGTCTCAATCTCCTGAACTCGTGATCCGCCCGCCTTGGCCTCCCAAAGTGCTGGGATTATAGGCATGAGCCACTGTGCCCGGCCAAGAATTTTTAAATATATAGTGGATATAAGGCCTCTAGCAGATATATGACTTGAAAATATTTTCTCCAATTCTATGGTGTTCTACTTTTGCTTTCTTGGTGGTATTATTTGTAGCATAAAAGTTTAAATTTTGATATGGCCCAGTTTATCTATTTTTGGTTGATGTTTCTGTTTGTGCTCTTGGTGTGCTATTTAAGAAACCATTGCCTAACCCAAGGTCATGAAGATTGACTTTTATGTTTTCTTCTAAGAGTTCTGTAGTTTTAACTCTTATCTCATAGACATTGAGGTTTACGATCTATTTTGAGTTTTAATTTTTGTGTATGGTATGAATTAGGGGTTATTCATTCTTTTGCATGTGGAAATATAGCTGTCCCAATGCCATTTATTGAAAAGACTCTTCTTTCCCCCACTTAACTGTCTCAGCACCTTGTTGAAAACCAATTGGCTATGAATGAAAAGGTTAATTTCTGGACTCCCAATTCTATTCTATTGATCTGTGTGTCTGTCTTCATGACAGTATCACATTGTCTCGATTACTGTCACTTTGTAGTAAGTTTTGAAATCAGGAAGTGTGAGTCTTTCAACTTTATTCTTTGTTTTCAATTTGTTTTCTTTGCTATTCTGAGTCCCTTGTGTTTCCAAATGAATTTTAGAGTCAGTTTGTCAATTTCTATAAAACAGTCAGTTGGGATTTTGATAGGGATTGAGATGACTCTGTAGGTTGATTTGGGCAGTACTGTCATTTTAACAATAATAAATCTTCTGACCCATGAACATGATATGTCTCCATTAATGTTGATTGTTTTCAGTTTATTTCAACAATGTTTATAGTTTTCAGTGTACAAGGTTTACACTTATTTTGTTTAAATTATACTTAAAGATTTTATGTTTTGAATGCAATTAGTAACGGATTTTTCTCCTAATTTTATTTTCAGAGTATTCTTTCGTAGTATATAGAAATACACTGATTTTTGTCTTAATATGTTAATCCTGTATCCTTCAAATTTGTTTAAGCCACTTATTAGCTCTAATGATTTTTATTTTGTGGATTCTTTGGGGTTTTTTAAACATACAAAATAATATTATTTGCAAACAGAGATAGTTTTACATCTTTTCTAATCTGAATGCTTTTATTTCATTTTCTTGCCTAATTGTCCTGGCTAGAAACTTCAGTACAATGTCAAATAGAAATGGCAACAGCAGACATCCTTGTCTTATTCCTGACTGTAGAGGGCAAGGCTTTCATTCTTCCACCATTAAGTATGAAGTTTGCTGTAAGTTTTTTTTTTTTTGAGACAAAGTCTCACTCTGTTGCCCAGGCTGGAGTGCAGTGGCATGATCTTGGCTCACTGCAACCTCTGTCTCTTGGGTTCAAGCAATTCTCCTGCTTCAGCCTCTTGAGTAGCTGGGATTACAGGCTTGTGCCACCACGCCCGGCTCATTTTTGTATTTTTAGTAAAGACAGGGTTTCACCATGTTGGTCAGGCTGGTCTCAAACTCCTGACCTCGTGTCCGCCCACCTCGGCCTCCCAAAGTGCTGGAATTACAGGTGTGAGCCACTGCATCTGGCCGTGTACATGCTTTTTATCGGACTGGGGAAGTTCCCTTTTATATCTGGTTTGTTAAATTTTTTATCACAAAAAATGTTGCTTGTTTAGTACTTTTTCTGCATTGAGATGATAATATGATTTTTGTCCTTTATTCTATTAATATGGTGTGTTACATTAATTGATTTTTTTTAATGATAAATTAACCTTGTACTTCTGGGATAAATTCCACTTGGTCATGGTACATAATCCTTTTTATATGTTGCTGGATTTAGTTTGCTAGTATTTTTTTTTTAAAGAATTTTCCCATCTCTATTCAGAAGAGGATTCACCAGAGTTATTTTTTTTCCTTATGATATCTTTGTCAGGTTTTTGTATCAGGTTAATACTGAACTTATAGATTGATATTAATTCTATGAACATTTGGTAGAATTTGGCAGTGAATCTAGGACCTGGGCTTTCCTTAATGCGAAGTTTTGTTTTGTTTTTTTAATTCTAATCCTATCTCTTTACTTGTTATAAGTCTGTTAAGGTTTTCTATTTTATCTTGAACCAGTTTCAGTAGTTTTCTCTCTCCAGGAATTTGTCTATTTCATCTAAATTGTCTAATTTGGTGGCAGACAGTTGTTTATAGCATTCCCTTATTCTCCTTTTCATTTCTGTAAGATCAGACATCTTATAGATTTTAGTGGCTTGAGTCTTCTCTCTTTTTTTTCTTGGCCAGTATAGCTAAAGATTTGTCACTTTTGTTCATCTATTCAAAGAACCAAACCTGTGTTCAAAAGAACAAAACTTTAGGTTTTGTCGACTTTATTGTTTTATATTCTTTATTTCCTTTATTTCTACTCTAATCTTGGTTATTTCCTTCCTTTTGTTTGCTTTGGGTTTAGTTTACTCTTGCTTTTCTACTTTCTGAGATTGGAAGGCTAGGTAATTAATTTGAGATCTTTCTTCTTTTAAAATATAGATACAGGTATAAATTTTCTCTGAGCGTCTTTATTTGCTTATTTGCATCTCAAGTTTTGGTATGCTGTGTTTTCATTTTTATTCATCTAAATGAATCTTCCGATTTCCCTTGAAATTTCCTCTTTGACACATTAGTTATTTAGAGGTATATTATTTCCCACTATTTGTGAATTTTAAATTTGCTTTTATTATTGATTTCTAATTTAATTTCATTGTGGGTGGAGAAAATATTTTGTATCATTTAAATATTTTAAGTTTATGGGGATGTGCTTAATTGTCTAACACAAGACAATTGTGTTTAATGATCTATCTCAAGGAGCGTTCCACGTGTACTTGAGAAGAATGCATATTCTACAGCTGTTGGTGGCATATTCATTGGTGTTTTTTAGGTCTAGTTGTTTCCAGTGTTCAATTCTATTTCCGTATTGGTCTTCTGCTTTAGTTGCTCTATTCATTATTGAAAGTGGGATATTAAAGTCCCTAACTATTATTGTTGAATGATCTATTTCCCATTTCAGTTCTGTCAGTTTTATCTCCAATGTTTGTGGGCTCTCTTGCTAGTTGCATATATGTTTATAATTGTTTTAGCTTCTTTATGAATTAACCCTTTTATCATTGTAAGATGTTCCTCTTTATCTCTAGTAACCTTTTTACTTGTTTTTTTGTTTTTTTCTTTTTTGATGGAGTTTTGCTCTGTCGCCCAGGGTGGAGTGCGATGGTGCGAACTTGGCTCACTGCAACCTCCGCCTCCTGGGTTCAAGCAATTCTCCTGCCTCGGCCTCCCAAGTAGCTGGGGTTACAGGTGCCTGCCACCACACCTGGCTAATTTTTGTATTTTTAGTAGAGACAGGGTTTCACCATCTTGGCCAGGCTGGTCTCGAACTCCTGACCTTGTGATCCACCCACCTCGGCCTCCCAAAGTGCTGGGATTACAGGCGTGAGCCACCATGCCCAGACACTTGTTTGTTTTAAAGCGTATTTTGTCTGATCATAGGAAAGCCACTCCAAGTCTTTTATAATTGTTGTTTACATGGTGTATTCTTTTCCACCCTTTCTTTCAACCCATTTGTATCTTTGCTTGTAAAATGTGTCTCTTGTAAACAACATGTAATTTGATCTTTTTTTTTATTTTGTATTTTTTTATTTTTTGGACGGAGTCTCACTCTGTCACCCAGGCTGGAGTGCAGCAGTGTGATCTCAGCTCACTGCAACCTCCACCTCCCAGGTGCAAGTGATTCTCATGCCTCAGCCTCCCGAGTAGCTGGGATTACAGGCACGTGCCACCACGCCTGGCTAATTTTTTTGTATTTTTAGTAGAGATGGGGTTTCACCATGTTAGCCAGGATGGTCTTGATCTCCTGACCTCGTGATCTGCCCACCTCGGCCTCCCAGAGTGCTGAGATTACAGGCGTGAGCCACCCCACCCCGCCTCGATCTTTTAAAAATTCAGTCTGACAATCTCTGCCTTTTGATTGGATTGTTTAATTCTTTCATATTTAATGTTATGATTGATATAGTTAGATTGACATCTGACATTTTACCTTTTTCTATAGGTCTCTTATCATCTTTGTTACATGATTTATCCTTTATTGTTTTACTTTGTATTAAGTAGATATTTTCTAATGCAACACTAGATATCACTAATTTCTTAAATAATGTTTACATTGTATTTTGAGTTTTTTTTTTTTTTTTTTTTGCAGTTTCCCTAGGGCTTACAGTGTATATCTTAATATATCAGATTTATACTGACTTATTTCCAGAGAAATATAGCTTTACCCTTATATTCCTCCATTCTCTCCCCATTTTTTGATGCCATTTTGAGGCCCAACAATACACCTGTATATTACATATATTGTTTTATGTAATTACTTTTTAAGTAAGGCAAGAAAATAAAGGGAAAGTATGCAATTATGCAGTCTTTTGTAATTATCTATATAAGTACCTTTACTGACACTTTTGTTTATTTGTGTGGATTTGAATTACTATCTTGTGTTGCTTGCTTTCAGTCTGAAGAACTTCCTTTAGTATTTCTTGTAAGGCAGATTTGCTAGCAATAAATTATCTCAGTTTTTATCTGGGAATGTCTTTATTTCACCTTTATATTTCAAGATGGTTTTGCTGGAAATAAGATTTTTGGTTGACAGTGTTTTGTCTTTCAACACTGACTATTTCATTCCGCTGCCATCTGGCTTCTATTATTTCTAATGAATTTAGTTGTTAATCTTATTGGTGTCCCTTTGCATGAATTGCTTTTTTTTTTTCTCTTGCTGTGAGGAGTAAATGGGGACCTTTTTTCTCTTGCCCAAATACCTATCTAAGGGGACTGGGGAGTCATGCTCTACAAACCATAAAAATCTCATCAGACAGGTTTTTATAAAATGTGGCTTGCTTTCCACTTGACTTTGGTATAATATCACATGACAGATAGCAGACTCTAAAGGACATATTAATAAAAATATTTTACCACAAAATATATTTCTTTAATGTACTTTGCAATGGCTGCCACAGTGCCAACAGATTAAAATGGCCCTGCAAAGCCATCTTTTATGGGGACAATTTGCAGCTATAGAGAATCTCCATGAATATAACCAGGTATTTTCCCTTCCAGGAGGTTTTCTCAGATCCAGGAGAGATTAAGGGAGAGCCTGACACCTTTAAAGTCTGAAAAGAGTCACTCATCAGCTATCATATCTCTGAGAGCTGCCACCCATGAGGCTTCATCTACATAATAAGAACATGGTCTCCAAAACTCCCTAATCTTAACTCAGGCATTCTTTTCTACTGATTTCAAGTCCTTAGACAATAGCTTAACTCTCTCAACCAACTGGCAACTGAAGAATCCCCTAAACCCACCTATGACTTGTAAGCCCCCACTTTGAGATGTCCCGCCTGTTCCAGCCAAACCAATGTGCACCCTTCTCATATTGATTTATTATTTTACCTGCAATTCCTGTCTCCCTGAAATGTGTAAAACCAAACTATAACCCAACCACCTCAGGCACACTTTCTCAGGACCTCTTGAGATTGTGTAACCTGGGCCATAGTCAAACATATTGGCCCAGAGTAAACCTCTTTAAATATATTTTGGCAACATTTGGATTTTTCTGTCATCAACTGCTTTCAAAATTTTCTGTTTGTGTTTGTCTCTAACATTTTGATTATGATGTGTTTGGGTGTGTTTCTCTTTGTTTTTATCCCACTTGCCATATTGAGCTTCCTGGATGTGAGGCTAGTACTTTTCATCAGATTCGGAAAGTTTTTAGCCATTATTTCTTTGAGTACTTTTCCTGTCTCCTCCTATTTCTCCTCTCCTCTGGCACTCCCAATATGTGCAGGTCAGGGTGCTTAGTGGTGTTCCACATTTCACGGAAGCTCTGTTAGTTTTTTTCTATCTCTTCTTCAAATTGAATACTTTGTATTGATTTGTCATTAAATTAGTTGGTGATCTCTTCTGCCAATTCAAATCTACCATCAAACCTCTCTAGTAAATTTTCCGCTTTAATCATTATACTTTTAATCTCCAGAATTTCCATTGACACTCCAGTCACAATAAGTGCACCCAGTGCCCACATCTTGGTTTCTAAAGTCTCTCTCCAATAAAAGGAATCAGAAATCTTTAGATAAATGGCTGATTCTAGGGCTAGGGTAAGGATTATACAAGAGGGGCCTAGAGCATCGTGTAGTGCCAGGAGGTAAAGAAGTGTTTAAAACCCCCACAAGAATGAGATTATGCCAGAGGGACACAGGAACCAACTGAAAGAGCTCCCAATAGCCAAAGCTGGAATAATCTGAGCAACAAAATAAAGCACATGCAGTGCACAATAGGAGATCGAGACCATCCTGGCCAACACAGTGAAACCTAGTCTCTACTAAAATACAAAAAAAAAGAAAAAAAATTAGCTGTGTGTGCTGGTGTGTGCCTGTAGTCCCAGCTAATCGGTTGGCTCAGGCAGGGGAATCGCTTGAATCTGGGAGGTGGAGGTTGCAGTGGGCCGAGATCATGCCACTGCACTCCAGCCTGGGTGACAGAGCGAGACTCTGTCTCAAAAAAATAATAAATAAAAATAAATGTTCACGAATCCTTACTGATATATATGTGTGTATATATGTAAATATATGTATATATACATAGAGTGGTGTATATACATAGGCATATGTATTTCTAATGTAGTTTGCCTAGTGATACCTTTATCTACATTATCACTAGGCAATCTACATGTTTATGAGTAAGCCTTGTAAGTCTTCCAAGTTGCTACTGCTCTCAACCTCTTTCTACTGCCCCCTGTCTGGAGCAGGGAGGACTCAGTCCACCCAGGAGCCAGCATCCATTTCAGAAGAGGTGGGTAGGTTGATCTGAGAAGGGAGGGACACAGCCGTGCTTCCAGCATTCCTCTTCCATGATTTAAAGTGGAAAGTCGCATCAGACGCCCCAAGTCTCTGCCCTTGACTTGAAAGAAAGAGACCAGTGCCACTAGGAGGGCCAGGTGGCCAAAGCCACCTGCCTCTGAAGCTTTTCAAGGGAAGTTGTTCCTCCAGTTCTGCCAAGGACGACGTGTCTCTAAACATCAGTCAGTTAATATTTTGCGAGTCACAAATTCTGCAACGAAGTGACATAAAGGGATAGCTTTTCTCTCCCACAGCAGTGACCGGTCAGAGACCACTGGAGCAGAGTAATGAGAATGGCTGAAGGAGACACCTGGGGATGCTTGAAGCTGCCCCCCGGAGCACGGTCCAGACACCTCCACGGTGAGTCCCAGTGTCAGGAGCAGGCGAGGGGAGGCCCAGGGAGTAACCAATGAATCACAACATTGTAAGTCATTTTAAAACCAATTTATCTGCCAGCTCCTCTTTCCTTTCTTCCTTCATCAGCTCACCCTCAGCCCCATGGCGGGCGTGTGAGTGAGTCAGACATGCTCCCGTGGTGTCAGATGCCATCCTCAGCCTCATGACTCCCAAATCGTTTTTATGCACTGCTGACCCATGGCTGTGTCTGACCGCTGCCCCTGTCAACGGTACCCCTAACTTCAATGGGTGAATTCAACTCGCATCCTCTGCCCTGGAACACATCTTTTCCTTTCGGGGTGGGGGGCATTGAGCAGAGGAAAGAAATCTAACATAAGAGATGCCAGGAGTCCAGTCACGGCCCTGCCACCCCATTGCTAGACTGCACCCAACGTCTGGGACACCTGAGCCGTCGGAGGGCAGCAAGGAATGCGGTGGGTGCTGTGCTGGGCTGATGGTGCTGTGGGTGCATCGTCCTAGAGACAGAGCGGATGACAGCCACTCAGAGGAGGCAGGCCCTGCATCCCGGCATTGGGAGAGAATGCACTTGGAGAACCCAGAGAGGCCCTCAGATCCCTAGCCCAACAGTCACCAGATTGCCTATTTGGTAGAACAGATGTGTATGCATCAACCTTTTTGCTCTGGAGAGAAATACATCCACCTATTCCCTGGGTCGGTTACTACTTTTGATGGAACTACCCCACTATGGGAGGCTCTTTGGTAATAGATACCTGGATAATGGCTCCAGTCTCTTCCTAGAATTTTTTGTCCATTGAGCTATGTGTATATGTGGGGGTGGGGGTCATCAGCAAGAGCCAGTGGTCAGCAGAGGGTGGGCACACCGCCAGCCTGGCTGGCCACACCAGGGGTGAGGATGGGCAACTGGCTGCAGAATCAATTATGACCAAGCAAGCTTTGTCCTGGGAACATAAGCATAAAGTATCGCTAGGCAATCCACTTTTATCATCAGCCTCATCAGCAGGTCTCAGGAGAGAAGCTATGGTCATCTCAGAGGATGTAACCCACATTTATTTCACCCTCCTTCCCAGCAGAGGCTCGTAGATAACAAAAGCTACAAGGACGACCTTCGCCTGATAAAAGGCCACCACGGCCAGCCTGCAGCAAGCCTCAAGCTTCCCGCGAAACTCCAGATGCAGTCCCATTAAAGTGGAAAACAGGGAGTTGACTCTCTCATAGCCATCACTCAGCATGGTCTGATGATCTAGCCAATGTTACAGGCCAAGATGGAAAAAGAGGAGTGAGGATTGGAAAGGAGGAGACATACATTTTCATATTTTTGGGGTAGACAATATAACTTTCTGCATAAAATTTTCTAAGAATTTACAATGAGAGCTAATGAGGTTTAATATAAGAAGATATAAAAGTCCACAGCATGGCTATGCAATAGCCAACACTAATTGGAGACTGTAATAGAAAAAACACACCATTCGCAATAGCAATAAAACACTGAGGTATTTAGAAATAAGTATAATAAAGATGTGGGACATCTTAAATGAGAAACTAATACAATTTTATTAAGGGCTATAGACAAAGATTTAACTAATTGGAAGGCTACATCATGAATGCAAAAACTCAGTTTCAAATGTTCTGTTTTCCTGTAAAATAATCAATAAATTAAATGCAATTTCATTCAAATCCTAGCAGCATTTTCTCCTGGCACCTGATAAGGTGGATTATTCCTTCACATGGAATAGCAAAGGACCAAAGATGGTGAAGACAGGTTTGAAGAAGAAGCAGAGGGTAGAGATGTTTTCTCTAACAAATAGCCAGCGATTTCCTCTAGTTTTGATAAAGACTATTCAAGAATAAACAGATCAGCAGAACAGAACAGAAAGGCAAAAGCAGACCTGCACGGAGTGGAAACCTGCTGTGCACCACAGGGATCCATACGTCAACAGGAATGGGGGTTTGTTGGTCAAATGCCACTGATAGAAAGGTAAAATATTCACATTATTATCTAACACTGCACCGGTAATAAAGCTCAGATGGGTTAAAGTCCTACATACGAAATGCAAAACTTTAAAACATTTAGAATAAACTACAGTGAAATAGCTTTATGATGTCAAAATACAGAAAAGTTCCTTTCTTTTTTTTTTTTTTTTTGAGATGGAGTCTTGCTCTGTTGCCCAGGCTGGAATGCAGTGGCACACTGCAACCTCCACTTCCCAGGTTCAAGTGATTCTCCTGCCTCAGCCTCCTGAGTAGCTGGGATTACAGGCACACACCACCACACCAGGCTAATTTTTGTATTTTTAGTAGAGACGGGTTTCACCATATTGGCCAGGCTGGTCTTGAACTCCTGACTTCAAGTGATCCACCTGCCTCAGCGTCCCAAAGAGGTGGAATTACAGGTGTGAGCCACTGCGCCTGGCCCAGAAAAGTTTCTCAAGTAAGACATACAAACGTAAACCCCATAAAACTGAAATTTGATAAAGTTGACTATGTTATGATTAATAGCTTCTATACAACAAAAGATGCCATAAACAAAGCTGAAAGTCAAAAGACCGGCCACACTCAGGAGGAAATGTTTGCTATAAACATAACAGGCAGACGATGATTATCCATCTCATATAAAGAGCTCACACAAATCAATGAGACAAAGAGAAGTGAAACATTTATGAATAAAGTGGAGCCCTGGTATGTCATCTACCAGTCCCATTTTCTTCTCTCCTTGACAGTCTTATCAATCATGTTTGAAATCTTTACTACAATGTATCCTGTTGTTTCAGTAAAGATATATGTGCTTACATATGCATGTTTACTGTGTAATGAACTCAGTGAAAACCAGGCGAATGATACAAACTCACAATTAACAGAAAAGGAAATGAGACATGCAATGACCGTGAAAAGATGCAGACTCTCCCCAGTTACCAGGAAAATGCAAATTAAAGTAACCTTTTGTTTTACAGTCATCAGATTAACAAAGATTAGGGATCTAAGAGTAAAAAAGCTGGCAGTGGGCGAGGGAGCGCTTAGCCCATGCTGAAGGGAAGGTTCATTGGCTCCACCTTTCAAAGAGCCATTTGGCTACTCCTAGTGAAGCTGGAACCAGGCATGTCCCTCCACCTGGCAAAGTCCCTCTCTCCTAGACTAGGGACCATGTTGCATGTTTGCACAAGAAAGGTTCCCCAGGAATGTGGGCTGCTGCCCCCCTTATGACAGTGACCCATCAAAACAATGAAGGCTGGCGAGTGAGCACAGGCTATACATCCATGGCATATGTGTACAAAGTACTATCCAGTAGTTGGTCTGTTATACACATGACAGACCAGTGTTCATCATCCAGCGTGTGTAGAGAACTCACAGAAATTAGTAAGACAGAGGCATCTGCAACAGTTGGTCCTGCACAGATGCAGACCAACCTGAAAATGCAATGTTGAGTTAAAAAAGAAACAAGTGGCACACATTATAAGCACCGTGGGGTACGATTTGTGTAAAGTATTAAAACATATCTTTACTAAACAGCAGGATAGATTGTGGTAAAGATATCAAACATGATTGAGAAGGCTGTGGAGGAGAGAGGAAAATGTGATTGCTGAATGATATACCAGGGCTCTATTCATAATGCTTTACTTCTAAAAATGATTACCTAAAGCAAATATGGCAGAATGCTAATATTTGTCATGCCCAGGTGGTGGGTTCAGTTCATATTATCCTACGTAATTTGTTCTCAATGTTGGAACTATCCCATAATAAAACACTGGAGCAAAGAACACAGATCATGAAGAAAAACAAAACCTAAGAAGAAATACAAGAAAACGAAAGATGCTAGGGTCGCAGAATAGGGTGGGAAAGCGAGCCAGTGGAGTCAGGACAGGTGTGAAAGAGAGAAACCGTCTCAGAAGCAAGCAGGGGAGACTGCTGGAGGTGGTGTCAAGGACATTTATTCATTCAACAAATAATCACTGAGCACTGTGAGAGTCAGGTCCTGGGGACTCAGAGAGTTGTGTCTGTTGCAGAAAGTCAGGGACCCTGAATGGAGGGACTGGCTGGAGCTGTGGCAAAGGAATATAAATTGTGCAGATTTCATTTTAATATGGACATATATCAGTTTCCAAAATTGATACTTTTATAAATTTCTTACGCCTGTCTTTACTGCAATCTCTGAACATAAATTGTAAAGATTTCATTTTAATATGGACATTTATCAGTTCCCAAAATTAATACTTTTATTTCTTGTGCCTGTCTTTACTTTAATCTCTTAATCCTGTTATCTTGGTAAACTGAGAATGTACGTCACCTCAGGACCACTATTGTGTTAAACTATACAAATTGATTGTAAAACATGTGTGTTTGAACAATATGAAATCAGTGCACCTTGAAAAAGAACAGAATGACAGCGATTTTGGGGAACAAAGGAAGACAACCATAAGGTCTGACTGCCTGCGGGGTCAGGCAGAATAGAGCCATATTTTTCTTCTTGCAGAGAGCCTATAAGAGCCTACAAACGGACATGCAAGTAGGGAAGATATCGCTGAATTCTTTTCCTAGCAAGGAATATTAATAATTAAGACCCTGGGAAAGGAATGCATTCCTGGGGGGAGGTCTATAAACGGCCGCTCTGGGAGTATCTGTCTTATGCAGTTGAGATAAGGACTGAAATATGCCCTGGTCTCCTGCAGTACCCTCAGGCTTAGTAGGGTGGGGGAAAAAACCCACCCTGGTGAATTTGAGGTCAGACTGGTTCTCTGCTCTCGAATCCTGTTTTCTGTTGTTTAAGATGTTTATCAAGACAATACGTGCACAGCTGAACATCGACCCTTATCAGGAGATTTTGATTTCGCTCTTTGCCTTGTGATCTTTGCTTTACCCTTTGCCTCGTGATCTTTATTGGCCTCAGAAGCATGTGATCTTTGTTCTCCTTTTTGCCCTTTGATGCATGTGATCTTTGTTACCTACTCCCTGTTCGTACACCCCCTCCCCTTTGAAAGTCCTTAATAAAAACCTTTGCAGCTCAGGAGGACATCATGGTCCTACCGATATGTGATGTCACCCCCAGAGGCCCAGCTGTAAAATTCCTCTCTTTGTACTCTTTCTTTTTATTTCTCAGCCAGCCAAAACGTAGGGAAAATAGAAAGAACCTACGTTGAAATATTGGGGGTGGGTTCCCCTGATAGCCTCCCCATGGGGAGAGAGGCAAACAGCCAGGAAGAGCAAATCCAGAAGCTTTCAGATTGTGCTGCTGAGGGCTGTGGAGGGCTGTGCCTGGTGGTACGGTGGGGACTGGACGGGTGGGCTTGCTCTGTAGGGGTGGACCCAGGACCCGGGGCAGCAGGGGCGGTGCTCAGAGCCTGCCCAGCTTGTTGCTGGCAGTGGGAGTGGCCGATGCAGCACTGGCTGCGGGGGGCTTGGCAGGTCTGGAAAGAGAAAGGTGCCCACTTGGCTGGGGGTTGAGAGGAGGCTCCGGTCCGCTCCAGCCAAGGTGTGGACCTGGAGCTCTCGCCAGAGCTAGAAAAGGTGATCTCCATGGGTATTGGAGCAAGGACGTCAGGGCCACCCAGACATGTGGGGGAGCCATGGGTAGAGAGTGAGCTTCCTGGGGAGTGGGAAGCCCAGCCAGGAAAGGCAGCCTCAAGCTTTGGGAAACATCAGAATGGCAACCTTATGCCATGGAGTGGCCTCTGAGCCACAGAGAAAGCGGAGGAGAGTAGAGATACAGGCATTTAGGGAGAAGAGGGATCTTTTTGTTTCTGCCTCCAAAGAAAAGAAAAAGAAAAATGAAAGAAGAACAACAAGAAATAGAGCAGAAAAGAATTCAAGCATGGATGGGTTTGGGTGGGGCTGGGAAATGGAGGGCTCCAAGCAGTAGAGCAGAGGGTCCAGCACAGGGAGGTGAGGTAGGAGGGGCTGGAAAGAAAGCCCAGATGGGCCCAGCCTGAATCACTATGGCAGGGGTCCTCAGGGGTTACCCAGGAAACTACCACAAATCTCGAGTCGCCATCAGTAGTGGTGACGGGGGAGTGGGTGGAAAAGCCGGAGAAGCCACCAGCTGGTGAAAAGGCCCTGGGTCCCCCCGCCACCTTCCAAATTTCACCTTACTCCTCCTGTTGCCAACCTCACTGGAGCCATCTAGGGGACAGGGCCTGGGGGTCCTTCCTGGCTTCTCCCCCTCAATGCAGGAAAGAACTTGAAATTGGGGAAATGTGGAGTGGACATTGGACCGCCCATCCAGCCCGAAAGACACAGGAGAATGAAGACAGTCCCTGAAGCAGAGAATGCCACCTGCCTGGGGGTCAGCAGGGCACGCTTTGCTCCGGAAACACCTTCTTGACCAACACCATGCCCTGAGAGATGCCAGAATGGGGTCCTGTAAGTCTCCCGAACATGCTGATGGTGTGGTGCTGATTAAAACAATGTTCTCATGTGCAGGAGAAGCAGGCCGAAGGGTGCTGGGTGAAGGGCATGGACCTGGTAACATTCTCATAGACCATGTTTATTTCCTGTAAAAATAAGACCAGATCCCACTGGTGACAAGGGCTGTGACCAGGACTGAGTTCTTTAAGGTTGCAGGACTGAGGTCTCTGTGTTCTTGCTGCTGTCAGCTTAGGGCCGTTCCCACTTCTAGAGGCTGTTGTGTTATTTGGTGAGTGACCTCGCAGCTCCACGTCTCGGCCAGTGCTGGAAGGCTGAGTCCTCTTGCTCTCCAGGGGGCCCTCCCTCTGCTCCTGGCAGGTGTCTGCTCACCCCTTAGAGCAGTGTTTGATGTCAGGCCCTTGAAGTCTTTGGTGTTCTCGGTGCCCTTGGGACCCTGAACAGACAGAGTGACCCTGTGGTGGAAAATCCTTGCTGCCCCACGTCAGGTGTGTTCCTCAGACTGCAGGCCCGCATGCACCCTGCCCGTGTGCAGTGCCTCCTCATTCCTGTCTGCTGGAGACGGCTTCTGGGGGCCTCTTCTGTGGCTCAGGTGCTTGCTGAAGGTGGACAGCGCTTCGAATTTAAACTGCACAACTCAAGTGCTGTTCCTGGGAGCATCTCAGGGTTTGGTCCAGGTGCCTCGTGACCTCTGCAGGCTCTGTTACTGCTTTTCCAGAAACACTCTCTTTGAGCTGCGTCTGTGCATATTAAAGGAAATCCATCAGCATCATTTTCTTTAATTTTCAGTTCCTATTAGCAGTATTGACCAGAGGGTTCCCCAGGGCAGGGGGCAGGTGGGGTGAGGGCAGCTCCCCTGGCTCAGCCCGTCCATCTCTCCTGCCTGACTGGTGTTTAGATTAGAGTTCAATTCCATTTTAGTCCACTTCCAATTCAATTCCATTCAGTTCAAATCCGAATTCCATTCCATTCCAATCCATTTTCATTCAGTCTAACTCAATTTCATTTCAGTCCAGTTCAAGTCCACATTTAGTTTCTATTTTGCTTAATACAGGTTCACAGACCTTCCACTGTGCCCCAGCCTCACGCTGGGCACCGAGGGAGGTGGGAGCTGGCAGCAGCCTGGGCAGAGGGACCCACTGCGGAGATGTGGGGGAACAGGCCTCACCCAGAAATGGCCACCGGATGAAGCAGGAGCGTGTGGGGGCCACAGAACAAGAAGTCCATCCCTGTTCCTTAATTGAGCCACCCACGTTAGCGTGACCCATGCTCAGGCTGGTGCTCTTGCCTGGACCCATCATGGTGGTTTTCCCAAGCACACCCATGGCTGCTGTCCTGTGGGTCAAAGGCATGGCTGGGCCAGTGGGAAACATGGATTAAACACATTGAGCATTTCACTGCAGTCCTTCCTAGAGTCTCCTGGGCACTGGTGGGCATTGACAACTTCTAAAAAGGGACAAGTGTAGTTTCAGGGCCTCAGAGGGCAGAACCTGGCTGGAAGCCAGCTGGGCCGGTGGGCAGAGCAGAGCTGCTGTCTCCCAGTGTGGAAGGAGAGTGAGTGTGTCAGGATTGCCTGGCTCTGGGGCACTTCCTGGGTTGGAGTTTCAGCTTTCAGGAGCCCCAAATGAGCCCCTCATTTCAAGGCCGCCAGGGGCAAGCTTTCTGCCTCTCAGGACAAAACTGACAAGGAATTGGCCACGTCCTGCCTGTTCAACCATGTGTGAGTGACGAGGGCTTGTGCAGACACACATCTGCTCCCTGGACTGCCATGATGGAGGCAGAGGAGCATCTGCATCTGCAGGAGCTCTGCCAGTGGCCCCCAGCACCCCTCGAGCTGGGGGGAAATGGAGTCCGGCTCCACGGCTGCTATCCTGGGATGCAGTGGCCAGGCCTGCTGGGATCCTATGAAGAGGCAAGCGGAGAAGCCAGATCCCCCTGTGTTCTGTCCCCGTGGGGGCTAACGGCCACACTGCCCCAAAGTTGCATCTGGGACTCTTCGGAATAGGAGTGGTTTGCATGAGAAATTTGAGGATGCAAACTCAATTCATCATTATTTATGAACCAGCACAGAGGAGTTTATTACTCTGATCACTCACTAATCATTCCTTATAAATGCGGGGACCAACAAAATCCCACAGAATCAATAAAGTGGTAACTTCCCGGTCTAAATCACGGCACCTAGGATTCTTGAGTAAACCTTTCGGTAATTTACAAAGGCTGTTGAATTTTATAGTAAGAGTTTTTCAAACCAAGCTGGATTCTAAACAATAATGACTTTTTAATGTGGTTCTGTGATTACGTTGTCACCGTGAAATACGGGGGTCTTTGACTGCATCCAAAATGAGCCTGGTGTGAATTACTTGCAGGCACAGACCAGCACGGCCCCAGGTAAAGCAATCTTCATAAATTACTCTCCAATCCGGGTGGCCTGGCAGGCGAGGCCTGATGCCGATGTTTGCAACTCAATTTTCAATGGACAATTTGTAAACAAGCTCTTCCTTTTGTTCGGGGCAGTGGCCACGGCCGCCGCCTCTGAGTGGAGGGGCTGAGCTCCCCCCAGGCTTTCACACGCCGGCTGAGACTTTGTGTGAGTCCAGGACAGTGGCTGCTCGTCCACGGAGCTGCTTAAAGGGAAGTGAATGAAAGGAACTGACGCTGGGTGCCAGCCACGCGCCAGGTGCACATGGCCCATGTGGCACCATACGGGGAGCCAAGAAAGAAACTGTTTCCTCCTCCTAGAAAGTCCTGCTGGGTGGCTGCCCTCCAACAACCACACAATCCCCTCCCTCATTCACTCTAATGATTCCAACACCCCTTCCCGGAGGGCTCAGAATCCCCACTGCCCCTGCACCTGGGAGTCCTGCCCACCCTGTTTCTGAACCACTGAGTGACTCTGTTTGGGTGTCTCAGTGGGCCAGGGCCTGTGCTCCATACAGTGAGAGCAGGTTTCCATCAGAGACCTTCAGCCCACCCCAGGGGACTATGAGGCATGGCTTGGGCGTAGGGGGAGCCATGGACGCTCTCAAATCCAAAGCCACTGGGCAGATGGGTGAGCTTGGCTCAAATCCATGAACCCAGGTGTGGGCAACGGGGCTTGCGAGGCTGGGTGAAGGCCTGGGGACTCTGAGGTGGCTGGACTGCGGCCGCAGCCGTGGGTGCTGGTGCTTGCCCATCCCTGCCCTGCGGCTCTTGCTCCACAGGCGGGGGAGCCCAGGACCCTGGCCCAGGGACAGAGTGAGGCTCCTCAGCCCCAGGGGCAGCTTCAGGTCTGGGACGGGGGAGCGATTAGGGCGGTTCCCACCTGGACTTTCACACCAGGGCCCCTCGCCCTGGCCGTCCCTACTGCCCAGCCTGGGAGCTCCAGGACAGGCCCTGCCTTGCCCTGTGCCTGGTCTTGAGGAGAGTTTGCTGAGGGCATCCATGCCGAGTGCCCTTAGGGGCAGGACCGGGATTTGCACCCCACCCCAGGTGCCTCAGTCCTAAGGTGCCTCGCCCTGTGCCTGGTCTTGAGGAGAGTTTGCTGAGGGCATCCATGCCGAGTGCCCTTGGGGGCAGGACCGGGATTGGCACCCCCACCCCAGGTGCCTCAGTCCTAAGGTGCCTCGCCCTGTGCCTGGTCTTGAGGAGAGTTTGCTGAGGGCATCCATGCCGAGTGCCCTTGGGGGCAGGACCGGGATTGGCACCCCCACCCCAGGTGCCTCAGTCCTAAGGGCCCTCCTTGCACATGAGCTCACTCGTCCCTGGGCAGAGAGCCCCACTTCCTGGGGTACAAAGTCATCTCCTCCTTGTTGCTCTGGATGCTTCCACGGCAACAGATTCTTCCGCAGCAGAGTGGCAGGGCACCCCTTCCCCGACCGTCTGCCTCCCAGCATGCTGGTGGAGGGGCTCGCTCCCGTCCACATGGCTGCCATGGGCTCCCACCTTCCTCTGGGCACCCTGGGTGCACCAAGGTGTTTTAGAAGGAGCTGCGCCGGCTTGGAGGCGAGAAGGGCAGGAAGAGGCTGCACAGGTGCTCAGCAGGAGAGGCTTGTGTCTCAGGCCTTGGGTACTTAGAAATCTGTTTTACACAGGCTTTCTTTCTGATTTTATGTAAAGTGGGGTTTCACAGCTACACACATTTATTCCGATGTTCCACCGGGGAGAGCTTCTCCAGGACCGTGGGGCTCCAAGCCCCATGGCTCTTGAGGTGGCTCCAGTGTGCAGTGGACACTTCCAGGGTGTCCCAGGGTCCCTTGGGGGCTCTGTGGAGACTCCTGTTTCTGAGAGTGGAGACCTGTGTTCGTTCTCCCTAAAGGCCTTCCTTCTGGTGCCCTCCCCTGCCATTCATGGCTGTTTCCAGAGGCAAGTTGGAAGTGGGGGTGCAGCTGGGGCTGTGGAAAGCTCTCTCTGCAATGCGCTGGGGGGTCTCTGTGGGACACAGAGGCTGGAGCTGGAGGGGTTGGGAGTCCAGGGGGACCCGAGGTAAAGGCTGCCGGCACTAGGGCTTTCCCCAGCACCTGCCACTGAGGCTGCTGCAGGAACCGGGCAGGGACGGCCTCCAGACCTGGGGTCCTGATGACTTAGCTTTCGCCCCGATCCTGCCATCTGGGGGCTGAGGTTCTGCCTGGACGGCTGCCCCGAGAGGAGACCGTGCAAACCCCTGGCTCCTGGGGTGGTCTCCTGTAGCCTGTCAGCAAGATCCCCTCTGCCCTTGACAGGGACACTGGGTGCCCTAGGGAGGCCTCAGCAGCCTGTTTCATAGCCGAGGATGCTGAGGCCTGGAGCACAGGGACGCCCACCTGAGGCCCCACAGCTGGTGAGAGGCAGATGTGAGGGTGGGGCCCTCTCGGTCAGATGCTATCTGCCTCGTGGTACGGCTGTTGGGGTCGGGGGAGCTGGTTTGGGGAGGGGTCCGGGAGCCACTCCACTGGGGTAGTTGCAGTGCTCACAGTTAAGCTCTTGGTACTGGCTGTGTTCCGTGCCCCGGGCAGGCAGCACCTCCTTCCATCCTAAAATCCCCTCTGAGGTACTCAGTATCTTATCCCTCTTCTGTTGATAGGGAAACTGAGTCCCAGAGTCTCCATCAATAGGCTGGCCAGAGGAGCTTGGGTCCAGGCCCAGGCGGCCCTGCCTTGCGGGTGTGAAAAGCCTGGTCTCCACTGCCAGGCTGGCGCCCACCTACGGGTGGGGACCAGGCCCCAGGCCTCGATGTGCACACGCAGGAGCCGGGTTCCTAGTGGCCGCTTGACTTCATAGGATTGCTGAGAAAATCAAACGGCTAAGGAATGGCAGATGGCTGGACCCAAGTAAGGAGTTGTTAGTAAGTTCCTTTCTGGTATTTAAGCAAAGCATTTGTTTGCAGCCCTGGGACTGTTTTCAAGAGGAAAAAGGCCCTGCAAAGAAGCAAGCAGAGACTCTTTAATGTCCCTTTTTTAATTTAAAAAAAAAAAAAAAGGTAGAAGTCAGGAGCCAAATTGCCTCCCATCAAGACACCAGAGAGAACCGATTTAATTTCCATAATGTAGGACAACAATGAGCGCACAGCCTCACGGGAGAATAAATCCAGCCACTTTAAGGGGAGAAGGGAGGCGCTAAGTATATCATGTCAAATATTAACATATGAACTTCAAATCTATGCACCAATTCAAAATCTGATTTAACAAACTGCTCTTATTAAAGTCAATTGGCGAGCATTCCATTATAAAAACAAATGAAATCTTCCCCGTCTACGAGATAAATAATTTTCTCCCCACACCTAAGCGGGAGGCATTAGCTTAACGGGTAACGATCTAAATTATGTATTAAACTCAATTACTTTTTATTACTGCTTTCCAATTAGGGTTCCCTGATTGACTCACATGGCGTGGAGACTCCTCCCGGGCAGTCCCCCATCCTCCTGGCCCCTGGATCTGGCTGTGCAGACGCCATTTGCCCCCAGCTTAATTGAGCATATCTCTCCCTCGCTCTAAGGGGAGAGTGAGGTGTGGCTTCTGCTGGAGAATGAACACGGACGGCAGCAGGATCACCGACTAAATCACCGTCTAAATCTGCCAGAGCCACTCCTGGCAGCCACTTCTGAGGCTGCAGTATCTCCCGGCCCTCTAGAGAGAGCTCCCGAAATCACCAGTATCGTGAGGGCAGCTCTGCCGAGCCCGCGGCCTCTATAGGTGCAAGCAGCGTGCTGCTGCTCCGATGAGTGTCTCCCTGTCCTCAGAGGCGCCAGTCCCCCAGCTCCTGCCCTGCGCTGGCCATGCCTCAGCCGACATTGCACCACCGTGGACTCCCCTGTGTAACCAAGAGCTTTCCTTGTTAGAATCCAGACTCTCTGAGAAGGGCTGTGTTCTTGGGCATATTTCTCAAACACCAGGGACAAACTCCTTTTAAAATGAAAAAGCGTGTAGACTGCCAAGTGCAAAAATGCTACTTGTGAGGGGCCGCTGCGCGGTGATTGCAGAGGCCAGCTTGCCCTGCAGAGCCGGTCGTGGCCGTCACGGAAGCCGGGGAGCTGTGGGAACGCCCATTCCTCAGAGTCGCCGCGTGCCCACCGTGAGCTGCTCTGAGCAACACGGCGGGAGCTGGAGGATGGGGCCAGAAGGGGCTCGAGGATGAAAGCGCGCCAGGAGGGAGACGTGACCGGGTGGCCTGCTGCAGGTGGCGGACGCCTGGGAACACGCAGCACAGGTGGGTGGGCGAACTAGGAGCGCCAGGTCGGGGGTCTGCCTGAGAATGTAGCTCTGAAATGGCGCCGTGAGGGAGGCGAGGGGTCGGCCATTCTGAGATTAGAGGAAGGGGTCCCAGCAGGGCAAGCCACCAAGACAAAGGCGCTAAGCCCCCATCTCAGGGTGGGGGTGGCAGCGGGTGGGGTCAGCCACCTTCAGGCTGGGCTTCAAGAGAGGCCTCAGAGCTGGCACCAGAGGCCCCCTCTGCCCCTGCCTCTGACTGCAGGAAGAATAAAAAGGCTGGAAAGAGGACCTGGCCGAGTTACACAGAGAAGCCCCCTCAGCCAGAAAGAGCCAGGGGAATGAGAAGCCGGAGAGCTGCTCCTGAGTTGGGGGCGCTACAGCCAGGGTCCCTGCTTGTTCCTGAGTCTTGGCTTGGATGCGGCTTAGACTTGAACTTTCATGTCCACCCGGGCCTCTCTGAGTGACCCTGACAGGGACCAAGGGCCCAGCAGCCCACACATTACCCTTGATTGCCACAAGGTGGTGGTGGGAACTCCCAGGACCCCAGGAAAGGGGGCTGGGCTTGAGCTGCCAGGTGGGGGTTCCTTGTGAGGCTTGGGGTGGGAGGGGCTGGGGTGGAGCTGGCTGGGCCTCACAGGCCCGGGAGCCAAGAAGAGAGCTTCGGTGCCTTCGCTGGGGATCCCCAGACCGGGCACTCCGGGAAGCTGGTGCTGCACCATGACAGCCACTGCTGCCACCCCACCTGGGTCCCAGAACAAGCCCTGCCAGCCCACCCCAGAGGCCGAGGGACAGGTAGGTGAGCCACAGAGGGGGCGGAAGGGACCCGAGGGCACTGAGACAGAGGCTTAAAAGGCCAAGTCAAGCTCTAAGTCCTGGAGTCAAGCAGCCGGCTGTCCCGGCACCCGGCCGCAGTGACATCCAGAGAGCAGCCCCCTAGCAGTGTCACTCAGGTGATAATGCAAGAAAGCCCTGTCCTGTGTGTGTTCAGGGCCTGGGAGGCCTCCGTGAGCTGGCTGCACAAGCCTGGGGCTGTGGCACTCGCAGAGGACCTGCCTGGCCTCTTCATGAGCACGAGGGTCTCACTTAACCCTCAACATACCCCACAGGGCCGGATTGACCTTCTCACCTCACTGGAGAGGGAGAAGAACCAGGAGAGTCTCAGGACTAAGGCACCCCTCCGGGCGTCGGGTGTGCAGGGGCCGAGCTGGGATGCCAATTCTGCGTCACAGCCGGCTGCAGGTTCCGCAGCAGTTTTAGGGGCGACATTACCGAGGTCCTTGTGGGCGGGAGAGGGAAGTGTGGTGGGGCGCAGAGTAGGCCACGGTGGGGTGGGGAAGCGTCAAGGACGATGAGCTGTCAACTGGGCGTTGAAGGATGGTGGGGCTCCATCCAGCAGAGGTGGGGGTGTGAGTGTGATGGGGGAATGGGTGTGTGAGGTGGTTGGGTTTGTGTGTATGTGTGATGAGTGTGTGTGTGGTGCATGGTGTCTGTGTGATGGGCCTGTGTGTGTGGCTGTGTGCAGGTGTACGTGTGATGAGTTTGTGTGTGTGTGGTGTGTGTGATGAGTGTGTAATGAGCATGTCTGATGAGCATATGTGTGATGTGTGTGATAAGTGTGTGTGTAATGAGTGTGATGAGTGTGTATGATGAGAATGTGTGTGGTGTGTGATGAGTGTGTGTGATGAGCATGTGTGTGATGAGTGTGTGTGGTGTGTCTGTGATGAGTGTGGGTGATGAGTGTGTGTGTGATGTGTGGGGAGTGCTGATGGGTGCAGGTGGATGTGTGTGTGTGATTGGGTGGTGTGTGTGCAATGGGTGTGTGTGATGAGTGTGTGTGTGATGTGTGGGGAATGGGGATGGGTGCAGGTGGAGGGGTGTGTGTGTGTGATGAGCAAGTTTGTGATAAGCATGTGTTTGGTGTGTGTGTGTCTGTGATGAACGTGTGTGTGGTGTGTGTGAGTGGGTGTGTGGTGTGTGTGCAATGGTGTGTGTGATGTGTGTGGGGAGTGGGGACTGGTGCAGGTGGAGGTGTGTGTATTATGAGCATGTGTGTGATAAGCATGTGGTGTGTGTGTGAGTGTGATGAATGTATGTGTGGTGTGTGAGTGTGTGTGATAAGCATGTGTGTGATGAGTGTGTGTGTGGTGTGTGCGATGGGTGTGTGTGATGAGTGTGTGTGTGATGTGTGTGGAGAGTGCTGATGGGTGCAGGTGGCGGTGTGTGTGTGATGAGCATGTGTGTGTGTGTGTGTGTGTGTGGCGTGTGTGGGGAGTGGGGATGGGTACAGGTGCAGGTGGATGTGCTCACCAGCCAGGTTCTCAGGCCCGTGCTAGTGCTGTACCTGGCACAGGAGGTCAGAAGGACCATTGCTCTTCCCACTAGCCAGAGCGGTGTCTGGCTTTGTCTCTCCCTTCGCCACTGAGTACCCCCAGCCAGGTGATGGCATCTCCGCAGGCCTCACCCACTTTTCTGCTCCTCCCTGTGGACTGTGGGGTCAGCACAAAGACTCCATCTGGCTACCCCGCGGCCCCTCTGGCCACGCCTGCCTGCTGGAGACTCCTCCTGGCATCCTCCGAGCCAGGCCAGGTGTGGCCTTGCTGGGCAGCCCTCCTCTTCCTGCATCCACCCACTGCGTTTCAGTGGCTCCATCCTTTATGCCACCAATGACCCCTGGACATCCCTCAGTCCCTCCAGGGACAGTGTGGTTCACAGGGCTGGTGTGCTGAACAAAGGCTGAGCTTGGGCAAGCACTGCAGGGGCTGGGACATAGGGTAGTGGCCAGGAGGCCCAAGGAGTCCTGTCCAAGAGGAGACAGGCCAGGATCTCAGGCTCAAGCCCTTGAGCCCTCTAGAGTGCCTAGCCCTGTGCTGGACTCCAAGGGGCCACAGGCAGAGAGAGAACCTGGCCTCAGCCTCTGAGACTGAGGAGCCCTAGCTCAAGTGTGTGGGCCAGGCAGAAGAGAGCCCTGAAGTTGGAGCAGTCAAGGAAAGCTGCCTGGAGGAGGCGGCCTGGGAGTCACAGCTCAATGGCACCTGAGAAGGACGGCCAAGGCCTCTGCCCCGGGGCTTGCATCCCTCTCCATCAGCACAGCTCGGGGGAATGGCCTGGAGCTGCAACACCAACGACAGACGGCGGGAAAGTGCTGTCCCCACAGCGGGCACGGAAAACCACCGGCCCTCATCCCGTCTCGCACAATCCCTGAAGTTTGCTTTTTGTTTGTTTGATTAATTCCTTCGACGTTCAAGAAAGAAATTAATTTTACTTATTCCTCAAGCGGTCATTAGAAAAGCTTTTAATGAACACAGTAAAAACCAACTAATTATCGCAATGGCATTTTACTCTAAATAAAATTGACAGCAACCAAGAAGATGGTGCCTATAATTCTCCTCAGTTTATTAAAACCCATTTATCACATTTTATCCTAGCGGAAACTGATCATACTAGTCTGTGATAATTTAACTACTATTTCCTCACTGCATCTAACACGTAAGGGGAGTTTACTGATATTAAAGTCATAATGCATTATATGGAGATGACCTTGCATTCTAATTACTGTTCTTGGTGAGGAATGGGGAAGAGAATCATTCTGTACTGCACACTCCAGATGAAGCCAATGCATGCTTAATGTGAAGCCTCTAATTAGAAAAAATTCCCTTCTCAGTTTCAGCAGAGTTGATGGTCATTTTTCCTCGTGAAATGTGTGCTGGGGGCCTTGGTGTTGGAGCCCTCCCTCTACCCCAAAGGTCATGTCCGTGCTCCAGAAACTCACCATTGTCCATCCATTCCCTGAATGACCACAGTGAACCCACATGGCCCAGGTGCCTCCAGAAGCCTGGCAGACAATTCTTAAGTGTGAAAGAAAGTGTTTGTTTCTGCTTTTTGTTAAAATTCAGAAGTCACATTCTTCCAAAAACCATACTTGAAAATTTAGCTTTTTATTATACATCTTGCTCTAAGAGTCTGTTATTGTTCCCGATCATGAAATGTCATGGGGCTCAAAGGATGGGACGCTTGATTCGCTTCCTAAATACGAGTTGCTTCTGTTGAGTTTTGCCACCAGCAGCTCCCACATGCTTGCACCCGTATCTACATGTTCATGCAGAGACCCACCCGGCTTCTGCTCACAGACACACATCTCACCTCCCACACCATCTTCCCTGCTTGTGGTGGTTAATTTTAGGTGTCAACTTGACTGCACTGAGGGATGCCTAGATAGTTGATAAAACATTTCTGGATGTGTCTTTGAAGGTGTCTCTGGAAGAGATTAACATTTGAGTCAGTGGACTGAGTACAGACCTGCCCTCATCAAAGTGAGCAAGCATCACTTAATCCAAGGAGGGCCTGAGTAGAGCGAAAAGCCTGAGGAAGGGTGAACTCACTTTCTTCTTTAGCTGGGACATCCATCTTCTCCTGCCCTCGACCATTGGTGCCTCTGATTCTCTGGTCTTTGGACTCAGATTGAATAACACCACTGACTTCCCTGGTTCTCCAGCTTGCAGATGGCAGATTGTGGGACTTCTTGGCTTCCATAACTACATAAGTTGATTCCTATAATAAATCTCCTCATATATATGTATATATATATATACATATATATGTTCATATTCTATTAATTCTGTTTTTTGTAGAACTCTGAATAATATAGATTTTGGTACCAAGAGTGGATCTAGAGGACCAGAATTTTGAGGACGAGTTTTCTGAATTCTTTCTGGAGTTTCTGGAATTGGCTCTTTAATCCAACTATATGTAAAGACACTAATGACTGTATTTCCGGTAGTAAAGAGAGCACTGATCATCCATGGCACAAACTATAGAGATATGCAAAATATCTGCATTGGATCCTTCTAATAAACTACTTGTAAGAAGCGAGGAGCTACATGACTCTGTATATGATACTTTTGAACATTTTAGGAAAACTGAGGAATATAATGACATTGGTTGCTTCTAATGTCATTGGACAAAGTGGTAAAAGAAAAAGATGAGCTCAGGGATTCAAATTCCCAGCTCAAGAGCCACAAAAATGACCTAAGAGTTTCTATGTTTGCCCCAGGAGCCTTATCTCATACAACCACAGGGCTGAAGTTTCTGAAAATCAAACTCAGGACCTCATCCTGCAATTGGCCAAATTATTAATACAATGCAAGTTGAGCTCCCAGCCTCCTGGAATGTCTACTCTTGAGTGGGGAAATTGACTGGGAAAGAACGGGATACTGTAAGTTGCAATGGGGACATGTGGGAAGACCCTGATGAAGCTGGGGGTATCAAGCCCCTAAGTTCTGATGTTTATTATTTGCCAGTGGAAGAGGTCCCCCCACGCTCAAAAAAAGTGGCCTTCACATCCCTGGTGGCAGGAGCATCCCTGCCAACAGTGGTGTAGCCTTTCCACCTGACTTGAAGGAGTCCCCCGCATCCTGAGTAATATCTTCCTCTGAGGTGGTGGCCAAGCAGGACAATGCTGATTATTTTCAGGACCCACCCTCACCGCCCCTCTTTGCCTCTAGCCCTATAACTAGACCCAAACCCCAGTAGGCCCTGAAGGTGAGGGACAAACTGTGACCCATGAGAAGGTATGCTGCTCTCCAAAAGAACAACATGGGTTTTCTAATTTATACGAGCAGAAATCCAGGGAACATGGATGGGAATGAATATTAAGGGTGTGGGATGGTAGTGGAAGGAACATAAAGTTGGATCAGGCCAAATTTATTGATATGGGCTCAGTAAGCAATGATTCTGGATTTAATGTTGCAGGTCAACGAGTTAGAAAGGGCTCAGTTTGGTTGGATGGCGGAACAGGGGTCAAAAGATAGTCTGCCCTGCCGTGAGCAAACTGGAAAGATCCAAACTCCCCGGTTTAATGTAGAGGGGGTTTAAAGGGCTCAGGGAAGCTGGTGTGTTAGAGTGGGTTTGTCATTTCAGACCTAGTTGCCCACACGCGGGGATCTGGAAGACTGGCCTTTCACCAACACCTCGAGAAAGAACTGTGTGAGGGGGTCCCAGCTTCCTTGAAGAGCTCCGCCATAACTCGTCCCTGTAAGTCAGACCTTATGGTGGGAACCACAGCCACTCAGCTGGAGACCTAAGTGCAAGGGGAGCAACTGGATCCTGTGGTGGGGGATCCCACAGGCAAGGTGGGTGCAGGCATAGCAATGGGCAGGAGTGGCACAGCAGCAATCAGAACAACCTGGCTCATGAGACTCATGGCTCTGGCCCGTTATCATGGGGCTCCTGGAAAGGAATTTGATCAGAAGCCTACTAAATCCTTACATGATCTGTATAAGCAGGAAAGTTTTAGGTCAAGTGAACAAAAGTCTAAGTCGAATCTGGGCATAGTGGCACATGCCTGTGGTCCCAGTTACTCAGGAGGTTGAGGCAGGGGCATCTGTTGAGCCTGGGAGTTTGAGGCTGCAGTGAGCTATGAACACATCACTGCACTCTAGCCTGGATGACGTAATGATATCCAGTCTCTAAAAACAAAAGTCTAACTCAAATAATAAAATCATGACTCTCAAAGCACAGAGTCATGGCCCCTCAACCAATTCTCAGACCTGAGCCAATCTACAGACTCAGAACCAGCGAATGAAGGGACGACAGTGTCCCCCTGGGAAACAACTCTGTAAATTCCCCGAAATGTATACTCTTAATCTTTTCCCCAGCCTTTCCCAAAGGGACCTACCTTACGTTTTACCAGGTGACTGTGCACTGGGGAAAAGGAAATACTCAGACCTTTCAGGGACTGCTGAACTCTGGCTCTGCACTGACATTGACTCCAGAAGATTGAAAAGGTCTCTGTGGCCATCCAGGCAGAGTAGGGGCTTATGGAGCTCAATGATCAATGGAGTTTTAGCTCAGGTTCATTTTACAGTGGGCCCAGTGGGTCCCCAAACCCATCCTGTAGTTATTTCCCCATTCCAGAATGCATAATCGGAAGAGACGTAATTGAGGAGCTGGTAGCATCTACACATTGGGTCCCTGACCTGTGGAGTAAGGACTATTACAGTGAAGAAGACCAAGTAGAAGCCATTGCAACTGCTTAGGAAAATAATACAGTAGTCCCCCTTTATCTGCAGGCAATATGTTCTAAGACCCCAGTGGATGCCTGACACCATGGACATATAAACCACCAAACACTATATATACTATGTTTCTTCCTATACTTACATACCAATGATAAAGTTTAATTTATAAATTTGGCACCGTAGGAGATTAGCAACAATAATAAAATCAAACAATTAGAAGAATATGCTGCAATAAAAGCTCTGCGAATGTGATTTCTCTCTCTCAAAATATCTTGTACTGTGCAACAGGTCACTTAAAATGTGGAAAGTGAAACCAGGGATAAGTGGTGACTGCTATAAGTCAAAAACAATCCCATATTCCTGGAAGGACTGTGGAGATCATGCCACCATCGGGAACTTGCAAGGTGCAGGGCTGGCGATTCTCACCACATTCCCACTCGACTCTCCGATTTGGCCTGTAAGGAACACAGATGGATCTTGGAGAGTGACTGAAATACCACAAGCTTAACCAGGTGGTGACTCCAATTGCAGCTGCTGTACCAGATGTGGTTTCATTGCTTGAGCAAATTAACACATCCTCTGTTACCTGGTACACGGCTATTGATCCAGCAAATGCCTTTTGTCCATCCCTGTCCAGAAGGCCAGCCAGAAGCAGTTTTCTTTCAGCTGGCAAGGCCAGCAATACACATTCACTGTCCCATCTCAGGGACAGTGTCCCATCAACTCTCTAGCCTTACATTATAATTTAGTCTGCAGGAATCTTGGTTGCTTTTCCCATGGGATGCCACACTGGTGCATTACATTGATGACATTGTGCGGATTGGACTTAGTGAGCAAGAAGTAGCAACTACTCTACATTTATTGGTGAGACGTCTGTGTGTCAGAGGGTGTTATCTGACCCACCAAGCCACATGGTTAGGTATGCATAGCAACACTCTGTCATCAAATGGAAGTGGTACGTATGTGATTGGGTCCAACCAGACCCTGAATGCTCAAGTAGGTTACATGAAAGGGCCAAAGTGCCCACGGTCCCCACCCCTGCTCCACTGCCTTTCTCAGCTGAGATCCTCTCTCCCAGCCTGTGCCTGTGGCCTCGTGGGGGAGCTCCCCATGATCATTTGACAGAGTAAGAGATAATTCAGGCCTGGTTTACAGATGGCTCTGCCCCATATGCAGGCACCATCTGAAAGTGGATGCTGCAGAACTACAGCTCCTTCCTGGGACATCCCTGGAGGACAGTGGGGAAGGGAAGTCCTCCTGGGCAGAGCTGTGGGCAATGCACCTGGCTGTGCACTTTGCTTGGAAGGAGCAGTGGGCAGTTGTGCAGTGATGGACTAATTCACGGGCCGTGCTCAGTGTTTATGCTGGATGGTCAGGAACATGGAAAGAAGGATTGGAAAAATTGGTGAAGAAGATATTTGGGGGAAAAGATATGTGGATAGCCCTCTTAGAATGGGCAAAAATCATGAAGATATGTCTGTCCCATGTGAATGGTCAGCAATGAATGACCATAGCAGAGGAGGGTTTTAGGAATCAAGTGGACAGAATGACTCCTTCTGTGGACACTGGTCAGCCTCTTGCCAAGCCACCCCTGTCATGGCCCAATGAGCTCATAAAGTAAGCAGGCATGGTGGCAGGGATGGAGGTAGTACATGGGCTCAGAAACATGGACTCCCATTCACCAAGGCCTAACTGGCTCCGGACACTGCTGACTGCCCAATCTGCCAGCAGCGGAGACCAACACCAAGCCCTTGATATGGCACCATTCCCAGGCGATCAGCCAGCTACCTGGGGCAGGTTGATAACATTGCATGGTCCCCAGCATGGAAGGGGCAGAGGTTTGTCCTTACTGGAAAAACCACCATCCATGGACTCACAGGATGCCTTACCCACTGTCACGGTGTTCCACCTCGCACTGCTTCTCACCGAGGAACTCACTTCACAGCCAAAGAAGTGCAACGATGCTCATGTTGCATCCTGAAGCAGCTGGTGTGATAGAATGATGCGATGGCCTTTTGAAGGTCAATTACCAACTAGATGGCAATACCTTGCAGGGCTGGGACCAGGTGCTCCCTGCAACTTTGTATTCTGCTGGCCTATGGGTCTTAGTTCCAGAGGCAGAAATGCTTCAACCAGGAGGCACAACAGTGATCCCATTGAATTGAAAGTTAGGGCTGGGCATGGTGGCTCATGCCTGTAATCCCAGCACTTTGGGAGGCCAAGGCGGGTGGATCACGAGGTCAGGAGATCGAGACCATCCTGGCTAACATGGTGAAACCCCGTGTCTACTAAAAATACAAAAAATTAGCCGGGTGTGGTGGCAGGCACCTGTCGTCCCAGCTACTCGGGAGGCTGAGTCAGGAGAATGGCGTGAACCTGGGAGGTGGAGCTTGCAGTGAGCAGAGATCGCACCACTGCATTCCAGCCTGGGTGACAGAGTGAGACTCTGTCTCAAAAAAAAAAAAAAAAGAAAGAAAGTTAGTATGCCATTTTGGGACCCTCAAGCCTCAAGAGTCAGCAGGCTGAGAGGGGAATAAAGGCGCTGGCTGGGGTGATTGATTGGAATACTGAGGGGAAATTGGACTGCACTCCTCCATGGAGGGAAGGAACAGTGTGTCTGGGAGACAGGAGATCCTCAGGCATGTCTTGGCACTGCCATGCTCTGTGATTAAAGTCACTGGAAACCACAATAATACAATTCAGGCAGGACCTCTATTGGCTCAGACCCTTCAAGAATGAAGGTTTTGGGTCAGTCCACCAGTAAAGAACCATGGCCAGCTGCGGCGCTTGCTAAGGGCAAAGGGATATGGATTGGGTGGTGGAAGAAGGGGGTTATTAATACCAGTGACAACTACATGGCTGGTGGGAGAAATAAGGACTGTCATTGTCAGAATGTCCTCCTCGTTTTGTAACTTATATGTTTGTGTGAATATATACATATATTAACCAAATATATTTGTTTTCTCTGTTATCTCCTTAGCATGTAGCATAAAATGTAACAACTTCGTATCAGTATTTAAACGCTGTTAATTTTACATCTTGGTTTTTATGTTACGGGACATCAGGAGAAAAGTGACTATCACTCAAGGACTTGACCAGCTCTTTTGGGGAAGGAATTAGTGTGTTTTTGGTTGTATGTACGATAGTTGTATCAGATTAGGCAGGACTGTGATCGGATTGTATTTATTGGAGACTAAATATAGTTGAAGATTTGTATGGATGCTAAGTTGACAAAGGGTGGACTCGTGGGGTTAATTTCATGCATCAAATTGACTGGGCTAAGGGAAGCCCAGGTAGCTGGTAAGCATTCTTTGTCGATGTGAGGATGTCTCCAGAGGAGATTAGCATTTGAACTGGTGAAGATGATCTGCCCTCACCAATATGTGCCAGCATCATCACACCCACCCAAGGCCCGGGTAGAACAGAAGGGTGGAGTCAGGGCACATCCTCCATCTCCTCTTGAGCTGGGGCAGCCACCTTCTCCTGCCCCCAGACCTCAGTGATGCTCTTTCTCTGGCTTCAGACTCAGACAGAGCCACACCACTGGCCTTCCTGGTGTTCCAGCTTACAGGCAGCAGCTCTTTGGGCTTCAGACCTCTTGGCCTCTATAATCTTGTGGGTCAATTTCTGTAATAAATCTCTTCATGTATACACACACACGCAGCACACAGACACGCAGTCAAGTGTTGCTTCATAATGAGGATGTGTTCTGAGAAACGTGTGGTTAGGCGATTTCGTCCTCTGCAAGCATCACAGAGGTCACTGACAAACCGAGACGGTACAACCTGCCACATGCCCGGGCCGCAGGGTGCAGCCTATGGCTCCTAGGCTACTAACCTGTACAGAGTGTCACTTGTACTGAACACGGGAGGCAGCTTTGACACAATGGCAAGTAATGGCGTATCTAAATATAGAGAAGGTACCATAAAAACAGGGCATAGATGATTAAAAATGGCACACTGGCGCAGGGCTGTTCCCATGAATGGAGGTTGCAGGACTGAAAGAGGCTCTGGGTGAGTCATGAGTGAGTGTAGGTGACTGAGAAGGCTGAGGACATTAGTGTACACTACTGTAGACTTTATAAACACTGAATGTATTAACACTTTTTTCTATCTTTAATAATAAATTAATCTTATCTTACTGTACCTTTTTATTTTATACACTTTGTAATTTTTTAACGTTTTGACTCTTGTAATAACTTAAAACACAAACAAGTACAGCTGTACAAAAATGTTTTTTAAAGATCTTTATTCTATAAGCTTTTCCCTATTAATTTTTAAAAAAATTTTTACTTTTTAAACTTTTTTGTTAACAAGTAAGGCATGAACACACACATCAGCCTAGGATCAGGACCATCAAGATGTCACTAAACCCTGGAGGCTTTCTGCTGCGTTATAATCTTATGGGATATAGACAGTGTGTGTGAGGTCAGCGCTTGCAATCACTGAGATGCAGGCGGGACTGTGTGTGTCCTGCTGGTTCTGTGTCTCTGGGGAACCCTAAGCCACCTTAAGCCACTGCCCACACGGATCCTTATGGACAAAGGCTCCGGCACCCACGCACAGTCGGGGTGGGGGTAGTTCGTGCCGCGGTAACAAAGCATCTGAGCATCTAACCGGCAGAAACCCAGCGCGGTCTGTTGCCCTCTCCTGTGGGGGCTGGAGGGGCTGCTGCGCGGGTCTCCTGCTGGGGATGCCGCCCTGGCAGCCTGGGCTCGGGGTGGCCGTGGCGGGAGGGGCGTGGCCGTCCGCACCCCGCGCTCCGCAGCTCGCCCTTCTCCGTGTCGGTGGCGCAGGCGCCTGGAGTGCCTTGTTAGCCCCGCGCGACGGCTGCTGCGTCTCCGAGCTCCCGGGGCCTAGGCGTGCGCGGTGACCCCCCAGGCCGTGCCACGGAGCCCCCCTGCCGCTGTCCTCGCTGCTTAGCCTGCAGGCCGAGGGCCCTGGACTCATTCGCCCTGGAAATGCGCCGAGGCCCCCCGGGTGCACCTGCTGTCCGGGCAGCCGGGAGGGCGCAGGGACCCAGACCGCGGCTCCCACCCACGCTTGCTCACTGCTCCCGCCCCAGGCGCTGCGGGACCCCAGACCCCGCGAGGAGAGCACCGCCTCCCTCTGCGCAGCCACGACTTCTCTGCCTCGGCTCCTGAGCACGCAGCCCGGCCTCGCTAACCCCAGTCCTGAGGGAGAGACAGCCCTCGCCCTCCCGCCCCGCCCCTCCCCCGCCCACCCCCCCGCCCCGCCCCCGCCCCGCCCCGTCCCCCGTCCACCCCCCTTGTCCCCTGTCCACCCCCCCATGTCCCCCGTCCACCCCCCCACCATGTCCCCCGCCCACAGCCTCTTCTCTCTCCCGGCTCTTCCCGCAGCTCCCAGGGCTCCTCTCCGTAGGGGACAAGGCGGCCGCACAGCTTACCCCTCCCTGTCCCACCGCCTTTCCAGCCACGCTCTGCTCCTCCTCTTCCCTCCGCAGCTCCCCGGGTCCTGGGGCTCCCCCGCGCCGCCGAGCCTCTTGTCCAAGGCCACGCCGGCCTCCTGCTCCTCCCCACTGACTCCGCGCCAGGCCCTTCCTAGAAGCCTGGGGCTTCCCTGGCTTTCCCCCCACCCCACGGTCTCTTGGGTTTCCCCGTCCCTCTCGCCACGGCTCCCTGTTCACTGGCGACAAGCTCTAGGTGGGCCGCTCCCCAGGACCGCCGTGGGCCTCACTCCTCTCCGGTCCCTAAGACACTGCCTGGTCAGGTCGCCTCCCTTCTCTCCGCACCGCCCCTTCGTCTTGCACTCCAGACCACGTCCAGCTGACTATTCTAATTTCTTTTTGCTGTTAAGGCATTTGTTTAAATTATGGCAGGAGCACATGACCTCGGGCCTGGGGGGCTCCAAGCATGCCAGGGTATCTAGACACAAAGCAGGGCTGGCTTCATATCCAACCCCGCCCCACCGTCTGGACTGCTTTCTTTACATGGACCTGCACACGTGTGTACATACGAAATAAAATACACAGTTTTGTCTAGCGATGCTGCTTTTTCACAAATGGAATCATACATATTTCATGCGTTGTCTGCAACTTGCTTTTTACATTTAACACGATGTCCCGGGAGCTTTCTACATTGGCCCACTTAGTTCGACCTCATTTTCTTTGATGGCTGCAGAGGCTTCTGTCCTGTGGGCGATGCTGCTGTGTAAGGAGCTCTCCTCTGCCGGCGAAGAATTAAGGTGCTTCTCTTTTCTTCCCCTTCTGATTCTTTTTTTTTTTTCTATTACCAAACTGCAACTAGCATGGATATGGATGATTCTTCTGTGTTCAGGCAGGCGTCCCCAGCTACAGCGGAGGCCTCAAACAGGCTTTCTCTGCTCCTTCATGGTGGACATTTCCATATTGTTTTCTGAGAAGGTTGTAAAAAGTATTCACCACCAGCCGCGCAGCCAATTACCTGTTTTTCTTACACTTTTGTCATTGTTAGAAAGTCTAATCCTTATCTCCCCACCCCCAATTTTATGGGTGAAAAACAATTTCTCATTATTACTCTCATCAACATCTTTGATTTCCAGTGAAATCAAGCATTCTTTTTATTTGTGTTTGTAGATCTTTAGATGTCTTTCTTTAATCCACAGAATTTGCCTGTGTTTGTGACTTGGAAATCTGCGTTGATTTTGTCCCCTGGCAGCCTGTTTTCCAGCCTGTTTTCCATCGTCCACCCTGCCCTTTCCGTGGGATGTGCCTGCTCCAGTGTACCTCACTGCACGGAGGTACATCTGCTTCTTTCTGGGATCTCTAACTTGAACCTTGTCTGCGGGACCAATTTTCATTGTTCCCTCCCCTCTGCCCCCTCCCCCCGCCCCGCCCCCAGGAAACCATGTTTACTAAGCATGTTCTTTTCCAGGTGAATTTCAGTCAGTGTGTCAAATTCCATAAAAGATGCAACTGCAGTTTGACTGGGATTCCACGGCACATCTGGATCACTTTGGGAGACCGTTGACATCTTTACAATGTTAATTTTCTCATTCAAGAAGAACATGTCTCTCCATTTACTCAGAAAGTTTCTTTTGTGTCTGCCAATAAAGTTTTACTTTTCCTCACACAGGTTTTGGGTGCATTTTTGTTCCTTCCAACCACACTGTCTTTAATTTACACTCCTATTTTGGGAGTGTAAATTAGTTC